>NC_000024.10:13502766-14112314 GCF_000001405.40 Homo sapiens | reverse complement strand
TTAACTATAATTATTTATTTAAGCATATTTACTTTTTGATGCACTGAACAAAATACATAGATAAGATTGTAGAAATGGTCAAAATATAAATAAATACATGAGTAAGAAAATGCTTTACAATTAAGACAGTGTGATATTGGCAAAAGAATAGACAAATCAGTGAAGAAAACAATATAGAGATCTTTAGAAATTGACCCCCATAAACATAGACAAATTATCTTTGACAAAGTAGCAAAGGCAATGCAATGGAGAAAAGATGGTCTTTCAACAAATGGAGCTGGAACAAATAATTGATCATCCACATGTGAAAAGCAAATCTAGATACACACCTTATACTCTTCCAGAAATCAATTCAAAACAGATCACAGGCCTAGGTACTATCAAGCTCCTAGAAAATAACACTGGAGAAAATCTAAACTACTTGAGTTTAACTATGACTTTTTAGATACAACACCAAAGGCATGACCCATTAAAGAAAAAATTGATGAACGAGACTTCACTAAAATTAAAAAATTGCAGCCGGGTGCAGTGGCTTATACCTGTTATCCCAGCACTTTTGGAGGCCAAGGCAGGCAGATCTCAATGTCAGGTGCTTGAGACCAGCCTGCTCAATATGGTGATACCCCAATTCTACTAAAATACCAAAATTTGCCAGGCATGGTGGCATGTGCCTCTATTCCCAGCTACTTGAGAGGCTGAGGCAGAAGAATCGCTTTAACCAGGGAGGGGGAGGTTGCAGTGAGCTGAGATCATAACACTGCACTCAAGTCTGCCTGAGAGAGTAAGACCCCATCTGCAAAAAAAAAGGAAAAAAAGAAAAAATTTAAAAAAATTCTGCTCTGCAAAATACATTATGGATAGAACGAGAATACAAACAGCAGACTGGAAGAAAATATTTGCAAAATACATACTTGATAAAGGTCTGCTATCTACAATATATTAAAAATGTCTTGAAATTAAACAAGAAGAAAATAGACAACTTTCTTAAAAAATGGAGAAAGGCCCTTAATAGATACCTCAACAAAGATGAGATACAGATGTTATATGAAAGAAGTATATAAAAAGATGCTCAACATCATATATCATTCAGGAGTTGCAAATTAAAACAACAAGATAGCATACACACCTACAATGGTGAAAATCCAAAACAATTCAACATCAAATGCTAACAAGGACGTGAAGCAACAAAAACCCTTATTTAGCGATTGATCATGGAAATGCAGAATGGTATGATCACTTTAGAAGAAAGTTTGACAGCTTCTTACAAAACTAGGCATACTCTAACCATGAGATTCAGCAACCACACTCCTAAGTATTCATCCAAATGAACTGAAAACATGTCTACACAAAATCCTGCATTCAGATGATTATAGTGGCTTTAGTCATCATTGTCAAACTTGAAAGCAACCAAGATATCCTTCAGGAGATGAATGGATAAATAAGCTGCCGAACATTCAGAAAGCAGAATATTATTCACTGCTTTAAAATAATCAGCTATCAAGTTATAAAAAGTCATGTAGAAATGTCAAATGCATATTACTCAGTGAAATAAACCGATCTGAAGAAGCCAATACTGAAAAGGCTGCATACAATGTGATTCCAACTCTATGAAATTCCAACTCTATGAAACTTCATGGTACAGAACCATGGAGACAGTGGTAAAAAGATCAATACATGCCAAAGGTTAGTGGGGAGGAAGGGATCAATAGCTAGAGCACAGAGGATTTTTAGGGCCATGAAACTCTTTGGTATGGTCCTATAATGTTAGTGGAGGCATTCCATTATGCATTTGTCAAGACTCATAGATTGTACAACACCAAGAGTGAACCCTAATCTAAAGTATGGACTTTAGATGATAATAATGTGGCAATGCTGGGGTGACTGTGCATGTGTCAGGGCAGGAGGTATAGGGAACTCTATTTTCTGTTCAACTTACCTGTAAACCTAAAACTACTCTAGAAATTTTAAAAGATATTTCAGATAAGTGTTTTTGAAGGAACTGGCTGGGGGTAGTATGATAGGGAAGAAGGAGAGAGGCAAAGTTTAATAGGCTCTGTGTTTCCTCTCTGAGGGTGCTTAATGTCCTCTTATTTGGGTGAGTGAGGCTAATTTCCCAGTTGTCAGTTTGCTGCTGCTTTGGTGGGAGCAGGAACATTATTGTTACAATAACATTATCAAATTATGCCTGTGTGTTTATTTTCATTTGTTCAGGTGAAAGAATATTTTCAAAATTTTTATTATTTTTTTAAGTTTAGTATATTTCATTTATTGCCTAACATGTTCCTTTATGGTGAACCAACATGTATACACTTGCTAAAACCAAAAGAGCACTTTGATTAATTTGCATCTATTAACCAACATTATTGGTCACATTGCTCAAATTCTCTACATTTTTATTTATTTATGCTGACTTGTTCTGTCAATGACCAAAAAAAAAGGATGTCAGAGTTTTGCTAAACAATTTGGTATCTTTGTACTTCAAAAAACATGTTGTGAGTGCATTTCAAATACATGTGGATTCTTTATCATTCCCCTTATAAATATTCATGATGGGAATAGCTCCACTGACATTTTATCTTAATTGACAAGTGCTTTCAAATTTTGTCCTTGACATATTTTAGTATCAAATATTTGAGGAAATCAAATTTTGTTTCATCTTAGAGGTTTTTGTTTTATTTTATCTTATTTTTAACTTCCTTAAGTCATATGAATTAGGTAAAGATTGAAACACTCATTTTTTATATGATTTCTATAAAGATGAAACTAAGTCAAATTAAAACCAGTTTCATATTGTTACAAAAATAGAAAGTCTTCTTAATAATCTTTCCTAGGATGATTAAAACAATTCAAATAACAACCACAATACTAAATGCAGTTGTTATCATTCAATGTATATTAATTTTGACAGGAATTTGATGAGATGATCCAGTCCAAATTTTAAAAAGAGAGAAAACTAGACAAAAAGAAAACATACTGGCATGCACATTCCTTGGTTGAAATACTAATATTTACTTTACATTCAAAGTGCTTCTGCAAACACTACTGATTTGAACTTAATGTCGATGTATTAAACTACACATTTTAAAATGTGGCTTATTTTAGCCTCTTTAAATTAAACTTATAAATATTGTTTTTATTTATAAATCTAGAAAGCAACATAAAATAAAAATAATTCTTTTCAAGGAATCATTTGAACAGTATTTGTTAAATTCAAGTTGAATAGTGTAAATAACAAAGCAGTGATACTATCTATATTGCATGCGTGAGAGGGGCTTAATACCTAGGTGATGGGTTGATAGGTGCAGCAAACCACCATGGCACATGATTGCCTGTGTAACAAACCTGCACATCATGTATATGTACACAAGAACTTAAAATAAAAATAAAAATAAAAACAAAAAGAGAGACATCATTTATGGAAGTCAAGTGTGAAAGCAGAGTTTCTCCCCTTCAGCACTACTGACATTTGTCTCTGGATAATTCTTTGTGGTGGGAGCTAACCTGTGAATTGGAGGATGCTTAGAAGCATCCCTGGTCTCTACTACCCACTGGAAGCTGGTGGTAGTCTGCTTTCAGGTATAAAAACCAAAAATGACTACAGACATTGTCAAATATCCCCCAGGGAGTGACACTGCCCCATTTGAGAACCACTATGTTAGAATTTTTTCTTATAATTCTGCCATTAAGATTTTTTCCCTTTTCTCATATTTTATATCCTCTGAAATCTTCCTACCCTCACCACTCAGAAAATGTAAACTCCATGAGAACCTTGTTCGTCTTATTTAACACATGCAGACCCTAGCAACTTCAATACTTCTTGAATACGTGAATACAAATATAATAAAAATAAATCTGCTCACTCTCTATTTGACTAGATAATGGATGTGACTAGATAACGTATGTAAATCTTCATGAGTTCTTAAGCTGCATACTAAATGGAATTTTATTGACCTTGAATAAGTGAACTTCACAAATAATATTAATTCTTCACATTATTTGTTTACTGGGTTAGAAATTCATATAATAGCCATTGTAGGCAAGGTTGTAGAGAAGTAAGTAAGAAATATATTAGATACTGTGACTGATTCGTGGTTCATAAACTGCAAAAATTCTACAGAATGTCAAGATCCCTCGTCAATGGAAAAATGCAATACATGTAGTTAAACCAGTTGTTTGGCTTTGATTACTTTTCCATGGGATGTTCCAAGAATGGAAATGATGTTTTTATACTTGTGGGAAAAAAATTAGTGGTGCACAAGCTTTTAGGCTTCAAAGAGTGTAAATTAATTGGTGCAGTTTAAAGGGCAGGATATGCGGGAAAACTGGAGAATTAAGCAAAATGAGGTATTTGCTAGAGGGTGTGAGGATGTGTGTTCTAAGCTGTTACAAAGCTTAGAATCCCTGTGAAATGTTTCACTTTAACCAAGGTCTGCACCATAGTGGGGAGCTTTTACATAAAAGTGCAGTTTGGACTCACATTCTTGCAAGGTTTGCAAAATAGCGAGGAACTTACAAAATGGTGCAGTTTGGACTAACAGTAATGATTCCACTATTTTTTATTTTATTAGTTTTTCTTTTTCTTTTTTGCTCCATTTTCTAAGTCTTGCAGAACAGTTGTGTGGAATAGCAGGGATGTCAGGCACTCAAGCCTTATCCCTGATTTAATGGGAATGTTCCCACTTTTTATGACCCAGAATAAGCCTAGCCATTTGATTGTAAGTTTTTGAATGGTATTTTATTGAAACTTCTTTTTATTCTTGAGTATAGCTATTTTATTAATCTATCATGCACATTGAAAGATGAGCATTTTCAAAAGGGCAGTCTGCTTTGACTGAATACAAACAGAAAAGGGCGGTGTGTTGTCTACAAAAGAAATGTATGGGGATAGTGTCAATCTCTCTGATATGGCACCCAGAGTATTACAAACAATCCTCACAAACAACATCAAAAAATACATTTAAAATTTATTATGAATTTTATTATCTGTGATTCTACATTATTTGTGCCAAAAGCTTATTAAACTAATCCAAAAGGAAAATCTTCTAGAGATCAGTCCCTATAGCACCTCCACTACCAGACAAGACAAAATGACTGTGAGCTAATATCTCTAACAATGTCTTCAAAACAGCAGCCAAGCCATGGCACATGTCTGTAATCTCAGCACTTTGGAAGGCCAAGGTGGGAGGATCCCTTTAATTCTTCCAGGAGTTCAAGACCAACCTGGGAAACACAGCAAGACCATGTCTCTACAAAAAATAAAAGTTAAAAAAATTAAAAATTAAATTAGCTGGGTGTAGTGGCATGTCCCTCTAAGCCCAGACACTCAGAAGGTTGAGGCAGGAGAATCACTTGAGCTCAGGAATTCAAGGTTACAATGAGCTATGCATTCACTGCATAGTGCCACTGCACTCCAGCTTCAGTAACAGAACAAGGCCTTGTTTCTAAAACTTATTTAAAAATTAAGAAAAAAGGTAGCTGCTTATGATTGAGCAGGTGTTATTCATATCAAAGTCGTTGAAGATGTGCATTACAATAGCAAAAATAGAGTAACTTCCCAGCAAATGGCAATAAACCTCTTGAGGAAATAAAATCATTATTTGAATTAATGCAAGGATACCATTGGGAGGGAGGGTGGCACTAATCCTGCTTTGCTTTTTATGAGGCTATCTTCCCCATCAGTCTATAGCACAATAGACTATTCTATTGTATTTATTTTTGTAATTTAATGAAATTCCCACTTTGAACCTTGTTTATTGACTCATTTACTTGTTACTGCTTTCTCACCCAGTACAACAAATATTCCATGAAGTCATGAACCTGCTTTATTTGTTCACACCTACACATCAACTATCCAGTACAAATTCTGCCTGGCACAAAGCAAATTCACAATAAATATTTATGGAATAGACCAGAAAGTAATGATTAAATACCTTCTTTCTGATCTTTCTAATCCATAGAAATATTTTGCAAATCACTGATATTTTAAAATGTAAATTAAAACTAAGTTGGTACCCTCTCAATCTTCCCAGCTATAGTCAATAATTTAATGGCACTGTTTAAGATGATATGGAGGCCAACCAGTGAATTGTAGCAACTAAGCAAATATGATAGATCAATATAGAATATAAATTGTAGAAAGATCTTTAAAACATTTTTAAAAATTTTAAATTTAAATATTTTTAAAACATTTAAAATGTTGGCAATATTTTAAATTTTAAATTTAAATATTTTTAAATCACAAAAAGTTTAAAATATTTTAAATTAATATATTTTTAAAACATTTAAAATATTTTAAATATTTTAAAATGTTGACAGCAAATTCTAACTCAATATGCATTCTTTTTTTCACTGTAAGTTAATTATATTTCACTGACAGATAGTGAAGACATTGTCAAACACAATTTAAAATACAAGATATTGTGTATTATTGTATGTAAAATAAAAACAACAAATGAAAATAAAATAAATTGCACATTTCCATACTATTAGTCCGGGATACTAAATGTTCAAGGACAAGTTTAGCCAATTGATTTTATGTTTATTTTTGCAACATGATGGTGACCTACATTAGATATAAAGTTTTTGCATACTTACAGGTATATTTTCTTTATCTGAATGTCCACAATGTGGCTAAAAAATAAGAATACATTTTGGTTTATATAACCAGTTGATTAAAAAATTTCATCATGAAATTACTATCACCATTTTAGTGGCTTTATATAGGCGAAATATATAAACTAATGGTTTTTTAGCCCTAGCACTCGTATGTCACATAGTTAAACACAATATAAATAGAAAAAAAAAATCATACTTTAGAGTAGAAATTATTTCTATGAGATACTCAGTAGTCATAAAGTTTTAAAAAATGTATCTAAGACAAAGTTAAGAGGAGAAAGAAAAGGATATTATTTCAAATACAGTACTAATTATTTTTAGATGCTATATTTTTTGTAAAGTCTTTTAAACACAAGTTTAGAATTTCAGTGTCTGTGTTGTTCAAGTTTGCATTAGAATGTTTTCAAACTGCAGAATGTGATCCATTGGTGACTGTGGAAATATTTAATTGTACCATGAGAATTTTAACAAATAAATGGAATAAAAACCTCAAAAATATTACAGGTAATATAAATATAAGTAAATATGTGCACATATGTATTTGATTACCTGATTAAAAAGGTTATATTCCAGAAAGATTGGATGGGTCCCAGAGATTCTGGTATGTTGTGTCTTTGTTCTCAGTTTCAAAGAACATCTTTATTTCTGCCTTCATTTCATTATGTACCCAGTAGTCATTCAGGAGCAGTTTGTCCAGTTTCCATGTAGTTGAGCGGTTTTGAGTGAGTTTCTTAATCCTGAGTTCTAGTCTGATTGCACTGTGGTGTGAGAGACAGTTCGTTATAATTTCTGATCTTTTACATTTGCTGAGGACAGATTTACTTCCAAGTATGTGGTCAATTTTGGAATAGGTGTGGTGTGGTGCTGAAAAAAATGTATATTCTGTTGATTTGCAGTGGAGAGTTCTGTAGATGTCTATTAGGTCCACTTGGTGCAGAGCTGAGTTCAATTCCTGGGTATCCTTGTTAACCTTCTGTCTCCTTGATCTGTCTAATGTTGACAGTGGGGTGTTAAAGTCTCCCATTATCATTGTGTGGGAGTCTAAGTCTCTTTGTAAGTCACTCAGGGCTTGCCTTATTAATTTGGGTGCTCCTGTATTGGGTACATATATATTTAGGATAGTTAGCTCTTCTTGTTGAATTGATCCCTTTTCCATTATGTAACGGCCTTCTTTGTCTCTTTTGATCTTTGTTGGTTTAAAGTCTGTTTTATCAGAGACTAGGATTGCAACACCTGCCTTTTTTTGTTTTCCATTTGCTTGGTAGATCTTCCTCCATCCTTTTATTTTAAGCCTATCTGTGTCTCTGCACGTGAGATGGGTTTCCTGAATGCAGCACACTGATGGGTCTTGACTCTATATCCAATTTTCCAGTCTGTGTCTTTTAATTGGAGCATTTTGTCCATTTACATTTAAAGTTAATATTGTTATGTGTGAATTTGATCCTGTCATTATGATGTTAGCTGGTTATTTTGCTTGTTAGTTGATGCAGTTTCTTCCTAGCCTTGATGGTCTTTACAATTTGGCAGGATGTTTCAGCAGCTGGTACCAGTTGTTCCTTTCCATGTTTAGTGCTTCCTTCAGGAACTCTTTTAGGGCAGGCCTGGTGGTGACAAAATCTCTCAGCATTTGCTTCTCTGTAAAGGATTTTATTTCTCCTTCACTTATGAAGCTTAGTTTGGCTGGATATGAAATTCTGGGTTGAAAATTATTTTCTTTAAGAATGTTGAATATTGGCCCCCACTCTCTTCTGGCTTGTAGTTTCTGCCGAGAGATCCGCTGTTAGTCTGATGGGCTTCCCTTTGTGGGTATCCCAACCTTTCTCTCTGACTGCCCTTAACATTTTTTCCTTCATTTCAACTTTGGTGAATCTGACAATTATGTGTCTTGGAGTTTCTCTTCTCGAGGAGTGTCTTTGTGGCATTCTCTGTATTTCCTGAATCTGAATGTTGGCCTGCCTTGCTAGATTGGGGAAGTTCTCCTGGATAATATCCTGCAGAGTGTTTTCCAACTTGGTTCCATTCTCCCCATCACTTTCCAGTACACCAATCAGACGTAGATTTGGTCTTTTCACATAGTCCCATATTTCTTGGAGGCTTTGTTCGTTTCTTTTTATTCTTTTTTTCTCTATACTTCCCTTCTCACTTCATTTCATTCATTTCCTCTTCCATCACTGATACCCTTTCTTCCAGTTGATCACATCGGCTCCTGAGGCTTCTGCATTCTTCCTGTAGTTCTCGAGCCTTAGCTTTCAGCTCCATCAGCTCCTTTAAGCACTTCTCTGTATTAGTTATTCTAGTTATATATTTGTCTAAATTTTTTTCAAAGTTTTCAACTTATTTGCCTGTGGTTTGAATTTCCTCCTGTAGCTTGGAGTAGTTTGATCGTCTGAAGCCTTCTTCTCTCAACTCATCAAAGTCATTCTCCATCCAGCTTTGTTCCATTGCTGGTGAGGAGCTGTGTTCCTTTGCAGGAGGAGAGGCACTCTGCTTTTTAGAGTTTCCAGTTTTTCTGCTCTGTTTTTTCCCCATCTTTGTGGTTTTATCTACTTTTGGCCTTTGACCATGGTGATGTACAGATGGGTTTTTGGTGTGGATGTCCTTCCTGTTTGTTAGTTTTCCTTCTAACAGATAGGACCCTCAGCTGCAGGTCTGTTGGAGTTTGCTAGAGGTCCACTCCTGACCCTATTTGCCTGGGTATCAGCAGCAGTGGCTGCAGAACAGCAGATTTTTGTGAACCGTGAATGCTGCTGTCTGATCGTTCCTCTGGAAGTTTTGTCTCAGAGGAGTACCCAACCGTGTGAGGTGTCAGTCTGCCTCTACTGGGGGGTGCCTCCCAGTTAGGCTGCTCGGGGATCAGGGGTCAGGGACCCACTTGAGAAGGCATTCTGCCCATTCTCAGATCTCCAGCTGCATGCTGGGAGAACCACTGCTCTCTTCAAAGCTGTCAGACAGGGACATTTAAGTCTGCAGAGGTTACAGCTGTCTTTTTGTTTGTCCATGCCCTGCCCCCAGAGGTGGAGCCTACAGAGGCAGGCAGGCTTCCTTGAGCTGTGGTGGGCTCCAACCAGTTCGAGCTTCCTGGCTGCTTTGTTTACCTAAGCAAGCCTGGGCAATGGTGGGTGCCTCTCCCCCAGCCTCGCTGCTGCCTTGCAGTTTGATCTCAGACTGCTGTGCTAGCAATCAGCGATACTCCATGGGCATAAGACCCTCTGAGCCAGTTGTGGGATATAATCTCCTGGTGTGCCGTTTTTTAAGCCCGTTGGAAAAGTGCAGTAGAAAGGGAACTTCCTGACCCCTTGTGCTTCCTGAGTGAGGCAGTTCCTCACCCTGCTTCGGCTCAAGCATGGTGCACTGCACCCACTGTCCTGCTCCCACTGTCTGGCACTCCCTAATGAGATGAACCCGGTACCTCAGATGGAAGTGCAGAAATCACCCGTCTTCTGCGTCACTCACACTGTAGACCGGAGCTGTTCCTATTCAGCCATCTTGGCTCTAATCTGCAATATTAAGTTAAATCTCTTATTTGCTTAGAAAGATGGAGGTAATGAAATATATTAAAATAGTGGAGAAAAACTTAAGTACCCAAATGTATAATTGACATAAAACAGATTCCCTTAATCTAGTCTAGTAGTTATCCATATGGAAAGATATTATACCCAGACATTTTTGGTTATCACGTCTGAGTGGTGCTGCTGGTGTCTGGTGGGTAGAGGCCAGAAATGATTTTAAATGTCTTGGAATGCACTGGACTGCCCCCAAAAACTAAGAAGTCATGGCCCCAACTGTCAGCAGTACCAAGGCTGAGAAACCCTAATCTAGTGTATAGGTGGAGGTAATTTCTGAAGTTTAAATTTTTCCTACTGATTTTCATGTTATTGGTAATTGTATCTGTGATAAGAAAACCTAGATTATAAAAATAGTGTATATTTACCTGTAGAGCAATATCCTACAGCTTAAATTTCAGAGTTTTTATTCTGATTGTCCCTGGCAAACCTGATGAGACTGAAACAAGCCCCTTTCTCCCCCCAAGTAAGAGGAAAATTGAATTTTTGTATCAAGGTGTTTTTGATTACACTGTTAAGTTTTTAATTAAAGAAAATTGCTTTGAATAAAATGCTGAAAAGTTTATAATGCAAAACAGGTTTCAGACAGTTATTGTTGGAAGTTTCTAATCAAATTCTTTTTAGAAAATCTATCAAGACTTTTGATTTTATTATTACTCTGTAGTATTTGTGTTTATTTTTAATATGTGAATTATTACTTAGTGCAAGGAAATGAGACACTTTATTGGAATTAGACAATGTCATTAAGAAAGTGATAAGGAATAATTTTGGTGAATAGTCAATGTCCTTGAAAAACTGAAGAGGATAGGTTCTTTGGGTAAATTGAGGAACATGGAAAATGGAGGGCCACCATTTAGGTGCCATGGAGAATGTGTGGCATGATCTTAACATGAAGCATGGGTGTTTCCATGACTTAGCTGTGCCCCCGTAGCTCTAGAACTGAAGGAACCAGGCTCTCAGGCTAATCTGTGCCACAGGATAGGAGAGGAACAATTTGAGAAATAGACAACCCATGGTTAAAGACTTTGATCAGGACTGGAGGAACAAACGTTTGTGTATCCATTTCAATACTGCTGAAAAAGGCATGCCTGAGACTGGGAAATTTAAAAAAGAAAGAGGTTTAATAAGCTCACTGTTTCACATGGTTGGGGAGGACTTATAATCATGGTGATTATTCCAGCACTAGTGGAATAGTTAAGGAAACCATTGCAACTTTATGTGGCACAAGCAAGGGCACATATCCCTGAGGACCTAAGGTGTGTGTCATGCCACTGGAAAATGGACTCTGATCACCTGACCTGTGCCTGAAAAGGAAGCCACCATGGGACAGAGAATGGTTGAGGAAAGTCAATGTCACCTTAGAAACAGTGGCAACCACAGTGACCTAGGATGGCCAACCTGTTGCCAAATAGCTGAGTTTTAGAAGCCTGTTCTCCTACCAGCTGCCAATAGTAGGAAATGTTCACATCATATGCTTCCAGTACCTGCTCTGTATGACTTAACACAGCCAGGGTCTATTACCTGCTGCTAAAGGACCCTACTTAGAGTCAGTGTACACTTCACCCTTGAACAAAACGGGTTTGAACTATGAGGGTCCATGTGGATTTATTTAGTAAAAGTACACCATGTGACCTGCCTCTCCTGCCTTCCCTTAGACTTCCTCTATGTCTTCTGTCTCTGCCACCCCTGAGACAGCAAGACCAACCCTCCTCTTCCTCCACCTCCTCAGCATAGTCAATGTGAAGATGAGGACAAAAATCCTTATGATGATCCACTTTCACTAAATAAACAGTGAATATATTTTATCTTCCTTATGATTTTCTTAATAGTATTTTCTTTTCTGTAGCTTACTTGACTGTGAGAATACAGTGTATAATTTACATAACATACAAAATATGTCCTAATGGACTGTTGTATTCTTATTGGTATGTCTTCCAGTCAACGGTAGGCTCTTAGTAGTAAGTTCTGGGGGAGTCAAAAGCTATATGTGAATTTCTGACCACAGGAGTGGTGGACAGGAAAGTCAGCCCACCTAACCACATATTTTCAAAGATGAACAGAATATGAATACCTGCTTAACAACTGGTAGAAAAGCCCACTAGGATTTACAATTATATTTCTATTGATGTCTTAACCTTAAAATATCTCAGTGTAGGTCAGCATGTTGTGCTTATTTTAGAGTACCAAGATCTTTCCTCCTAAAGTAAGCATTTAAAAATTAGGAAACAGAAGGGGCTTTGATTAGGTTGTCATTCACAGATATGTAGCTTTGACATGTGTCTTTAAAACAGAGGAGATTGTCATCATTTTTCTCCCAACTGGGAACCAGGTGCTTAACTAGAATTCGTGTGTGGTAAAAGAGCAGGAGTGTCTGCTTTCAAATACAACATCCTTAACACTCAGAAACTGAGAGAAGGAGCTGAAGGAGATCACATGGCTTACCACAATATCATTCCTTACATTTCACCATTAAGTTGTTTGTAGCTGACAGTCTTTGTAAAGCCCTCCTCACACACTAAAAACTGAATACATGAATGGATTTGCAGTGGTTTGTGATTTTGTACTATGTTTTTGGTTGCATGCATTGGTTTGGGGTTTTATACTATGTTTTCAGTTGCATGTTATAGCCACCTATGTGTTCTAATGTTTGGTACATTTTCAGGAAGGACATCCACACCAAAAACGCATCTGTATATCACCATCATCAAAGATGAAAAGTAGATAAAACCACAAAGATGGGGAAAAAACAGAGCAGAAAAACTGGAAACTCTAAAAAGCCGCATGCCTCTCCTCCTGCAAAGGAATGCAGCTCCTCACTAGCAATGGAACAAAGGTAGACAGAGACTGACTTCGATGAACTGAGAGAAGAAGCCTTCAGACGATCAAACTTCTCTGAGCTACAGGAGGAAATTCAAACCACAGGCAAAGAAGCTGAAAACTTTGAAAAAAATTTAGACAAATGTATAACTAGAATAACCAATACAGAGAAGTACTTAAAGGAGTTGATGGAGCTGAAAGCTAAGGCTCGAGAATGACATGAAGAATGCAGAAGCCTCAGGAGCCAATGTGATCAACTGGAAGAAAGGGTATCAGTGATGGAACATGAAATGAATGAAATGAAGCGAGAACAGAAGTTTAGAGAAAAAAGAATAAAAAGAAATGAACAAAGCCTTCAAGAAATATGGGACTATGTGAAAAGACCAAATCTACCTCTGATTGGTGTACTGGAAAGTGACGGGGAGAATGGAACCAAGTTGGAAAACACTATGCAGGATATTATCCAGGAGAACTTCCCCAAACTAGCAAGGCAGGCCAACATTCAGATTCAGAAAATACAGAGAACATCACAAAGATACTCCACGAGAAGAGAAACTCCAAGGCACATAATTGTCAGATTCACCAAAGTTGAAATGAAGGAAAAAATATTAAGGGCAGTCAGAGAGAAAGGTTGGGATACCCACAAAGAGAAACCCATCAGACTAACAGTGCATCTCTCGGTAGAAACTCTACAAGCCAGAAGAGAGTGGGGGCCAATATTCAACATTCTTAAAGAAAAGAATTTTTAACCTAGAATTTCATATCCAGCCAAACTAAGCTTCATAAGTGAAGGAGAAATAAAATATTTTACAGAGAAGCAAATGCTGAGAGATTTTGTCACCACCAGGCCTGCCCTAAAAGAGCTGCTGAAGGAAGCACTAAACATGGAAAGGAACAACCGGTACCAGCCACTGCAAAATCATGCCAAAATGTAAAGACCATCGAGGCTAGGAAGAAACTGCATCAACTAACAAGCAAAATAACCAGCTAACATCATAATGACAGGATCAAATTCACACATAACAATATTAACTTTAAATGTAAATGGACTAAATGCTCCAATTAAAAGACACAGACTGGAAAATTGGATAAAGAGTCAACACCCATCAGTGTGCTGCATTCAGGAAACCCATCTCACGTGCAGAGACACACATAGGCTTAAAATAAAAGGATGGAGGAAGATCTACCAAGCAAATGGAAAACAAAAAAAGGCAGGGGTTGTAATCCTAGTCTCTGATAAAACAGACTTTAAACCAACAAAGATCAAAAGAGGCAAAGAAGGCCGTTACATAATGGAAAAGGGATCAATTCAACAAAAAGAGCTAACTATCCTAAATATATATGTACTCAATACAGGAGTCCAGATTAATAAGGCTAGCCCTGAGTGACCTACAAAGAGACTTAGACTCCCACACAATGATAATGGGAGACTTTAACACCCCACTGTCAACATTAGACAGATCAAGGAGACAGAAAGTCAACAAGGATACCCAGGAATTGAACTCAGCTCTGCACCAAGTGGACCTAATAGACATCTACAGAACTCTCCACTGCAAATCAACAGAACATACAGTTTTTTCAGCACCACACCACACCTATTCCAAAATTGACCACATACTTGGAAGTAAAGCACTCCTCAGCAAATGTAAAAGATCAAAAATTATAACAAACTGTCTCTCAGACCACAGTGCAATCAAACTAGAACTCAGGATTAAGAAACTCACTCAAAACCGCTCAACTACATGGAAACTGAACAACCTGCTCCTGAATGACTACTGGGTACATAACGAAATGAAGGCAGAAATAAAGATGTTCTTTGAAACCAACCAGAAGAAAGACACAACATACCAGAATCTCTGGGACACATTCAAAGCAGTGTGTAGAGGGACATTTATAGCACTAAATGCCCACAAAAGAAAGCAGGAAAGATCCAAAAGTGACAACCTAACATCACAATTAAAAGAACTACAAAAGCAAGAGCAAACACATTCAAAAGCTAGCAGAAGGCAAGAAATATCTAACATCAGAGCAGAACTGAAGGAAATGGAGACACAAAATTTCTTCAAAAAAAATAATGAATCCAGGAGCTGGTTTTTTGGAAGGATCAACAGAATTGATAGACTGCTAGCAAGACTAATAAAGAAGAAAAGAGAGAAGAATCAAATAGACACAATAAAAAATGATAAAGAGGATATGACCACTGATCCCACAGAAATACAAACTACCATCAGAGAATACTACAAACACCTCTATGCAAATTAACTAGAAAATCTAGAAGAAATTGATAAATTCCTCAACACATACACCCTCCCAAGACTAAACCAGGAAGAAGTTCAATCTCTGAATAGACGAATAACAGGCTCTGAAATTTTGGCAATAATCAACAGCTTAGCAACCAAAAAGAATCCTGGACCGGATGGATTCACAGCAGAATTCTACCAGAGATACAAGGAGGAATTAGTACCATTCCTTCTGAAACTATTCCAATCAATAGAAAAAGAGGGAATCCTCCCTAACTCATTTTATGAGGCCACCATCATCCTGATACCAAAGCCAGGCAGAGACACAACAAAAAAAGAGAATTGTAGACCAATATCCTTGATGAACATTGATGCAAATATCCTCAATAAAACACTGGCAAACCAAATCCAGCAGCACATCAAAAAGCTTATCCACAATAATCAAGTGGGCTCCATCCGTGAGATGCAAGGCTGGTTCAATATATGCAAATCAATAAATGTAATCCAGCATATAAACAGAACTAAAGACAAAAACCACATGATTATCTCAATAGATGCAGAAAAGGCCTTTGACAAAATTCAACAACGATTCATGTTAAAAACTCTCAATAAATTAGGTATTGATGTGACGTATCTCAAAATAATAAGAGCTATCTATGACAAAGCCACAGCCAATATCATACTGAATGGGCAAAAACTGGAAGCATTCCCTTTGAAAACTGGCACAAGACAGGGATGCCCTCTCTCACCACTCCTATTCAACATAGGGTTGGAAGTTCTGGTCAGGGCAATTAGGCAGGAGAAGGAAATAAAGGGTATTCAATTAGGAAAAGAGGAAGTCAAATTGTCCCTGTTTGCAAAGGACATGATTGCATATCTAGAAAACCCCATTGTCTCAGCCCAAAATCTCCTTAAGCTGATAAGCAACTTCAGCAAAGTCTCAGGATACAAAATCAATAAACAAAAATCACAAGCATTCTTATACACCAATAATAGACAAACACAGAGCCAAATCATCAGTGAACTCCCTTTCACAATTGCTTCAAAGAGAATAAAATACCTAGGAATCCAACCTAGAAGGGACATGAAGGACCTCTTCAAGGAGAACTACAAACCACTGCTCAATGAAATAAAAGATGATACAAAGAAATGGAAGAACATTCCATGCTCATGGGTAGGAAGAATCAATATCATGAAAATGGCCATACTTCCCAACGTAATTTATAGATTCAATGCCATCTCCACCAAGCTACCGATTACTTTCTTCACAGAATTGGAAAAAACTACTTTAAAATTCATATGGAATCAAAAGAAGAGCCCACATCACCAAGTCAATCCTAAGCCAAGAGAACAAAGCTGGAGGCATCATGCTACCTGACTTCAAACTATACTACAAGGCTACTGTAACCAAAACAGCATGGTACTGGTACCAAAACAGAGATATAGATCAATGGAACAGAACAGAGCCCTCAGAAATAACGCCGCATATCTACAACTATCTGATCTTTGATGAACCTGAGAAAAACAAGCCGTGGGGAAAGGATTCCCTATTTAATAAATGGTTCTGGGAGAACTGGCTAGCCATATGTAGAAAGCTGAAACTGGATCCCTTCCTTACACCTTATACAAAAATCAATTCAAGATGGATTAAAGACTTAAACATTAGACCTAAAACCATAAAAACCATAGAAGAAAAACTAGGCATTACCATTCAGGACATAGGCATGGGCAAGGACTTCATGTCTAAAACACCAAAAGCAATGGCAACAAAAGACAAAATTGACAAATGGGATCTAATTAAACTAAAGAGCTTCTGCACAGCAAAAGAAACTACCATCAGAGTGAACAGGCAACCTACAAAATGGGAGAAAATTTTCGCAACCTACTCATCTGACAAAGGGCTAATATCTAGAATCTACAATGAACTCAAACAAATTTACAAGAAAAAAACAAACAACCCCATCAAAAAGTGGGCGAAGGACATGAACAGACACTTCTCAAAAGAACACATTTATGCAGCCAAAAAACACATGAAAAAATGTTCATCATCACTGGCCATCAGAGAAATGCAAATCAAAACCACAATGAGATATCATCTCACACCAGTTAGAAAGGCAATCATTAAAAAGTCAGGAAACAACAGGTGCTGGAGAGGATGTGGAGAAATAGGAACACTTTTACACTGTTGGTGGGACTGTAAACTAGTTCAACCATTGTGGAAGTCATTGTGGCGATTCCTCAGGGATCTCAAACTAAAAATACCATTTGACCCAGCCATCCCATTACTGGGTATATACCCAAAGGACTATAAATCATGCTGCTATAAAGACACATGCACACGTATGTTTATTGCGACACTATTCACAATAGCAAAGACTTGGAAGCAACCCAAATGTCCAACAATGATAGACTGGATTAAGAAAATGTGGCACATATACACCATGGAATACTATGCAGCCATAAAAAATGATGAGTTCATGTCCTTTGCAGGGACATGGAAGAAATTGGAAATCATCATTCTCAGTAAACTATTGTAAGGACAAAAAACCAAACACCACATGTTCTCACTCATAGGTGGGAATTGAACAATGAGAACACGTGGACACAGGAAGGGGAACATCACACTCTGGAGACTGTTGTAGGGTGGGGGGAGCGGGGAGGGATAGCATTAGGAGATACACCTAATGCTAAATGACGAGTTAATAGGTGCAGCACACCAGCATGGCACATTTATACATATGTAACTAACCTGCACATTGTGGACATGTACCCTAAAACTTAAAGTATAATAATAATAAAATAAAATAAAATAAATAAATAAATAAAATAGAATAAAATTGCTCTGAGCCAGGTGTGGTGGCTGAGGCCTATAGTCCCAGAACTTTGAGAGGCTGAGGAGGGAGGATCACTTGAGACCAGGAGTTTGACACCAGCCTGGACAACATTGAGAAACCCCAACTATACCAAAAATACAAAAAACTAGCCGGGTGTAGTGGTATGTGCCTGCAATCCCAGCTAGTAGGGAGGCTGAGATAGGAGAATCGTTTGAACCTGGTAAGTGGACATTGCAGTGAGCCAAGATCCAGCCACTTCGATCCAGCCACTTCACTCCAGCCTGGGCAACAGAGCAAGACTCCACCTGAAAAAAAAAAAAAAAAAAAAAGGATAATTTGCATATTGTCATTGTTTTTAAAAGAATATAAAGATTATGATATACTATGTCTTATGTGTGTTATATTACACATATTATTCATATGTGTATATGCATGTATATATATATATTTGTATATATGTGTGTTTATATATGTACCCCTAGGTATATACATAAAATATAGCTGGTTATATAAAGGTATAATCTTAAAGAGGGTGTTTTGCAAAAAATAGACCCCAAAATATCTGATTCTGTTTCAGAACTTTCTTTTTTTTTTTCCTGATTGCCTTAGGTATAAATATCAAATTCTGGAATAGGATAATAACCAAAAGGAAAAAGACCGCTTCCAAAATTATTTCATATTGTCAACAGAAGCTGTCATCAATGATTTAAAAATTCATGTAAGTTTCAACAGAAAATATTAAAAGATATACAAGCTTAAGTAACAGCTCTTCTGATTTATTTAACTTAATAAAAAGAAGGGCAATCTGGCTCATTAAATTGAAGAGTGTTCTAATTTACTCTGGAGTTAATGATTGCAGTCTCAAAGAATCAAAAACCCTTCTTCTAAATTATATTCAATCTTGTTAGCTTGTTCTGATTGGAAAAATGACTAGGAAAATACACAGCAGTTTATTAAATGACCTGATTAAATTTTAATGATACCAGCTCCTTCACAATCCTTGATGACCACTGCTCAGATATGCACCTGTGATACCTCTTACTCCTGATTTATGCTCTCGTAAGCTGAATCACTCAGGACAACCACACATTTATTCAGGCATGCAGATTCCAGCAAAGTTTCTGGAAACAACCGTCAAAACAATAAATATTCTTCAACCTTCAAATTAAAAGTGGAAATATTTTGTATCTTGTGCTCTACTGATAATTTAAAATCTTGCACAAATAATTCTGTCCGTGAATTATCTGGCTGTTCACAACATATGGCTGTGAGACATTCCCAACTCCTTGCTTCATTGACAGCATTTTACATGCTGGTAGCTACTGCCATGAGCTTCTGCAGCCCCAGAATTGTCCTAAAGAAAAGTAACTGCCAGTCCACCCTGTTAGAGTTTTCCTGTGTGTTTGTCAGTTTTCATCACATAGCGCCATCATCCTCAAAGAAAAAGGGAAGGCAAGTACATAAAAATTCCAGGGCAAGATGGTTTCAAAATCATACTCATTAGATGCCGTACAGTGACCACCTCTGAGTCCCACTGCTAGACCTACTGTTCTTTTCTCTAATCTTTGACCACATTCTCTGTGTGCTCCACATTCAAGTCAATGCTTGAGTCCTAAGACACATAAATAAGCAACAGCTCAACAAAAAGCTCATGCCCAATTGTGTGGTTGACATCTGTGATTGTTCTCTGAAAGTATAGTTTTGAAAACTAAAATTAATGGAATCAATTCTAAAGAGATAAGTCCACATGTTACACCTAAACAGGCTAAACATCTGGCAGTACTTGTTAAACTTTGCTTTATATATCGATACGTTAGGAGTACCTCTTGAGAACATGTTTTGTGAATTCAAGCAACTGCTATTATATAATGTGAGTGAGCAACTTAAAACAAAGGACCTGATGGGTTAACCTCTACTGGAAGGGCCAGTTTATTCATTCTTCAAACTTTCCCTGAGTGTTCAGTGTTTGTCTGGATGTGTGATAGATGCTGGGATTATGTTTCTGATAGAACTTCAATGAAGTGCTCCATTTTCTTAAGGTATATTTTTCTCAAAAAAACAAGTAAATAAAAAATACTTTGCTGGAAGAATGAATAAGATGTTGCTATCTATAATTATTATAAATACGATGGCACAGGGCGTAATAATTTAAAAGTGATTTTGCATGTATAATTGAATATGCTGTTTACAAGAACCCTATAAGGCAGAAAGGTCATGCTCCTATATTCAGTTCCCTCATGTTACAGAAGAGGAAACTGAGGCTTGCAGTTTTCCTTGCTATAGGGAGGTAAACTATGGCACACCATCTGCTTCTGTAAATAAAGTTTTACTGGCACATGGCCAGGACCTTTTGTTGAGATACTGCCTGCTGCTGCTTCCCTCTACAATGGTGCAGCTGAGTAGGTGTGCTGACAGAGACAATGATGAAAGTACTTACTATCTGATACTTTACAGAGAATACTACTGCTATAGAATATACAGGAAAAAGGGATAGAGTTGTCTTTTCACTTCAAGTTTTTTCTCACACACTGTAAAATTCAGGGATGCTCTATGGGGCAGGGCAAATTAGCATTGATTTATCAGGGGTGAGAGAGAAGTAAATGTGATTTGAACAATAATTTCATATTTGCAAACATATCTCCCTTTTTTTCATGAGATAGCCTACAGGTAGCCACACCTGACAATAGTCTTGATTAACAATTCCTAGAGTAGAAGAGAAAGAGACAAAGAGACACCCACCTCCTTGGACACAGGTGAGAATCTCCCACTTATGGTGTAGAGAAGAGACAGATGAGATATTTAAATCAAAGAAACACAAGTAAAAATACAATCTACAAGAAAGATTGAGAAACCTGACATACTAACCTCTACTAAGTATTGATTCTTGGTGGATTGCTTCTTAGTTTTTGCAGAAGGATGATTAAAAATGATGACTCCAAATATCTAATTTTGAGAAGGCTCTAAAGGGTTATTTAGCATATGATCACCTATGAACACCATATAGAAAATAGTCCCTGGAAGACTAACATGTTTCAAAAATTAAACAGATAATTCAAAAAAAATTCTTAAAAGTCACTGAAGAATAAGAGTGTCTATTTCATAATAACTAGAAATTGATATTCAGGTTTCCATCAAGCCAAATCTAGCTGGTGGCAAGGCCAGCTACCACTGTGTGCTATGACAGTGACAGAGCTGCATTTCCATATAAAAAGTCTAAGCCATGAGGAAATAGGAGCCTAAGGACCACAGTATCAATCTCATATAAAAGCACAGTTACATGGAGTATTCCACAATTCTCTTTCTGACAGAAGTATCAATAATGAAAGGAAAAATGACCCAGAATGCAAAATCCACATGGACTAGGGTAATACAATGTTGCATTTTCATGTTCCTGTTATAGCATACACTTAATCTTAGCCAAAAAGCCAAGAAACAATCTTGTAATACTACAGAGTCAAAATATTACTTGAATTCCAACTCAAATGAAAAGAAACAATGCGAAATCCTACAGCTTTTCTTCTGATCTGCATCTGTCAGTTCTGGAGATGATTCTATTCTGGTATTTTAGTCACCTGCCAACGCTAATTCTCTCTCTTAAAACAAATGAGTTAATAATTCCTCTTGAAAATTCTCATTTTTATTCCAAATTGACAAGAATCTGTGAAAACATGGCCTAAATATGTAAACATTCCTGGGGCTTATTCTACCATTGGAAAGAGTTCATATTTAGTAAAGAAAAATTATTAGTGAAAAATCTAGGACTAAACTTCAATTTATTTCCATTTATTCACTGATACATTTATTAATGAATATGTACTATAAGTAAGGTGCTAAAATAGTCATAAGGTGAAGCCACAGAAAACTACAGGAACTTTTAAAATAATATGTTTTTAAAAAGCAATTTTCTTTTTTTCTGGGTTTCCCTCTGTTGCCCAGGCCAGAGTGTAGTGGTGTAATGATAGCTCACTGCAACCACAACCTCCCCAAACTCAGGTAATCCTCCCACCTCAGCTTCCCAAGCAGCTGGGACTGCAGGTACATGCCACCATACTTCCGTAATTTTTGTAGAAATGGGTTTTTGCCATATTGCCCCGGTTAAAAAAATAAAAATAAAAAAATTTTCAAAGACATCACGTCATTTTAAAGTACTGGTAGAGGGTTTCAAAAGGACTCATACTGGTATTTGCCATGGTTGAAGTTAATCTTAAGTCTTATTAAGGTATGATGCTTCTAAGTGATTGATAAATAAATTTTAATGCACATATTGGATCCATAAATATACCTTAATAAAATCCACTAATATCTGCAATTTAGAAACAAGGAGAAACAATTTAGAAATAAGGTCTGTGTATTTAACAAGTCACAAGCAGAGAGTAGACTTCACCCCCATTGGCTTAGT
Source organism: Homo sapiens (assembly GCF_000001405.40). Classification (NCBI taxonomy): domain Eukaryota; kingdom Metazoa; phylum Chordata; class Mammalia; order Primates; family Hominidae; genus Homo; species Homo sapiens. The sequence continues at coordinate 14,089,846 of NC_000024.10, read as the reverse complement.
TCCATTTTCTCGGCCTTTCCTGACTCAGTGCCACAAATATAAGTAACATTAAGTCCCTTTTCCCCTTCAGCCACCTCCACCTTCCTCACTTCGGTGAAACAACCGAAGACAACAAACAGATGAAAACCTGAGCTCTACGAAAACACCAAAGTCTAGAATATGAGAGGTGTCTTCAGCACGACTGAAATTTTTATGTAATTTAAATCACATAAAAAGTTTATACCCACAGAAAAACACTGCATTTAAAGCAACATTCACACTTTCCTGAAAAATGGAAAGGAAAGAAATAACTCATCATAAAAACCCTATTAGACTGTGGGAGGTGATCAGACTTAAGAAGAATTAGTGTTAAACAGAGAACAGGACTTGCAAATTGTCCCTTTCTGGTGTTATAAACAATGCAAGGCTTCTGTGGCTCTCTGTTGGTCATGTGCACGAGGCCCCTTTATTGCAGACTCCATTAAACAACAGAAGAAAACTGAATGCTGTCTGAAGATATAAGGTTCAACTCTACAAGTAATTATGATGTGCCTCCTATGCACAGTCACATGATCAGCAAGACACTGTCCTGGGACATTGTCCAGGGTCAAGGGGCTTGGGTGGGTCACTTTCCATCTTCCTCATAGTTCTGGGCCTGTGCATTTCCTGCTGTTTAATTGTGGCTGTCACTCTCTTCCTGTCCAAAGTACTCAATCACATCATGGTAAGTTCACTAGAAACTCTGATTCCTCACTCATGCCCTTTTAAACATTGCTAGTCTTCCTGTCACACACCCATGATGTGGCACTGGGGCTGGACCGGAATAACACGAGGAATGCATTGTTTGAAAATTGAAAAGAACTAAAGGGCAATTAAAATGCATTGAAAAGAACTAAAGGGCAAAATGGAGCAACAGGGATAGGAAAAATAGAAATATTAAGGACCATCCTGGGGAAGTTGCCCCCTTCCAAGTTTGGTGACTTGAGTGAAGTAGATTGACATCTCTGTATCTCAATTTCCTCACGTGGAAAATTGGAAGTAAGAACCCCTACAGCAGATAGGATTGAATTCTGTTGTATACAATAATAACAAAAGTTTTACTACTTTTGTCTGGTAACAGGAATATAGAGGGCCGGCTGGTAAGGTAGACTCCTCAAATCATTTAGGACTTTGGTATTTCCAGCTCACTATTTGGCCATCTTCAGGGTGTGATCCTTGACCTCATGATGAACAATAGCTGCTGGAGCTCCAGTAATCGTATCTAAGTTTTGGGTAACAGGAAAAATGGAAAAGTATACAACCTTCCTTGTACTGTAAGTCCCACAGTTATTCAGCTCACCTGTCATTGCCCGACAGTGAAATAAATGGCCACACCTAACTCCAAGGGAAGCTGGGATATATAACCTAGCTGTACAGCCATAGGTCCAGATAAAAATTGGGATTCCTTTACTAAGGAAGAAGAAGTGTATATTGGAAGAGAACCTGGAGCCTCTACCACTTGCTTCCCCTTCTAAGACAGAAAGGTTCTTAATTTGCAAGTGAAAGACTGGTGTAATAGGGACATCGAGGAAAAATATTCCAATTTATTAAGTGGCAAAGTAATTATACTTGTCAATTCAACATTTCATTAAGTATTTCAAATGACAGTGCCCAAATATGTTGAATTTTCTACTTTAAACCCATTACCTTCTGCTGTATCAAAGCATACGTTCTCATATTACCTGAAGCCTGTTATGTTTTGCACTAGAGAGAAAAGAAAGAATTCCAAAGGTCAGGAAAGCTCAAGAAAAGACAATCATAAGGACAGATGAGATCAGAACAGAGACACTGCCTCGATTCTATTAGCCAAGGAGTTCTTAAAACACGGTTCTTTTGTTGTGAGATCATCAATTCCTTGAGCTGGCATAATAGGGACACGGAGAAAAACTACTCTATGTCCATGTCCTGGGCCCTAAAAGTGAGTGGGTGAATGAATGAATGAATGAATGTTAAAGCACTTTGTGTGTACTCGTTATTAATAAATATATAATATATTTATAAAATATGTGATTTATTCATCCTGAATATATGTATGATCTCTGATTTATGTGAAACTTTATTAGATATATGCTAAACAGATACTTTATTATAAAATTCATATCTCCAGTATGTGCTTATTTGATTATAAAATATATATCTCTGGCATGTGTTAAACAGGTACTACATTTGATTAAAAAATACATATATCTGGTACATGTTAGACAGATACTCTGATTATAAAATACATATCTCTGGTATGTGCTAACAGATACTCTCTTTGATTTTAAAATATATATCTCTGTATGTGCTAAATAGCTATTCCATTTCATTATAAGATGCATATTTCCAGTAATGTATTAAATAGTTACTACATTTGATGATACAATGTATATCTCTGGTATGAGCTAAACAGATACTTTATGTGATTATAAAATACATATCTCTTGTGTCTGTTAAATAGCTACTGTATTTGATTATAAAATGTATGGTTTTGGTATACATTAGATGGCATATTTGGTTATAAAATATACATCTGTGGCATTTGTAAATTAGATACCATATTTGAGTATAAAATGTTCATGTTGAACATGTGTCTGTGCTGCAGAGGAGCTGCCTTGAGTAGAATGGTGAATGTTCAGAACAAACCGTGTGTAGATCACAGAAGGAAGCTGGGTCACATAGTGCAGACTTTAGGTGGATGCCCATGTCTAAATTTCCCTAAACGAATTGACATCCTGTCTTAAGTGCCAGCCCCAAGTGAGGAGCGCTCTCCTTAAACAAAACAGGTTTTGGCATTCTGATGATCAATGTGTCTGGTTAAGTGGAGAGCCTTCGACGGGAGTGTGCCAAGGGCAGGCTGGAAGGAAACTATGCTGCATTGTCTGGAGGAAGACAAGGGTGTGGAGCCCTGAAGCTTTTTCCCACCCTTACGGTGGTGTAACTCTACTTAAGAGGGGCTGTGAGTATGACTTTACTAGGTGGAAAAAAAATCGTTCACTGCTAACAACAACAAAAAGAAATATATATTTTAAAGATGAAAACAAGAGCATCACAGTCCAATCATTCTCATTCACAAGATCTTCGTAAGTTACCACTGTCTCTGTATTTTTCCCTCTTAAAGAGAAACAAAGCTATTTATGAGGAAAAAACATACATTTTGGAGCCATTAAAATAATTATAAAATTGAATGTTTTAAAAGAAACATATTAGTATCAGAGGAGGGTAATTCCTCAGTTTTAATAACTTTATCTGCCCTTTGTATTCCGCTGGCTTCAATCATGCATGTATGGGCATGAAACTGCTGGCTAGGAGGACCTAGATGAATAAAATAAAGAAGCATCTCGTAACTACAGGCATTAACATTCAGACAATATAACTGACATGTTATTGACTATCCAAATCTCAGTAAATAAGTCTCACAGACTTCAAGCTGCACACAATTACATAAAAGATAATATTTTTAATACCTGAAAAGACTCTAAACAGATAGGTACAACTTGACATGCTCTGAATCAGTCAATTTACCTTGGGTAAAAATCAGCATTTTAATATTAGACACACAAGTTATTACAAACTGAAATTTAAGTTAGGTCTAAATTCCTGAGTATGTAAAGGTTACAAATAAATTATTTGCAGTGTTCCATCGTATACCATAAAAATCATGTTACAGTTGCACTCCTATGTTCTGGAGGAACAAAGCCCTCTGATTATGATAGGGGAGGTTAGCCCACAACTCAGAGATGTTCTCATGTATGTCACCAGGATTTGCAAAGGGAATGACATATTTTATGTTCCAATGATGTAGTCAGGATATGTAATGGAGCCCTGGCAAGCAGTGACACCAATTATGCTTTATCTCCCACTTAAGAAATTGAAAAAGATTGTCATTTAGGGAACTTTCATTCCTTACATCATAAGAAGCTGGGCTCTGAGAGCTTTTATGAAATGTAAGTGTTTTATTTTGCCATGTAGTTTCCAAATCATTAGTGTTCTATTTGAAAACATACAGCATTAGATACTGAATATTTTCTAAGCTATAATCTTTCAACTGATAAGTGAAGGACTCTATAACAGTTTGCTGTCAAGGATTTCATGAGATTTTTTTTTCATCATACATTATTCAGAAATGAATTATGGCTCAAATCCTGACTCCTGGATCATCCATTTACAATTATTTAGAACTCAGAATAAATAGGCTTTGAATAAATAGCTACTCTATTTGATTATAAAAATGCATGCAACTACATTGATTTGGGTCAGCTCTCAAGAGCCTATTTATTCTGAACTGCAACTAAATTACAGACTCAGTCACCAGCATAGCAATTTCCATAGGAAAATCCTCTTTTGAGATGTGACCCGACACAGTTGGAACCCACTCTTGCCATGTTTATTTCTGCACCAGGTATAGGGAACTTCCATAGCTTTCTTATGCAGTGGTTCTTCCTTGGTCATGTCTCCTGTTTCCTAATTACCAAAATACCCACTGAAAGGACAGGGACTTGTGTCTCTCCTGGTATGTCCCACCCTTGGCAGAGCTAACACTCAACAAACATCTGTTGTGTATCTCTCTCCCTTCTCAGTGGTGGGAATGGACCCGACACTCCTCCACCTACCTCAATAGTGGGACTAAAGAAGGTTGTCCAATGTTGTTGGTAGCATATTGGTTACAAAGGCACAGGGCCTGTTTTTAACAGTTCCTATAGCAACAGGCTCCTGACAAGTGCCCAAAAAAGCTTCTGGGGGCTCCGGTTTCAGCAGTGGCAAATGCAAGCATAATAGCATATCACAGGGATTCCAGCAGGAAAGAAGGCAAGAAATAGCCATGTGTGAAACGATTCTGTTGCACCATGCTGGTGCGAGGTGCCAGAACTAGGCATATAACTTCTGGGTCCTGTGCAAAATAAAAATGCAGGGCCTCTTGTTCAGAAAGTATGGAGAATATTAAGATGTTGGCAGCAGAGCATTAAACCAATGGTGAGGCTCCTTGGATAGTGGAGCCACATGCAAATGCACAGACCATACACTCATGAAGTAGACTTTCCCTCAAATATAGTGTCTCATTTAATTCTCTCATAACCTTCTCTCAGAAAGACAAAGTTGCCCAAAGATCTGTCTGCTAATAAGTGGTTGAGATTGCCCCTGGAACAAATTTATTTTAATATAAAATATATATTTTTACCAGAGCCAGCATACATATGTTGGATTTCTCACAATGGATTTTTTTTTTCATCTTTTGGTCAATTTTATGGACATCTATCTCAATCACTTGTTTATTGAAATACTTCTCTCCCACCCCAATTTTATGGTCTCAATAGCAGTTTGATTATGACCCTGCAACAGGCGTGATTACAAATGACAGCACCAGTGACAGAAATAGGAATAGTGACGTCTATGGTTTGCACAGACTGAATTAGTCTTCGGAGATTCATCTTGGGCACTGGTATTTTATAAAAGTCTCTTATAAAACCATCAGAAGTCATGATACTTATTCACTATGAGAAGAACAGTATGGGATGGGGGAAACTGCCCCCATGATTCAGTTATCTCCCACCAGGTCCCTCCCATAACATGGACACACCCAAACCATATCAAGACCCCAGGCCATGTGTTCAGACCCAGGTGTGCCAAGCCCTGGGTGACCCACAGCCATCTATCATTGAGTTGCTTCAACACATGGCTTCACGAACTCAGATCCTCCTGTCTCTACCTAAGGGTGACCTTCAGGCAGCCTCCCCAACCCCAGCTGATAGGTCAGAACCACCATCCCCCATGGTACCACCTCAAACAACATTCTCCCACCAGCCTCTTCTTTCATGGGAACATATATACTTGATCATGTCCCTACTTGGCAGGGGGTTTATTTTAATTCCCCTTCATGCTTCTTCCTTTGCTACATCATCCCTAGTCTTCCCGCACTCTCACTCTTTTCTGCTAAATGCTTCGTAAGTATTTCAGTCATAGATTTCGTATGGTTTGACAGTCACCATCTGGTATCAAGGAAATATTCATCCTTCCTTCTTTTTAGTTCTGAAATAGGTTAAAATATCCTCCTAAACATGTAGAATGTTTCTTGTAGAACCTATAGTAAGTGTCAGTTATTCAATATTCTCCTTACAAAGTATTACATGTTTGTGTCAACAATTTCTCTCCTCCTCAATGGACTCAAGTAATTACCCCAATTTTCTGAATAGTTATTATCCCAAACAAACAAACTAGAAATATGCCATGTTTACTTAACAGCAATAGTTTGCTATTGCTGTTATAATAAATTGCTATAACTTTAACCCCTTCAAACAAGACAAACGTGTTGTCATACAGTCTGACAGTCCAAAGTCTGGTATGGGTCTCACTGGGGAAAATCCAGGGGTCGGCAGGGCTGCGTCTCTTTCTGGAGGCTCTGGGGGAGAATGTGTCTCCTTGCTCAGTCAGCTGTTCAGAGAATTCAGTTCCACAGGTTACAGGGCAGATGCCCCCTTTTCTTTGCTGCTGTCAGTGGGGAGCTGCTTTCCTAGAAGCCTTTGTGCTCCCCTGGCATGTGGTTGCTACATCTCCAAACCAGCCATGGTAAACAGAATCCAGGAAAGGTGTCCATTTTTCAAGATTCATGTACTTAGTTAGGGTCCACTTGGATAATATGGGATCATCCTCCTATCTCAGACCTTTAACGTAATCACATCTACAGAATCCCTTTTGCCAGGTAAGTTTACTTCTGGACAGGTTCTGGGAATTAGGGTAAGGGCAGCTTTGGGTGTCATTCTTCTGTCTGCCACATAAAAGGGATTGACAGGGAAGATGGGCATTTTATCCAGCGTGGGGTATAGTTAGGGGACAGTGCTAGACACATGGACCACAGTCACAGCTGGGGCCCAACCAGCTATGTGATTTTGCCGAGGTTACTGAGTATGAAGGGCCCAGCTTCTTTTTTTTCTTTTGATTGATTAAAAAAAAAAAAATCACTGTTACACTGGCCCCAATTTAGGGTCAGTTCAACAGATGCCACCTTGCATCATATCTATTCATTTCACACATATTACATAGTGCCCACAAAAAGGCTGGCAGTGTGGCAGGTACTGAGCCACGGCAGTGAGCAAACCAGAGAATTCCCTGCCTCTGGGAGCTTACACAATCTGTTCCTAGCTAAACCAGAAGATGCATGTCTACCTACTGCAAGCCTTATCTGTCTGTACTGGACTTTGACAATTTAAGACCACTCAGCATGGGTGGCCATCTGTTCCCTTTACATTGTGAAGTCTACATAATATTGTAATAGGATTATAGAAAAGTACCTTCTGCTGTATGAAAACATACATCCTCCATATTACCTGAAGCTTAATATTTGCACTAGAGGGAAAAACAAGAAAAAATTCCAAGGAAGTACACCCTTTCCATCCTACAAATATTCACTGCATTAGCACAGCGAGCACATTGGTATTTGGAAATCAGTCAGCTGAAGTATATCCTAGAGATAATGAATTCTCAACCAACCAACTTTCAAATGTGTTTGGATACAAAGACATCAGAACAAAATGGAGAAACAAAATAGAACATTAGATTGAAAAGTTAAGAGACTTGGTTACCAGAATTGGTTCCCACTACCATGCAGGATAATCTTGGTCACCGAGGTGTGGACATCACATAAAATCTTTCCAATCACTTCTCTGATAAAAACATAAAAGGGACCGGGCATGGTGGCTCATGCTTGTAATTCCAGCACCTTGGAGACCAAGGCAGGCAGATCATTTGAGGTCAGCAGTTCAAGACCAGCCTGACCAACAAAGCAAAACCCCATCACTACTAAAAATACAAAAATTAGGTAGTTGTGATGGTGCACACCTGTAATCCCAGCTACTCAGGAGGCTGAGGCAGGAGACTTGTTTGAACCTAGGAGCTGGAAGGTTTCAGTGAGCCAATATCGTACCACTGCCCTCCAGCCTGGGCAACAGAGTGAGACACCGTCTCAAGAAAAACAAAAACATTAAAGGGTCACAATAAAACCAGTCCTACCTAACTTACAAAAGGACTTGAAGGATAGAATAAGAGAGTACATGTTAAAAACCTTACATACACTCCAAATTATTAGCCACATAAATTTCAGGAATTATTATTGCTACTAAACTGCATCAGTGACTTGCTTCGCATAATCAACATGAGATCTGAACATTGCAGGAAAACACTGAACAAGTACAGGGAGCTTTTGGATCACAGTGCATTGTGAGGCTGCATCAGGAGGGATCCTGGTCAATGCTTTCATCAAACACATAATGTACAGAGCACTTAAACATCTATCTGGTCTGATAAGAGAGACAGGATCTAAAGAACGTGGCAATGCTCATTATATTTTAGGAAATGTTGAAATCAGCACTTGCTGATTTCTTCAAACAGGAAATGTGCCTTTGTTACATTAATGAGGCCTTCCCTGGAGGAAAAATTGGAGACTAAGTGATTTTCTCTGATTTTGCTGTTGGTGATGGATACTTGAAGTAGGTTCTGGGCCAGTTCGTGAACATTGAAAGGAAGAATCCACTTCTAAAGAACAAAAACAATCTGCATTATTCACCCTTAATTATTGAACACCTTGTAAATATTTTACAGGAGAGAATGCTGACCTTGCCACAGTTTGTACAGACAGTCCTCAACACTCTGTTTTCACGTACTTTTGGGAAAAATGTACTGTGTATACCTTAGCTGGGCCATGAAGTCATAACCCAGTGTTACTGCCCCGAATGACTGCTTTCTGATTTCTTCAGCAAACTTCTAGGTAAATTGGTTACATTCTTAAAAAAAGAAGATTAAGGCTGGGTGTGGTGGCTCATGCCTGTAATCCCAGCACTTTGGGAGGCCGAGGTGGGCAGATCATGAGGTCAGGAGGTTGAGTCCATCCTGGCTAACACGGTGAAACTCCATCTCTACTAGAAATACGAAAAATTAGTTGGGTGTGGTGGTGGGTGCCCATAGTCCCAGCTACTAGGGAGGCTGAGGCAGGAGAATGGTGTTAACTCGGGAGGTAGAGCTTTCAGTGAGCCGAGATTATGCCACTGCACTCCAGCCTGGGTGACAGAGCCAGACTCCAGCTAATAAATAAATAAATAAAATTAAAAATAAAATTTAAAAGTGTCCCTATATACTGTAAAGAAAGAAATCATTCCACTTATAAAACTTGGGATTCCACAGACCCAACAGCAAAAGTAGAGTGTCACACTATTAAAGGTATGCAAATTCTCCACCTGGCAGGGACCTCATCCACCATTCTCTCAGGCCCTTTGCCAGTTATACATTCTCATAATCCTAATCATTTTGTTTGTTTGTTTTTTCCTTTGTAAACCACCTTAAATGGCCTTTGTCCCCATCTGAAAAATACTTGAAGACTTAATCGGAATTTTAATTGAGCACATTTTTCTCAAAAGGTTTCTTCAGTGCAATTAATCTTCTCTCTCACCCCAATTTTGTGGTCTCAGTAGCAGTTTGATTACAACCCTGCAACTGGTCTGATTACAAATGACAGCACCAGTGACAGAAATAAGAATGGCGATTCCTACGGTTTGCATAGGCTGAATCAGTCTTCAGAGATTCGTGTTGGGCACTGGCATTTTATAAGTCTTTCAGGGGTGTTTGTGTCTACCCTGTACTGGGATCTACAGAGGTGACACGGTCAGTTAATCTTCACATCACCCTGCAAGGTGGGTATAACCATCCCACTTGACAGAGAAGAAAACAGAGGATTGGAGAGTTCAAGTATGTATCCCAGTATCTCATTAAAAATGCATCTCAGAGCCAGGATTTACACCCAAGTCTGTTTTTTATTAAACAATGAATTGATTTAGCAACTAACTGGGCACCAGGTGCTTGGCTAGGCACTCGGACTTGGAGAGGACAAGATACAAAGAACCTGTGCTCATGAGATTCATAAGTGCCTCCAAGAGCAGGTCACAGAGGCCATGAGAGCCCCCATGAGGGTGTGTTTGACTCTCATTTAGTGCAAAAAATAAATAACAACAGGTAAACTCATTTGAGAATATGATGACATCAAGTCTCAAATTCAGGTAAATTATTCAATGTCTTAACATTGCAGAATTTCAGTTAAGTGGCTGTACTATTGCAGCAGTCTCTCCACTCCCCACAAAGATGTCCACATTCTAGTACCTGGAACCTGTGACTAGGAGACCCTCTATGTCAAAAGGAACTTCGTAGGTGCAATTAAGGACCTTGAGATGAGGAAATAATCCTAGATGACCTGACAAGGCCCAAGGTCATTACAAGTGTCCTTGTAAGGGAAAGAGAGAGGTAGGAGAGCCAGAGTTAGAGAGATTTGAAGATGCTGTGCTTACAGCTTTAGAAATCAAGCAAGGGGTCAGGAACCAAGAAGTCTGGGCACCCTCCAGAAACCCAAAAAGGTAAGGAAATGGATTCTTCCCTGGAACCTCTGGAGAGAGTGAGCATGGACATATTCATTTTAGACCAGACTCTTAGGACCTCTAGAGCTGGAAGATGATAAACACATGCTGTTTTAAGCCACTAACTTAAAGGTCCTTCATCAAAGTAGTAACATGAAATCAATACAGTGGGTGTCAACCTACAACCTCGTGGGTTCCCAAAGGTTTCTCTCCAATTTGATATTCATGCTGAGACTTAAATATAAACAGGAGTTGGAAAGAGGATGAAGGTGAAAGCAGAGGATAGTAAAAACAACAGCAAGAACAATTCAGAGAGGGGCACAGAGTTGAAATGTGTCCCCATGGTGTGCCACAAGTAGGGCTACGTCAAATGGGGCCTTGTAATGCATGCTGAGAAATTTGGGCCACATTATCCTAAGTCAACAGAGAGTCCTTGCCCCAGGGGGAAATGAGGTGATCGGATGTGCCTTTGGGTGACATCACTCTGAGTGCTATGAGGTGGGTGGATTGCAGGGAGCTTGAGTGGATATAGGCTGCTGGAAGCTTCTAGGTGAGAAATCAGGGTAGCCCTACAAAATGTGTGTTCATTCTATTGAGCTAGACTGCCCATCTTCCCGATTTCCTTGTACTAATTTCAATTATATTCAATATTCTCCATAGCCCAGACTTACTCATCTTTGAGTTCCCCACAGAGTCTAGCACCATGGCTTCCTTGCAAATTGTGAGAGCTGAGAAAAAGAATTACAGCATTGAGCTCTTCCACATTAATGTCTAAATTTGCCTACCACCTAAAATATGCCCAACGTCAGGTGCTCCTCTTAATTATGAATGCAAAAGCTCAGAGAAAGATTAATTACACATGTATTTGTCACAACAGTAAAAAGCTTGAGGAACTTACACCATCAGTGAGAACTGAGCGAACGTGAATCTGAGTAGGTAGAAACAGTTGATAAAAATAACTCAAGGCTATCCTACAGGTGGGTTATTTCAAATGCTAAAAATAAAGTAAATCAAACAAATGTAAGTCAAAGGTTACTTTGGCTGAAAATTTATTTTGAAGAAGAACAAATGAGGATGCCCTAAGTAAACAAAGATAATTATTTTCTCCCTTTCCATGGGAGCACCAGATAAAAGACATTTTTCATTATGCCAACACAATCAGACAAAACAACCCACTCTCCCATTTAGTGCAAAAAAATAAATAATAGCAGGTAAACTAATCTGAGAATATGATGACATCAAGTCTCCAATTCAGGTAAGTTATTTAATATCTTAACATGGCAGAATTTCTTAAGTATAAATGACTATTATTGCAGTATTTCCAAATCAGGTTAGTTACAAATCACACAATATATTTTTAAATTTGCTGAGACTTCTAAACCAAGTGTACCTAATTCCAAAGCTTAGGATTTGCCACAGGCCAAGGGAAGATTGCATAAAAAGGAAGAAGTGACCCTCTAGGAGTCCTCTTCTTCAAAAAGTAAATATAGTTATGGAAACATGGTGAAACTCGGGCTCTACTAAAAATACATAAATTAGCTGGGGGTGGTGGCCAGGATGGTCTCGATCTCTTGACCTCATGATCCTCCCTTCTCAGCCCTCCAAAGTGCTGGGATTACAGGCATGAGCCACTGCGCCTGGCCCAATTTAACTCTTAAAATTTTAAACTTGTTTTCTCCTTATTCCTGTCTGCCTCGTATCATATATCCATGTAACTAATTAAAAGTTCAGCTCCCAGCTGGGTGAGGTGGCATGTGGCTGTAGTCTCAGTCACTCAAGAGGCTGAGCTGGGAGGATCTCTTGAGACTAAGAGTTCATCTTCAGCTTGGACAACATAGTGAGACCTCATCTCTAAAAATAAAACAAAATAGTTCAGCTTTCTAATGTAAGGAAGAATATCATATTCATTCACATTTGTCTTTGTTATCTCATTACCAAGCATAGCACTTGGCATGTAGTATAGATCAATAAATATTTGTTTTGGATGTTGGATTTAAGTAAATTACCACTGTGATTCTGAATATATAGTAGTTTAATTACCATTTAAAACATTTTTTCTGTAATTTGCTAATTTTTGCTCTTCTATTTTCCTTTGTAATTAGTTCAAACTGGTTTATTTGGCCATTTATCATATATTTATTAAACATCTAACATCTCTTATATAACAAGTGTTGCATTGATACAGGGCATACACAGTTGAAAGAATTCAGCCCTTATCATCCAGGATGCAGAGGCCAGTGAGTAGAAAGACATCTGACATGTAATTACAGAAGTGTGATGATGTGGTATTGCAAAGCCACACATAGATGCCCTGGTTGTGCTCACCAGCTACAAAGTAAGAAACCTTTAGCTCTGGGAGGTGCCTACAGTAGCACTCAGCACAGAAACAAAGTGCCCCAGCTTGATGGCTCCTTTTCCTCTCCAGTGCTCCCTCCCAGGAGATTTTATCCTGTATCCCATAAAGGAGGAGAAATCAACATGGATAAGGGATGCTTGTCCACACCTTGGCTCCAGGGACAGGATGGTATTTCAGAATCTTTGAGTCTAATCAGTTCTTCCAGTCTACACTCCTTGTGGTGTTATTTCACTTTCCAGTCTTCTCATCTTAGCACCTCAATACCTCTTGTTGGTCAACATTACAAATGCTTTGCTTTTTTAAAAAAAAAAAACAACAAATCTCTTGTCATGTGTATTCAATATGCTTATTCTCCCTCCTGCTTGATAACTCCTCTTGTCACCTCCTCCCCAAATGCTGCAAACCACTCTCAATGAACTGTGGAGATTGGATGCATGCACTTTAATTTCGGGGGAATGTGACCACACTGCAAGAGCACTGCCCTTTACATGGGGGCTTTAAGGTAATAACTCATGATAACATGCGCTCTGTGCTTAGTTTAAGCAATATGTTGTCTTGAGACCACCATGGAATTCAGAGAAAGGAACTTTTGCAGTCTTGGAGTAGAACTCCCCCTCCAAAACCGTAGAAAGAGGGGCTATTTCCTTCCCATAGGTCTCCATCTCCAGGGACAAAATGATGGAAGAGATGAAAAAGGTCATGTGTGAATGCCACTATGTGGAGAGAGACAGCCGGAAAACAGAGGTGGCTTAGAGGGATCCAGAGCTGAGAATGAGATAGAGAGGAAAAAAAAAAAAAAAAGAAAAGAAAAAAGAAAGAGAGAGGCATCTAGGTGTAGTTGCAGTTCTTGAGCCTGTGGATGCAAATATAATATTATATATTGCACTGAAAAATAGACATAATGAAGATTTCCTGAGTGTTTCTGTTGTTGTATTAGAATTATTTGATTTCAGTGCTTGCAACTGGCATTTTAGATAAGTATAAGACAGAGCAGGTTAGCTTTCAAAGTCTTCAAACAATATGTTTTATATTTTACCTTTCCTCACTACACCTACCTTTTTCTATTTGTTTTACTTAAGCTAGTTGGAATTGAGTTTCTAAAGCTTCCAAGCCAAACCCATCTTACTAATGTAAATGCTTTTTACATTGTACATAGCCATTTTCCCTCTATTAGAAATAGGCTTCAAGAACTGACTACCTAAAGGAACACAGGGCAAATTCTTTCTAAAAGGAGTAATGTATTTTCAAAAATTTTGTATTACATATATATACACCATATTATATATATTACAAATATATATACAAACATATATGTTTATATTATGTAAAACAAAATAAGACTTTTCTTTGATAACAGAAAAGAATTTCTCTGTTTTAGTCTGTCCAGGCAGGCTGCTGTAACAAAATACCCAAAACTGGGTGGCTTATAACAATAGAAATGTGTTTCTCACAGTTCTGGAAGACAAGCAAGCATTCCAAGATAAGTCACTAGCAGATAGTGTTTTGTGTGGCCCTATTTCCTGGTTTATAGATAGAAACTTTTGCCCCATCCTCACATGGTGGAAGGGGTGAGGGAGGTCTCTGGGGCCTCTTTGATAAGGGCACTCATCCCATTCATGAGGCTCCACCCTCAGGACCTCCTGCACCCCAAAGGCACCAGCTCCTTATGCCATCATTGTGGGGGATAAGATTCAACAAATACATTTTTGGAATGGGACACAAACATTCAGACCATAGCAGTCTGAAAAGATAATTCAAAATAGACATCCTTTAGAAATATAATTTATTTACGACTCAACGTATCTGATAATATATGATGATCTTTAGGTCTTTTAACATGATGTTGAAACTAAGTATCAAATTATTTCTATTAAAGAGAAACATTTTTAAAATGTGACATTGATTTTATAAGCTTCATTTTAATTTAATATGTGAAGGGTTCCAAATGTAATCTTTGAAAGAGTATAATCACCATTTAGTGGACATCCTCTAAGGATCATATTTTCTTTAAAGCCGTAAATAAATATACTATTGACATAAACGTTCAAAAATGTTCTTTACAACATCTTCACTAAATTTCTAACAAAAATAACATAATATCCCAAAAGTACACAGATGCATTCCTTATTTGGAAAACCACAAAAAGAATAGGTAAAAGTGGTTCAGCAGTCTGAGCTAGAAGCCACAGTGAAATTCCGAAAGGATACATGGCTCCGCTGTGGCCATCTTGAAATCTGTAGCAATTTTATGTTTGAACTTGTATTTTCTTTTTTTTTGTTTTGTTTTGTTTGTTTGTTTGTTTGTTTTTTGAGACGGAGTCTCTCTCTGTCGCCCAGGCTGGAGTGCAGTGGCACAATCTCAGCTCACTGCAAGATCCGCCTCCCAGGTTCACGCCATTCTCCTGCCTCAGCCTCCCCAGTAGCCGGGACTACAGGCGCCCGCCACCACGCCCGGCTAATTTTTTGTATTTTTAGTAGAGACGGGGTTTCACCTTGTTAGCCGGGATGGTCTCGATCTCCTGACCTCATGATCCACCCGCCTCGGCCTCCCAAAGTGCTGGGATTACAGGCGTGAGCCACCACGCCCGGCCTGAATTTGCGTTTCCTAAGGGACATCCAGTGGGGACACTGATATATAACATGAGCAGAGCAGATCCTGGGGTCCATGTATGGGGTCCTTCTGAGCATGGGGCCCTGTTTGACTGGGCCAGCTACGACCTATGAAGCTGGCCCTGCTCAGGGATGCTTTCCAATATTCCCAGTTAACATCCCACAGAAAATGGGGAGAAAAGAAACTTTCTGCTCTGCATGAAATGAGACTGTTGTGATTATTAGATACGACTCAAAACATGAAAGAACAAATAATTAATTATTGTCTTTTTAAAAAATGTTTTTATTCCTGAGATTCATTGACTTATTTACAACTGCTTTGGTTGCTGAGAGAAAAAAACAGAAATTATATGTGGATAAGGAAAAATATTATTAGAATATACTTGCTAAAAAAGTAGATTTTAAGTGTTCTCATCACAAAAAATGTTAGGTATGTGAGATAATGCATGTTAATTAAGTCAGAGTAGCATTCCACAATGTAAACATATTTCAAAACATATTATATATAATAGATACATAAAATTTTATTTGTCAATTTAAAAAATAATAATACAGAACCCGAGAAAGGCGGGGATGTCTAGGGAATTGGCACTAGGAAGTGGAAAGCTGCCAGAAACCATGTGTCCTCTTTGGATTTCCAAGGTCTTGTGGATTCTCACTTAGCATCTCTTACTTCCATTCCAGGGGATCTACTTTCTCTCCTTCTTAGTGTTCACATCATGACCAAACCTGGCAGCCCTCAGCTCTGAAGGTTAAATAACCTCAGATAGTAGCAATTAAGCACAGGAGATTTTTAGAAATTTTTGCCTTTAGTTTTATTAATGACTTTCAGAATAGGACTCATGTGACCTCCAAAATTACATTCAAAATCCCCCCAAAAATTTGATGCCAGGTGGGTTGCAAGTGGATTTCTTGTCTTCAAGGTGTTTTTCTGTAACTGTTTCCAGTCTGCCCCTTGCAGACTGATGAGAATTGGATATTGCAAATCACAGACCCAGGTAAGTAATTGCCAGCTAGAAGCCACAACTCCCTGGGTTGAAAGAGCCAAGGAGGTCTCAATTTCATGTGGCCTTAATCCATTGAGAAACCAGCTGATTCTCCCACCTACCTGTGTTTTACCCTTTCCCAGACCAACATCAGGAAGGTGTCAGAAAGTTTTCAGGTCAAATGTTATCATCTGCTTGCAACTACCTGTGTTGCATGGCAAGGGCTTCTTACTTATCTGAGTCATGATTGAAATCTCAGTGCAAAATTAAATTGATAAAGATTGAAAAGAGAATAACTTAGATTAGTGTTTGTCATTTTTTTCTCTCTTGTCTCATGTATCTTTTACGTTGATTCTGCAGAGCTCTTATTGATTTTAAACATAGATGAATTTGAATTTGTCCAAAATTTAAAAAATCAAACAGTCATATAGCTACTTGTTTAGACTGTTTTTAATTTTTATTTACAATGTTCACTGGATTACCAAATAGTCATTACTTTATTAAGCCCACATTATGGATTCATTTTATTTTTTAGCAAAGCGAACTAAAGGTTAAAAATGAACACGAGATCATTTCTACATTAGGTAGTATAATAATCTATTCATTAGATATTAAAATTAAAGCTACTACTAATGTAACCTTTAGGATAGGAAGGTAGGCTTTAGAATTACGTTTGTGTGTGGATACATAGACACTCCCCATGGACTGTTCATTTCACACAGCAAATATAAGTTCTTTCTATTCTGGCTGGAATTCAGTTTTTTAAGAAAAAAAAAAGTTTTGGCCGGGCTCAGTGGCTCATGCCTGTAATTCCGGCACTTTGAGAGGTCAAGGCTCACAGATCATGATGTCAGGAGATTGAGACCATCCTGGCCAACGTGGTGAAACTCCATCTCTACTAAAATACAAAAAATTAATCAGGCATGGTGGCAGGTGCCTGTAGTCTCAGCTACTTGGGAGGCTGAGGCAGGGGAATCCCTTGAACCCAGGAAGTGGAGGTTGCAGTGAGCTGAGATCACGCCACTGCACTCCAGCCTGGGTGACAGAGTGAGACTTGGTCTCAAAAAAAAAAAAAAATTCTGATTTCCAAAGAAATACATGTTTATCATAGACAATTTAAATAGAAATATGAATTAAAATTTAAATACAAATAGGAATTAAAAATTGACTACCTATATAAAATTATATGTATGATATGTTCACACACGTAGGTAAAAGCATTTTGTAATTTACTTTGTAGAAATTTCTTTCTCAAATTTTAATACAAAACATTATATCAAAGCCTACCAATGTAAGCTATAACCTAATAAAAGAGCTGCCAATAATTTAAGTGCATACATAGTAAGTTACCTAATATTATGTAATATACATGACTCCTTTTTACATATTTTGTTTCCAGACATCTTATCAGCAATCTAGACTCATGAGTAACATTTCTGCACATAATAGTTATAGATAAGAGACCAAAGATTATATTAGATATTGGTGTTTGGTTATTTACAAGATATTGCTATTAGGTTATTTACTGAAATGACTTCTTCTCACCCACTATTTTTATCAACCATGCTGGGATGGAATCTGAGTATTAATAAATTTATAAATTATGACATGCCAGGGGCTTCAATATTAGAAATGTTAAATTCATGAATGGCAAGGATGTCTATAAAGTAATAGGATATATTTTTTAACACACCTATCAGTACTCGTTCTTTCAAGTAAGTGTTTTCTTCAATGCAGGTTAAGAGGTTACCAACTGTTTACATAATTGGTGAATGTGTTTCCTGAATGTATTTGTTTATCAATATCAACTGAGAGAGCTCTGTGTGTTGATATTTTCATAGACATTGCGGACATAATGAATAAACCAGGTAGTCTGCACTCTAAGGAGTGGGAAAGATGATAACCAATGCAATACAGGTATCTAAACTGTTAAGTAGTAGGTTGTACAAGACAATGTGGAATAATACCCACTCCATTCCCGAGGGTGAGGTAACATGTGACAACAACATGATTTCTGTTCTCAGTCCTGGCCAGTGGAATTCCAGGGCATGGCTGAAGAGTTGAGAAGGTACCTTAATAAGGACTCTATCATAGTTCCAGAAAATGAAAGAGATAGCTATTTTGGAGTTGCCTTCAAAAGTTTAGGGTATTTTGTTGAATATCCTGTAGGGAAGTAAATGATCAACATTTCATGTAATTTGTATTCTTTTTCTCTAAGCTGTAGTCTAACATGTAATACTTGCTAGGTCAGTGTAGTGTTAGAGTCACACTGATATTTTAATAGGTCCAGGGTTTGACAGAGGGACACATAATTACATTATATGTGACTCTATGCTTAATAGATGCTTATCAATAACATACTACAAGACAGCTGACAAAATGATTGAAGCATAACTGGAAAATTCTGGCTCATACCTGTAATCTCAACACTGTGAGATAATGACACAGGTGGATCATGAGGTCAGTAGATCGAGACCATCCTTGCAAACATGGTGAAGCCCTATCTCCACTAAAAATATAAAAATTAGCCAGCGTGGTGGCAGATGCCTGTAATCCCATCTACTCAGGAGGCTGAGGTAGGAGAATCGCTTGAACCCAGGAGGCAGAGCTTGCAGTGAGCCAAGATCGTGCCACTGCACTCCAGCCTGCTGACAGAGCAAGAATCTATCTTAAAAAAGAAAAAAAAAATTGTCTAAAACCAGATAGATGTGACTGCTGAGACAGACTTGCTTATATAGCTTACTAACTGATTATATTGCTTCCAGAAACTCTCCTACAACCAGAGAATCATTTGAAAAAGTGAGGGCAGGTTGCCAATCTGAGTATTGGTAGCCTGAATGTCCCTTGATTATTCAAGTTGAGTACTTTGACAAGGGCTCTAAGCATTTGGATTTTAATGTTCTGATACATTTATTTAAATAAAACAATAAACATATATATATGTTCATTTTAAAATTACTCAGTTTGCAAGTGCGATGATACATTTACATATGTACACACATTCAGAGACTGCATGTTTAACTGATGTGGCTTAAGATAAGTGAGCATTTGCTTTTCTTGATTCACGCAAAAGCATTTGCTTTTCTTGGTTCAAATCCAGGCTCTACCATCTATGGCTGTGTTACTTTGGGAAGGTTACTTAACCACTTTGTGCCTCAATTTCTTTCTTTTCAATTTTCTTTTGTCTTCAATTTTTGTGGGTACATAGTAGGTGTATATATTTATGGGGTACCTGAGATGTTTCAATACAGGCATGTAACGTGCAGTAACACATCAGGAAACATGGGGCATCCATCCCCTTAATCACTTATCCACTGAATTGTAAACAATCCAATTACACTCTTTATTTTGAAATGTATCATTATTATTGACTGTAGTCACCCTGTTGTGCCATCAAACAGGAGACATTACTCATTCTAACTATTTTCTTGTACCCCTCAACTATCACCACCTTCCCCCCAGCCCCCACTAACCTTCCTACCTTCTGGTAACCATCCTTCTACTGTCCCCATGAGTTGAATTGCTTTGATTTTTAGATCCCACAAATAAGTGAGAACATGTGATGCTGTCTCTCTGTGCCTGGCTTATTTCACTTAAAATAATGATCTCCAGTTCAATCCATAATGTTACATACAGCTGAATCTCATCCTTTTTATGGTTGAATAGTACTCCATTGTGCATATGTACCACATTTTCTTTATCTATTCATCAGGTGGTGTTGGTGGACACTTAGCTTACTTCCACATGTTAGTAAACAGTGCTACAACATACATTGGAATGAAGACGTGTTTTCGATACGCTGATTTCCTTTCTTTTGGGTATATATCAGTAGTGGGATTGCTGGATCATACAGTAGCCTAAAATTTAGTTTTATTAGAAACTTTTTTTTTTTCTTTTTTGTGAGGTAGGCTTGCTCTATCGCCTAACCTGGAGTGCAGTGGCGCGATCTCGGCTCACTCCAAGCTCCACCTCCCAGGTTCATGATATTCTCCTGCCTCAGCCTCCCAAGTAGTTGGGACTACAGGCGCCCGCCACCACGCCCAGCTAATTTTTTGCGTGTTTTTAGTAGAGACAGGGTTTCACCCATGTTAGCCATGATGATCACGATCACTTGATCTCGTGATCTGCCTGCCCCCCGTCTCCCAAAGTGCTGGGATTACAGGTATGAGCCACCGCACCCAGCCAGAAACTTTCAAACTGTTCTCCATAGTGGGTGTCCTGATTTCAGGTCTGCCAACAACGAGCAGTTCCCTTTTCTCCACATCCTCACCAACATTTGTTATTGCCTGTTTTTTGGATACAAGCTATTTTAATTGGTGTGAGATGATATCTCATTGCAGTTTCAATTTGCATTTGTCTGATGATCAGTGACGTTGAGCACCTTTTCACATGCTTATTTGCCATTTGTATGTCTGCTTTTCAGAAATGTCTATTCAAAATTTTGGGCCACATTTTGATTGTATTATTAGATTTTTTTTCTAGAGAGCTGTTTGAGCTCCTTGTCTATTCTCGTTATTAATCCCTTCTCAGATGGATAGTTTGCAAGCATTTTCTCCCATTCTGTGGGTTGTCTCTTCACTTTGTTGATTGCATCCTTTGCTGTGCAGCAGGTTTTAACCTTGATGTGATCCCATTTGTTCAGTTTTGCTTTTGTTGCCTGTGCTTGTGGAGTACTGCTCAAAAATTTTTTGCCCAGACCATGTCTTGGAGACATTTCCCAATGTTTTCTTGTAGGAGTTTAATTATTTGAAGTCTTATGGTTACGTTTTTAATCCATTTCGATTTGAATTTTTTATATGGTGAGATATAGGGGTCTAGTTTTATCCTTCTAAATAAGGATATCAGTTTTCCCAACAACATTTATGGAAAAGACCGTCTTTTCCCCAGTGTATATGCTTGGCAACATTGTCAAAAATGAGTTCATTGTGGGTGTATGGATTTGTTTCTGGGTTCTCTACTCTGTTCCACTGGTCTATGTTCCTGCTTTTATGCCAGTACCACGCTGTTTTGGTTACCATAGCTGTATATGTAGTATAATGTGAAGTCAGGTAATCTGATTACTCCAGTTTTGTTCATTGCTTATGATAGCTTTGGCTATGCTGTGTCTTTCATGGTTCCATATAAATTTTAGATTTTAAGATTGTTTTTCAATTTCTGTGAAGAATGTCATTGGCATTTTGGTAAGAATTTCATTGAATCTGCAGGTTGCTTTGATTCGAGTAAAATCCTAATATGTTAGAGAAGTTATTGTGTGTAACGGGAGTCTTATTTTAAGTCTGTTGGCTCTAAGGCTCAGTTCTAAGGCCATTAAGAATCCTAGAATAGTTACACTTAGCGCTGTAAGTTGTAGGTGTTGTTTGGGGGAAAGAGGAGGTTTTACATGGATTCTTCCAATCCATATACATGAAATATTTTTCCATTTTTTGGTGTCCTGTTCAATTTCTTTCATCAATGTTTTATAGTTTTTATTATAGAAATCTTTCACTTCTTTCATTAATTCCTAGATATTATATTTTATGTGTGGCTATTATAAAGGGATTACTTTTGAAATTTCTTTTTTACTTTGTTCACTGTTGGCATATAAAAATCCTACTGATTTTTGTAGGTTGATTTAGTATCCTGCAACTTTACTGAATTTGTTTATTAGTTATAATAGGTTTTTTGTACAGTCTTTAGGTTTTTCTAAATGCAAGATTATATCATCTGCAAATATGGATGATTTGACTTTTTCCTTTCCAATTTGGATGCCCTTTACATCTTTCTTTCGTCTAGTTGCTCTAGCTAGGACTTCCAGTATTATGTTGAGTTGACAGTGGTGACAGCAGTCTGATTTTCTTTTCTGCTGTAATAGAACAGCACTGAGTTCAGTGCTACCACTGTGTGACATGGGGTGGATAGCATTGGTAATTCAGGACTGCTTTTTCAATCTCTTCAGTGTCTCTTTGAGTCATATGAAGTTAAAACCAGGTCCTTTGAGAGCTCACTTGATTTTTTGTTCTATGCAGGTGTTTTTTTCTGTGTAAATATTTGTTAAATTGGTGTCTTTGCTGCGGGGACAATCTGTAGAGCTTTCTGTTCTGTCCTCTTGTTTCACCTTGTGGAGTCTTGATAATCAACAACAAAGAAGGAGCCCCAGGTGGGGAAGTGTTCAAGATGAGTGAAGGCCCCTGGCCTGGTGAGGGAGAAGAGTAGAAGAACTGTATTGAGAGACAGCCAATCACAAACATCCCACTGACACAACTACCTCCCTGTGCACATAACCCCAACCGCATGACTTCATTCCACCCATAGCCTCCACCAGCACACTCGTATAAAATTTACCTCCAGCCCCTGCCTCTTGACAGACAGTCCCTTCTCTGCTGTGCTGCCTGTTGCACCCTTGCAATGTATTTTCATACTTTCTCTAATAAATCTGGCTTTCATTACTTACAACTGTCTTGGTAAATTCCTTTACATCACAAAACATTGGCTCCAGCTAGTCACACCGGCAACATACCTCTCTCAGTTCCTTAATCTTTACCTTGTGGATAATGATTATGCCTAAATTATATAATGTGTATGAGGCTAAATGAGTTAATATGTATAAGGAGCATGAGATACTATTTGTCAAGTGTTCAGAACAGTTTATTGTATTGTTATCCTAAATCATGACAAGATTAACATTAAAAACATTTAACTGTCTAGATCAGAATAATCAATAAAATGTGTGTTAAGAGGATAATGATTATATTTAAGCTTTAAAATGTGTCTAAGGCTAAATGAGTTAATATATGCAAAGAGTATAGACTGCTGTTTGTCATAGAGCAAATATTTTGTTATTATCCTTAATCTTAACAATATTTATATCTAAAACATATAGATCACCAGATCAAAGTAATATTTTGAAATACTCTGCATGAAACTTTTTGATTATCTTTAATGTTTTAAATATGTTGAAAAATAAAAATTACTAAAACAAGAATGAAATTAAACGGCTAATATGGGCAGTAATTTAGAACATCATTTATCTCTCCAGATGAAACATACACAAGTAATCCAATTCCTTGGAACTAAACACATTTTGAAATTCTAATTCATTTTTCCTACAATTTATAGATCTAACATTATTAAAATTTTCATATCATTGAGCTAATGTGGCTTAACAAATTTAATTTGCTAAACAAATATTGCATGAAAAGAGCATGATCTGTAATCACTTTTTCCTGAGCCATATGTGATAGGTATTCCATTAAAAAGACAAGCTAGTCATACCTTGTAACTCCATAGAACTGTTCAAATAAATAAACTATTAGAAAACCAGGAAAATAACAGAATTTTGGAGCAAAGTATTTCTCTACAATTTTTTAAAAATTATTATTGTGTCTCAAGTAAGTACAGTACAACTTGGATAAGGTTGTGTAAGATGTGTGGAGATGTTTGGGGCTGTTATTTTGGACCTGGGGGGCATTTGACCACAGTGCAGTCTGAAATCTGTGAAGGGAAGTGGGAGTGGAGGACGATTCAGTAGGAAGATCCTCAGGTGACATTGTGTCTCTGAGGAATGTTCAGCCAGCCCAGGGGTCTCCAGCATAAAGACTGTTCACAGGGCAGCAACACAGAAGACAGAAGTGGACACACCCTAGTGTTGGTAACCATATTCCACCTTGGCTAGGAGCTCCCCCAAGAAGAGTGTGACTTCCATATAAACTCAACAGCTGGTCTTGAGGCATTGCAGTTGGAGGCTGCCAGCCAACTGTAGCCCTTAAAGCTAGTCAGTGACTTGAGAGCTTCTGGTGGCACATCTCTAAGGCTGACAGTCACCTATGTCTGTAAATCCATTTGAGTATCTATATAAAGTCTGTTCTTGTGCTATAAATGCCAAGGATAGCCAGAGTTTGTTATTGCTACATTTCTGTGTCTCTGCTTTTCTGCAGTGTCCTCCCTGAAGACTGTTCATGTGTGGTTTGTTTTATTTAAGACTGTGTGGGAGGAGGTTAAAGATGAGCACAAAGGGCTTCATTGTAATTAAGCTTGTTTAGTTGAAGGAACACTTACTGATATGCCTCAGCTTTGTGTCCCCACACAAATCTCATATCGAACTGTAATCCCCAGGTATTAAGGGAGGGACCTCGTGTGGAAGGTGATTGGATCATGGGATTTGTTTTCCTAGTTTGTTCTCATCATAGTGAGTGAGTTCTTATGAGATCTGATGGTTTTAGAAGGGGCTGTTCTCACTTCACTCTCTCTCTCTTTCCTGCTGCCTTGCGAAGAAGGTATTTGCTTCCAATTCTCTTTCTCCTTCTGCGGTGATTGTAAGTTTCCTGAGGCCTTCCCAGCCATATGAAACTGTGAGTCAATTAAACCTCTTTTCTTTATAAATTACCACAGTCTTGGGTATTTCTTTTTTTTTGGAGACAGAGTCCCACTCTCTCACCCAGGCTGGGGTTCAGTGATGCAATCTTGGTGCACTGCAACGTCTGCTTCCTGGATTCAAGCAGTTCTTCTGCCTCAGCCTGCTGAGGAGTTGGGACTACAGGTGTGAGACACCAGGCCTGGCTAATTTTTGTATTTTTAGTACAGATGGGGTTTCGCCATATTGGCCAGGCTGGTGATGAACTCCTGGACTCAGGTGATCTGCCCACCTCAGCCTCTCAAAGTGCTGCGATTACAGGAGTCAGGTACTCATAGCAGTGTGAAAAAAGACTGATACATTTATTCTGCCTATAATACTGTCTTAGCCTGTTCAAACTGCTGTAAAAAATACCATAAGGTAGGTAGCTTATAAACAACAGAAATGTATTTCTTGGAGTTTTGGAGGCTGTAAGTCCAAGGTTAAGGGGATAGCAGGTTTGGTGTCCAGTGAGGGCCTGTTCCTTGGTTCGAAGACAACCCTTTCTTGCTGTGTCCTCACATGGTAGAAGGGGAAAGGGAGCTCTCTGTGGTCCCTTTTATAAGGGCACTGATCCCATTCATGAGGCCCCACCCTCATTATGTCATCATCTCCCAAACACCCCACCTCGTAATGCCATCACCTTAGGAGAGAGGATTTCAACATAGGAATTTGGAAGAGATAGGGACACAAACATTCAGATCATAGCATACAGGGATTATGTTATGAGTTCTAGTATTAGTAGTAATGATAGTAGTATAGTAACTAGAGTGGTTGAAAGAGGGAGAAAGAGTGGAGAAAGAGTAATAGTAGTACTAATAGCAGTGATTGTTAATATTTATTGCACATAGTACTAAGACATTTCATGTAATACCTCATGAAATACTGGCATCACTCTGAAGCAAGGATTAATATTATTCTAATAGAGATAATGTTTAGTGAGGTTAAATGACTTGAACCAATTTATTGAGCTAATAAAGAAACAGAAGTAGAATTCAAACCCATGCAGGAGGAGGGCAAGGTGACTTCTCTTATCTGCCACCATTTTGCATTAAGACATGGGCTTAATTATTTTATTTGCTCTTTGTATAATTTAAATCTGTGTTTTGGCACTTTGTAAGCAATGATTTCCTCTCCTACAAAAAGTTCATAATAATAAATTAACCTGACTTCTCACGGGCTTCAGGTTAGATTTTTTTTTTTAAAGGATGATATTGAGAAAGTGTTTTGTAAACTGCAAATTCTTCCTAAATGAATATTAGTCATTATCTTACTGGTATTCAGTATTTCTGTGTTCTAGATATGAAAATAGTTTGCAGTTACACAACTTTGCCAATAGCAATGGCATAAGTTTATGCTCAGAAATTATGATCTCTGAATTTGAAAGCCTGAAAAGGTTTTGGAGATGATCCAGTTTAGTGCGTGTGTGTGTGTGCATGGATTCTCCTAGGATGATTCTAATGTATACTCAGGGAACAAAAATGACTGATTGGACCAATACACTTCTTTCTGTTAATTAGGGTAACTGTACATTTACCTAGAGAAGTTTTAGTTGACACTTGTTGCTCAGTGTACCGGCTAATGATCCTGCCCTCTTTCACTCCCAGGTGTCACAAGTTGGATGATAAATAGTGTAGTCCCTCTGCTGATAAGGAACTGAGGCTTAGAGAGGCTGTTTGCCTGAGGCTGGGCTCCCTGGCTGAAGCCTGTAATCCCAGCACTTTGGGTGGCAGAGACAGGTAGATTGCCTAAGGTCAGGAATTCAAGACCAGCCTGGCCAACATAGTGAAACCCTGTCTCTACTAAAAATACAAAAAATTAGCTGGGCGTGGTGGTAGGCACCTATAATCCCAGCTACTTGAGAGGTTGAGGCAGGAGAATGGCTTGAACTGCGGAGGCGGAAGTTGCAATAAGCCAAGATCACATGATTGCACTGCAGCCTGGGTGACAAGAGCAAAATACTATCTCAAAAAAAAAAAAAAGAAAGAAACTGAATGTGATATCTGACCTGGGCTTTCAGAGACTATGTTGAGCACCATGTGGGTACGCAGGATCCTTCTTGATATTCTTAAGCTGAGAGAATTTCTTAATTTTTCTGTAACAATAAAACTCTTAAAAGTAAAAATGTGCTGTGTTTCCCGGTCACCCAACTAAGCAATGCAATGCTGAGGTCTGTCGTCTGACCTGATTCATTTATGAGGACATTTGATCATTGCTTACAATTGTGAAAAAAAGTCTTCTCATGCATGCTGTCAATTCTTCTTTAGGATATTCTCTTTAGAAAACAAACCAAGAGCTTTATCTGAACTGCCACGACACTGGCTTTCTGAAAATCATTATGCGTGGTGATATGGATCCTGCTATATGTGCCATGTGTAATGATGACATTTAATGAAACCTCTAATGAAAAGACTTGAACAAGCAATTTGGGGTACAGTTCCTCAAATATGTGGTGATGCACTCTTCTCAGTTGAGACTT
Organism: Homo sapiens; assembly: GCF_000001405.40. Lineage (NCBI taxonomy): Eukaryota > Metazoa > Chordata > Mammalia > Primates > Hominidae > Homo > Homo sapiens. The sequence continues at coordinate 14,062,660 of NC_000024.10, read as the reverse complement.
TTGCAGCCAATGTCAAATTTAATTTTAGCATTTAGGTCACCATAATCCATTATGTGCATGTTCCAGAACAATGAAGATAATTTTAAGGTAGTGTACAGGAAGGTTGTATTCTGTACACATAGAAATCTATTGATATGGGCATATTTCTACAGTAATAGTATGGGTTTCTTTTCATCATAGGGCATATTGTTCCAGTTTGACTCAATCAGAAATGTAGATCTTGAAAAGTGAAGGTTTGCCACCGGAGATGTTGCAGTTGAAATCCGTTAGAATGAAGCTAAGGACAGCATATGTTCCTGTCACCCAGCCTTAATAATTTGACCTACTTGGGGAATTCAGGGATTGCATGATATTCCAAGGATTCAATGCCTCACCTGACTGGAGGCAAGTATTAACCCATCTTCTCATCAATGATTGTGGGTGAGTGTCAGAAATGGATGGATAGCAGAGATTCTTTCTATTACAAAGTTTCAAGAAAATCTTTGCAAAGTATACTGGGACTTCCTTTGATTTAAACGGTTCCATGGCCTGACTATGGATGTTGGGAACAGTGTTATGGCTGTGCATATGGCCCCTCAGCAAACTCCTGTTATTTGCAAGTGTGTTTTCTAATATTGAGATTTAGAATCTAGGAAATTTATATTCTTATAATTACCTACTTTAAGAAAGAAAGGTTTCCCTAGACATAGAGGAAATGGGACACTTGCAAGTGTTTTTCCTGAATCATTCAAGCCTTGTTGAGTGCTTCGTCTCTGAATTCCTAGTGCAGCATGCACATCCCTTTATCATGATTCATAGCACAGTGTACTGTAATAATTTTTTTGTGAGTCTTTCTCCATTACTAGACTGGAGAGCAGAAATCAGGTCAGTCATATTTGCATCCCCTACACTTAGCAACAAAACTGGAACATAGCGGATATTCAAAAATCCTTAGTGAATTAATAACTGCCCAAAAGATGAAGAGCAGCTTAAGTATCCAGTCAAGCCACGTGACCTTGGAGTCCTCCCACACACACTCAGAGAGCTGTAATATTTAGGCTGAAGCCTAATCCTTTGTTTGCCTGTTTGCTTGGGAAGAGTAGTTGATAGTTACTGCTAACCAACCGCTGCCTTAAAGAAAATCCTGCAAAATAATTAACTACAAAATTTACTGATGACATAAACTATTTCATATGACTTGAATAAAAGTAATTACATTTCTATTTTTCTAAAAAACAGGAGAGATGTTAAATTGTAATAACGTTGGGCAACGGTATTACTTTTTACAGGAATATATTATACATAAGTTGCAGTGAAATAATAATTACCTTATATATTCATATGAATATTGTTTGTCTTATTTCTGTTCTTCAGTTCTTCATTTTTTTAGTCTAATAAAATTGTGTATTTTAGAACTATGTGACTGTATTTCTAACATTCAAGACATACATTTCTGAAGATTATGAAGTAAATCATAGTTTTTTGGCATTTTCATAAGCAATCGAGTTACTCGTCCCAGGAATAAAACATTTTTCCAATAAAATCTGCACCCTGTAGTCATGATAGTATCAATTCCAGTTTTCAAAACGCTGAGGAAATCAGCATAATCAATTAATTTCTAAAGGTGTTACTGTTTGAACTGCCTGCGACTGTATTAATGCTAACTGTGCAAACTCTTCCTGCAGTAGAGTTTAGAATCCATTTTTAAAATGACTGGATGAGGGATCTAGGGTGAATGCAAGACCCAGAAATCCTTTCATATTTTCAGCCTTTTAATACACTTGTAGTTGTAGTGGAGAGATACAGCTTCTCAGTCCTAGAGAACTAACTGTAAATGACCCAGAATGCCTGTGTCTGCTTCATGCTCTTTCTGAAATAATCATGAATATCCTTTTGTATTTTATAGACCTGCCTGCTCTGCTTAGTCTAAGATTTCAGACAAGGCCTAATAAAACTTGTTGCAGTATTTGCTGACTCGCTGGGGCTACTGGCTTCTCCTTGTTCAAACTGTCAGGAAATCATCACTGTCTCTTCAGATCAGAGAGTTTCTGCCCATACTCTATGCAGGTGACAGCATTTGCTATCTGAGACAGATTGTGACTTGATTGCTGCTCCTATTTGGGCAGAAGCTCTATTTGCTCTCAAATATCATGAAGCCCAATGTCCTAAGGCAAGCAAAATTTTGTAACTGAAAGAACTAAGTTCTTAGGAGTCAGGAGCAGAGGAAGCTGCATGGTCAAGGGGAATCAACATGAGCCTTCCTGCCATGTGCCGTATTTCCTGCGGTCTAATGAGACAGAGACATATGTATGTATACATCATCTCATGCTTAGCTCTTTAATATGTACAAGGTGTTTTCAAATTTTCCCAGCAACTGTCTTTGACAGCTGAGAATTTCAAGATCACCTGTTGTTCATGACTGCTGTCAAGGGGAACGTCCCTTTAGGGACACAGGAAGATTTGCCTAAAAATGTCAGGAAGCTTTGATATCTATTATTTTATTATAAAAATCAACTACAGCTTTGCTGCTATATTACTTCAGGTCTTTACTCATTCCACTGTTTATGTCAAGCCTGAGCTTGTGGATAGTTGGAGGAGGAGGGAAAATATGTAACACTCTTATTAACTAATTTTACTGTGTATATAACATGTAGAGTAAAGAAAGACTTAAAGGAAGATGTAGTATTTGTGAATGCTCCAACAAATTAAAATATTATTTAAATTATTGATTTCTAATTAAACCACTTATTGTCTATAATGAATTAAAATAGTTTGTGAAATAAATTCATTGATATTTTTGCATTTATAATTTGAAAATCATAGTAACTTTCCAAATCTGAAAACGCCTGAAACACAAGTCTGCCAATCATCACAATAAAACATGAAGCCCTAGTGAAGTAAGTCTGCCAATCATCACAATAAAACATGAAGCCCTAGTCAGGATGGGTTCCCAACAAATAGCAGCTGAAGCTCCAACTGCCATGAAATGATGAAAGAAACACGGTTTAAGTGCCATGGATAATTTTTTCAATGCCAAAAGAATCATCACAGACTGTCGTGACATGCAGAGCTTGAACGGAAATATGGCATTAAAATAAGGTGGACAAAATTAATTATTGAATGTAATTTTGAAACACATTGCAAAATTGCTCCCTAATATATCCCAAACCCAAAAATGACCACTGGCAAGATGAGTTTACTACTGTTTTTATGTTGTCATTATGGAAAAAACTATAGGAGAAAGTTCACCAATTTCCCTTTGGAAAGAGATCTGCAACCACAGACCATAGGCTTTCCTAAAAGGCAGCAGGAGCTTTTTATGGGGACTTGTTTCCCATCCATAACATGCAAATATTTATCGTTCAGGGTCAATACAGCCTTGCAAATAAACAGGCTTTGAGTTATACCTAGCATGCTCATTTTTATATGGTAATTCCATATAAGAAATACAAAAGAAATATACCACAAAATGATGGTGTTCGGGACATGGGGCAACGCCCTGTTTCTGTGGTACAGCGTCCTAGGTTTCGTAGGATTCCATAGGAGGCAGCTACAAGTTCAACTTGCAAAGCTCTGAAATCCCTTCCTAACCTAATGAAGTGAAGCCATGACTGCACCAAGGAAAGGATGAAACAGAACTAATTTATTGTTTCTCAAATGATGCTACCATCTCTTCTAAGCCGCCATTAATTTAACATCTGTAAAGCTCTAAGAACAATCTACGTAACAAGTGAAAACTGCCTATAAAATTAGTGCTTTACATCTCAAACCCTCATTATATGGAAATTCATATTTTCAGAATCACATAAAAGTTTAACGTGCTATTCATCGTAAGATTAAAGAGCATGAGTTATTCAGCCCGTGTAATTATTAACAAGTGGAAATTAAATCGTGATAATTTTGTACTCTTTTCTTCTTAAAATGATAATTTCCTTTCTCCTTTTGCCTGAGACCCCTGCTTGAACAATACTAACAGCTTACCCTCTAAAATAAATGATTATATATCATATATGAATAATTGTTTATATATGTATTTATACATAAAATATATAAATATTTCTATATATAATCTACAAATCATAAGAAAACACATATATTAATATATACATTTATATAGTAGGTTCCAGTATTTATAGAAAAGACCTGCGTATTTCTAACAGATATATATCATCTATATCAATATATATTTATATTTCTATTACATATAAATATATAATCCATATTCCTATATTTGTATTTATATATTTATATGTAAATATATATTATATATAGCTTTGTATACAGTAAATATAGTTGTATATTACATTTTATTTACATATGTTTCTATACATTTGTATACAGTGAATTCTACTATATAAAGGACCTGTGTCTTTCTAATATATGGAAATATGAAATGTACTTTTTGTCTCCTCAGTTGCAAAAAGGCTTTTTTCAAGTAGATAGATATTGCTCTACTTTGAATTTTTCTTCTTAATTATATTAGATTGTAGGGAGGGGACCCTGAAAGGAAAGAGATGGAAACCATTGTACCATCAGTTTATATTGAGGAAAAGGTATTTTAACAATGAAACCTAAGTAGGTAGAATCCAGATCCTGGTACTTGGTGCTTGTGCTGGCAGGATTGCAAGAAAAAATAAACCCTAAATGAAGCAGAGTCATCCTGTGAGGGGGAAATTTGTCTCCAGTGCTCAGCCATGACGCAAACCTTATGCTCCTGTCTGGCAAACTGTGACCTCTCCCTCTGCCCTCAAGCCCGCAAGACCCCACTTCCCTCCCTCCCCGCACAACACCTCTTCCTTCCTTCTTTCGTTTCTCGCTCCCCACTCACCACCTCTTCCCCCCTTCCTCCCTCCCCACAGGCCACCTCTTCCTCTCTCCCTCCCAACACACCACCTCTTCCTCCCTCCCTCCCTGCATACCACCTTTTTCTCCCTCTCTCCCCACACACCACCTCTTCCACCCTTCCTCCCTCCCCACAGGCCACCTCTTCCTCCCTCCCTCCCTACACACCACCTCTTTCTCCCTCTCTCACTCCCCACCCACCTTCTGTTCCTCCCTGCCTCCCGACCCACCACCTCTTCCTACCTCCCCGCCACACACCTTTTCCTCCCTCCCTCCCTACACACCACGTATTCCTGTCTCCCTCCCCACACACCACGTCTTCCCCCCTGTCTCCCTCCTGACACACCTCTTCTTCCTCCCTCCCTCCCCACACACCTCTTCTTCCTCCATCCCTTCCCACACACCTCTTCCTCCCTCCCTCCCCACACACCTCATCTTCCTCCCTCCCTCCCACCCCACACACCACCTCTTCCTCACTCCCTCCCCACCCACCACCTCTTCCTCCCTCCCCACACACCACCTCTTCCTCACTCCCTCCCCACCCACCCCTTCCTCCCTCCCCACACCACTTCTTCCCTCCCTCCCCACAAACCTCCTCTTCCTCCCTCCCTGCCCACCCACCACCTCTGCCTCCCTCCCTCCCTCCCTACACACCACCTCTTCCCGCCTGCCTCCCTCCTGACACACTTCTTCCCTCCCTCCCCACACACCACCTCTTCCTCCCTCCCTCCCCACACACCACCTCTTCCTTCCTCCCTCCCCACCCACCACCTCTGCCTCCCTCCCTCCCCACACACCACCTCTTCCTCCCTCCCTCCCCACACACCTCTTACCCCCCCCTCCCTCCCTCCTCACCATCAGAGAACACGGAGTCACTCAGATCGGTTTGCAACACATTCATTTTATTGTCATCAACATGGGAAGCACCCTGCTGGTGAGATCTCTGAGGTCTGGCAGCTGGGCCTAAACTTAGTTGCTGCTCAGGGAGATAGGGGAGTAGATGGGCGCCCCTTACTCAGTGGTTCCTCCAGCTCGCTCTCCTGACTCAGGGGGTCGTGCTGGGTCCCCTCGCTCACTGGCTCCTCCGGCGGCAGCTCGTGCTGAGGGAGCTCCTGGCTGGGCTGGTCGCTGGGGCCGGGTGCCGCTGGCCCGCTCTCCGCCTCAGGTGCCGTCACGGCCGCCATCTTTGTCGCAGCCCCTTTCTTCCCGCGTCTCCCTCCACGAACTGCTTCTCCCTTCTCGGCCACCTTGGTAGTCTGGAAGGACAACAGGGAGATCACAGAAGGGCTCTGGTTTAGGGACGAGGATGGAGGAGGCTGGGAACAGGGACGTGTCCTCAGAAGCGGTGGGGGCCGGGTTGGGGGGTTGTGCCAAGTGAGGACAGGAGAGGCTTCTTGTGAGGAAAGAGGCGAGGGGAAGACGAGGAGGAGCTTGGGAGGGTCACTCACCTTCTTCTTCGGGCCACTGGGGCTCGGCTGAGAGGAGGACTTCCTCTTTCCTGTCTCCTTGGCCTTGGCCGGAGGTCCCGAGGCTCTCGGCTTTGGACTCATCTGCCGCAGCTCAACGTCTCGCAACGGTCGACTAACTCCAGGCTGCCTGGCCTCCCTGTGTATACCCCTCTCGCGATCCCAGGACGAGACGATCACGCCCCTGAGCTGTGATTGGTCAACACTCCACTACCCAGCCAATGGTAGCCCTGGGTGGGAAGGAAGGCCTTATACGTCATAAAGCACCATCAGGACATGGCGGATGAAGTCGGGGGCGGGGGGGGGGGGCGGTGACATCTAATGAGGAAGGCAGGGTGCTCTAGTTGGAGAAAGGGAGATTTGGGTTAGCACCCCTAAAGATAGTTCCCAAACTGACATGTCGCCCCTCCTAAACTCCCCATGTTCAGTTTTGGCAGATCATGTGGCAAGGGAGGATATTTCCCCCACATGTTTCCCCCGGAACCCCCATTCAGTGGTACATTCTGTTCCTCCACAACTACCATCATTACCCAGTTTCTGTATGTCCTACCTAAAATCCCTCCATGCTAACTGGGATGGATGGAGGGCTGTACGAAGACGTCAGTCATCCCTCTCTCCTACAAATTCCTCTGCTACACCTTGAGGATCATTCACTTCTTGGCTGCCATGGAACAACTTTTCCATCTCACATGCTTCTCCCAGCATCCACATAGTGCCTCACAATTTTTCATTCTCATGGTTTAAAGCACTGGCTTCCAGAGGTCAAGATTAGCAAACACACTAGCTCAGCTGGGTATCTGTATCGGGCTGGGTTCCTCAGAGAAGGAGAAACTAAACCAAACAGGATACTCTGTGTGTGTGTGTGTGTGTGTGTGTGTGTGTGTGTGTGTGTGTGTGTAATATTATATATCATAAATATGTATTTACTACCATGTAGTATTTATTTATGAATAATATTATATATGAGATACAGTTTATTCTAAACAATTGGCTCACACATTCACACAATGTGGGGGTCTAGGCAGCTGAAATGTATAGGGCAAGTGAGCATCCTGGAAACTAAAAGTTTCTGCACAGCCAACAATCAACACAATGAAAAGGCACGCTATGGTTTGGGAGAAGCTATTTGCGAACCATATATCTAATAATGAGTTAATATCCAAAGTATATAAAGAACTCACATAGCTCAATAGCAAATAAATAGTATGGTTAACAAATAGGCAAAGGACTTGAATAGGCATTTCTAGAAAGAAAACACACAACTGGCCAACAGGTATATGAAAATGTGCTCAACATCGTTAATAATCAGAGAATGCAAATGATAACCACAATGAACTATCACCTCACTGTTACATGCTGTTGACAGACGTGTAATTGGCACAGCCGTTATAAAAAATAGTATAATTGTTCCTTGGAAAATCAAAATAGATCTACCATACGACCCAGCAGCTCATCTGTTGAGTATGTACCCCACCCCTGAAATGAAGTCCACATCTCATACAGATATCTCCAGTACTAATTGTAACTCACTAATTACACAGGAAATTAGAGTTTCTATTTGAAAAGAATGGTTTTTTTTTCACCATTCTGGTATCAAATATTTATTCTAGTCATCTCTTCTTATTTCTTACTTTGTAATAACCTAGGTACTGCTGCCCATTGACAGAACCACCTTATTATTCCAGCAAGAAATGAGAAATATTGAGGAGAATGCAATATTATACTTCTGTCTTCAACCAGTTTTTCCCATTTTAGGGAGGATTCTGTATTTAACTCTTACTCAGGTAACTCTAGTTACCATATCCGTAGTACCTAGTCAACAATCCAAAAAAAGTAAGAACACAGAATTGACTGGAGTGGTTACTAAACTTTCTATGTTCAACCAGTTTCCTAGTAATTGCTAGTTGTTTATTCAACTAGTACTGAGAAGAATTTGTTTATTCCAGGTACTGGCTTCATGTAGTTATCTCTAGTTAATTACTTACTTGGATAAAGTTGAAAGCTACTGTATTAGGTAATACTTCTAACATGAGGTTGGAATTTTGCATTGAGGAAAATGGTTATTGAACTCCCTGGCATAGGCCAGTTATCTTCAGCTTCCTGGGATCAATTACCTGGTCTGGCTAATTCTAGCTATCTTTAGGTTGCTAATTACATGTTTACCACCAGATGTCTGTGGTAATTCATTATTCCAACAAAACGTAGTAGAATGATTAGGAAGGATTTTGCTTTTTCCAGACATCACATAGATATTCAAATTATCTCCTGTTATCCTTTGTACCTTTTTTTCCTGGGTAACACTCAGCACCTATCCTTCTAAGTTCTTATCCCAACTAAAATCAATAATTGAGACTTGCAAAGGATATGATTTTCAGGATCAGGTTCACTTGGTATTGCAATGATTGTTAGCTGTTTCTATGAAATGTGTTTCATGGGAAAGCCCAGTTAAGTAGAACTTACGTATTAACTCAACACCAGCAAAATTTTATCTGACCTGACCAGATTCCCTATGTTCTACATTCCACTGAACTATTCTTGCTGTCTCTATTTTACTACTTACTTAGGTACCTGACTTATCTGTGGTAGTAATTCATTATTCCAACAATAACTCAGCAGGACGTGGTGAGAAGAATGTGATTTTATTTTTAAAATATATTTTTATTGAGGTAAAATATACACATGTAATGTATCTGCTTTACACCTGTAACCGTGCAGTTCAGTGGTAATAAATACATTTATATTCTTTTATTTCCCCTTCATCCCCTGCTTCCCCTTCTGGCCTCTGGTAACCATCACTATAGTCGCTATCTTCATGAGAACCACTTTTTTAGCTCCCATATATGAGTGAAAACATGCAATGTTTGTTTTTCTGTGCCTGGCTTATTTCATTTAACATAATATCCAGTCATTCTTTTCATGCCTGGATAATATTCCATTGTGTACGTATGCCACATTTGCCTAATCCATTCATCCATCAATGGGCACTTAGGCTAAATCCATATTTTGGCTATTGTGACTTGTGCTGCAATACACATGAGTATGCAGATATATCTCTTTGATCTTCAGATAAATTTATTTATCTATCTATCCATCTCTCTCTCTCTCTCTCTCTCTCTCCTCTCTCTCCCCCTCCCTCTCTTTCCCCAGCAGTGGAATACTTGGATCATATACTAGTTCTATTTTTAGGATTTTGAGGAACCCCATACTGTTCTCCATAGGGGCTGTAGTAAATTACATTCCCACCAACAGTGTACACAGGTTCCCCTTTCTCCACCTCCCTGCTCGCATCTGTTCATGCCTGTATTTTGATAAAATCCATTTAACTGGAGTGAGATGATATTGCATTGTGGTTTTGATTTGTATTTCTCTGATGATTCATAATAAGCATGTTTTCATATGCCTGCTGGCCATTTTTGTGTCTTCTTTTGAGAAACATCTATTCAGATTATTTGTCCATTTTTAAGTCAGATTGTTTGTTATTAACTTTTTTGAGCTCCTTCTGTATTCTGGTTATGAATCCCGTATCAGATGGGTAGTTTGCAAATATTTTCTGCCATTCTGTGGGTTGTCTCTTCACTTGGTTGATAATTTCCTTTGCTATGCAGAAGCTTTTTAACTTGATGTAATCCCGATAGTTTATGTTTGCTTTGATTCTTGTGCTTTTGAGGTCTTACTCAAGAAGTCTTTGCCCAGACCAATGTCCTGGAGCATTTCCCCAATGTTTTTTGGTGGTTTCAGTTACAGGTCATGAATTCAAGTCTTTTTTTTTTTTTTTTTTTGGTTTTTGTTTTGTTTTGTTTTGTTTTGTTTTGTTTTTTTGACAGAGTCTCATCTCACTCTGTTGTTCAGGCCCAGGCTGGAGTGCAGTGTCACCATCTCTGCTCACCATAACATCCACCTCCACGGTTCAAGTGATTCTCGTGCCCCAGCCTCCCGAGTAGCTGGGATTACAAGTGTGCACCACCACAGCTGGCTAAGTTTTGTAGTTTTCATAGAGACGGGTTTCACCATACTGGCCAGGCTGGTCTCGAACCCCTGACCTCAAGTGACCCACTCACCTCGGCCACCCAAAGTGCTAGGATTACAGGCGTGAGCCACCACTCCCAGCCAGATTCAAGTCTTTAATCCATTTTTGATTTGCTTTTTGTGTGTGGTGAAAGAGAGGAATCTAGTTTCATTCTTCTGCATATACTCATCCAGCTTTCCTAGTGCTATTTATTGAAATGTTGGTCTTTTCAGCATCATATGTTCTTTTTGTCTTTGTTGAAGTTGAGTTGGTTGTAAGCATGTGGCTTTATATCAGGTTCTCTATTCTGCTCCATTTGTCTCTGTGTCTGTTTTTAAGCCGGTACCATGCTGCTTGGTTCACTATAGCTTTGTCGTAAAATTTTGAAGTCAGGTAGTGTGCTGCTTCCAGCTTTTCACTTTTTGCTCAGGATTGCTTTGGCTATTTGAGGTATTTTATGGTTTCCTATGAATATTATAAGTTTTTTCCTGTTTCTGTGAAGAATGTCTTTGGTAGTTTGGTAGGGCTTGCATTTAATCTGTTAATCGCTTTGGTGAGTATTGTGAATTATACAATATTAATCCTGTCAATCTATAAGCCTGGACTATCTTTCCATGTTTTTGTGTCCTGAGAAGACAGTTGTTTTTTTTTTTTTAATTTCTGTATTTAACTAGTTTTTCTAGCTATTATTACTTATTCCTAGTAAACTAATTACCTGGGTACTGGCAGGTACAGGTCGACCTCATTTTATTGTGATGCACATTTTTGTGTTTATAGATATTGTGTGTTTTTTATAAATTAAAGTTTTCTGGCAACCGTCAAGCATGTCAGTGTCATTTTTCCAACAGCATGTGCCCACTTCATGTCCCTGTGTCACATTTTGGTAATTCTCACAATATTTCCAACTTTTCCATCATGATTATATCTGTTATGATGATTTCTGATCAGTGATCTTTGATGTTATTATTGTAATTGCTTTAGGACTCCAGAAACTGGGCCCATAGAAGAACACACAAGGAGGCATCGCACTACCTGACTTCAAAATATACTACAAAGGTATATTTCAAAATATACTACAGATCTACAGGAGGAGAAAGACGACGGAACAGAATGCTTCACTGATTGTCCCCCTGACCCCCCACCAAGGACACCAATTTAACAACTATCTACACAGAAAAAAACATCTTCATGAGAACCAAAAATCAAGTGAACACCCATAGTACCTGGTTTTAACTTCACGTAGCTTGATATGGTTTGGCTGTGTCCCCACCAAAATCTCAACTTGATTTGTATCTCCCAGAATTCCGACGTGTTATGGGAGGGACCTAGAGGGAGGTAATTGAATCATGGGGGCCGGTCTTTCCTGTGCTAATCTCCTGATAGTGAGTAAGTCTCATGGGATCTGATGGATTTACCAGGGGTTTCTGCTTTTGCTTCTTCTAAGTATTAAGGCGGATATTGCCTGAGTTTGAGTCCCTCCTGAACAATAGACAAACGTCTCCAACTGGTTCACAGGTGTAGGTAGTGCGTTCTTTGTGGGGTGCTGGTGCCACCTTGACCCTGGAGCAGTAAATCCACTTGATGTTTGAGTTGAACAGCTGTCGGGGTCATAAGGAGAACTTGGTATGGTCCAGTCCACGCTGGCTCCAGTGGCTTTTTGTCCTGTGGGAGAGTTTTAAGATATACCTAGTCTTCAGGCATAAGGTTAGGGTGAGTGTTTCCTGAAAAAGAGGGGCCAGGTGTTGGGCTATGAAGACTTTGATAATGATTGATGGCCTTGATGGTTTGTCCCAGGGACATAACATACTGTATGAGATAATGTCTCTTTGGGTCTAACAAAAGGTCAGTTTGGAAGAAAGATCTTCCAAAGAGATTCCAAAGAGAATCTCGAAAGGGCTAGATGGGCTTCACATTTTGCGGTGATACAGGCTCTTAAGAGTACAATGGGGGGCAAAGTTGACCATAACTGTTGGGTTTCATGTGTTAACTTTGTGAGGTGCTTTTTCTGGTTTGATTGGCTGTCTCCGCCTTCCCAGAAGATTGTGGACGTCAAGACGCATGCAGATAATATTTGATCTGGAGAGCTTCACTGATTCTCTGAAAAAAACAAAAAAATTATTTTTTTCTTTTTTCTTTTTTTTTTTTTTTTTTTGACAGATTCTCATCTCACACTGTTGTTCAGGCCCAGGCTGGAGTGCAGTGTCACCATCTCGGTTCACTATAACATCCACCTCCTCGGTTCAAGTGCTTCTCTTGCCCCAGCCTCCCGAGTAGCTGGGATTACAAGTGTGCACCACCAGAGCTGGCTAAGTTTTGTAGTGTTCGTAGAGAAAAAATGAAATGAAATTTCATGAGAACCAAAAATCAAGTGAACACCCATCGTACCTGGTTTTACCTTCACGTAGCTTGATATGGTTTGGCTGTGTCTCCACCGAAATGTCAACTTGACTTGTATCTCTCAGAATTCTGACGCGTTATGGGAGGGACCTAGGGTCCCTCATTTTAAGAAATGAAAGTGGGGCCATTGTCTGACTGTAGGGCATGAGGGAGCCTAAAACAAGGAAGAATGCGGTCTAAAAGGGCTGAGGTGACTTCTGAGGCCCATGCAGTTTTGGCGGGAAGGGCCTTTATCCATCCAGTGAAGGTGTCTACAAAGACTAACAAATACCTGACTAACAAATACACACATTGCATGATGCATGTGTGTAAAATATATTTGCCAGTCTTCTCGGGGTAGGGTTCCTCTCTTAGAATGGGTTGAAGGATTTGGGGAGGTTTGTGTCCTCCCTCTGGGTTTATTTGGCCTCAGGTGGGACATGCCTGTGAGATGGCTCATAGAGCTTGGGCTATCCCCGTGCTGGTGAACAGTGACTTTATTAGATCTTGGAAGGCCTTAGCCCCTAGATGAGTTGATTGGTATACGCTATTTAGAAACTTCAATTGTGAGGCTCCTGGGAGCAAGAGTTTGCCATTAGGACTTTTTAGCCAGCCCTCTGAGGTATGGGAGAAACCTCTTTCTAGAGCTTTTTGGGCTTCCCCCTCTTTATAGTGTGGAGACAGGGAAGTTAGGCTAGGAATGAAGACAGCCTGAAAGGGTGACCTGGCAGCCACTTTTACTTATTTGTCAGCCCAGGTGTTCCCGATAGAGATTTCATCATTGCTTCTCTGATGGGCTTTGCAGTGAATGATAGTGACCTGTGGGGGAAGCATAGCTGCCTCCAACGGGGCCATGATTTCAGGAACACATTTAATGGAAGTATTTCAGGCCATTAAAAGTCCTCTTTCCTGCCAAATGGCTGCATGGGCATGCACTGCATGATAGACATAGGCTGAGTCTGTGTAAATATTAAGCCTCAGGCCTGCCCCTAATTGTAAGGCACAGGTAAGAGCAATGAGCTCAGCCTTTTGGGCTGAGGTGCTACTTCCTGGCAGAGGTCCAGATTCTGTGATTTCAGTTAGGTTAATAGTAGCATACCCTGACAGTTGGGTTCCACCTATCATAAAGCTACTGCCATCTGTGTACCGTGTGGCCTCTGAATCTATAAGGGGAATATCCTGGAGGTCTGGTCTAACATTACAGGTTAGATCTATGGTTTCCAAGCAAGAATGTTAAAGTGGCCTCTCCACATTTGGGTTTGGTAACAGCATGCCAGCATTAAGGGTTGGCAGAGCCTAATACTCAATTCTGGTACCTGTAGAAGGAGTGTTGGAAATTTGCTTATATGGCTCTGTGAGATCCAGTGAAAGGCCTTTGAGTTTAGGACATTCATTACTTGATGTGGGGTGTAGACAGTTATTGCTTGGCCCAGAATTAGCTCGGAGGCCTCCACAACCAGGAGAGCCACACACACTAGCACTCAGAGGCATGGCAGCCATCCCCATGCCTTTTTTTTGACAAGTAACTAGCTGGCCACTGGGAGGGTCCCAGTGGCTGAGTGAGGACTCCAAGGGCTGTATCCCTTCTCTCAACTATGAACAAGTAAAGATGCTTTGTAAGATCTGGCAAGGCCAGGGCGTGGGCTTGTTTGAGGGTTTTTAGAACACTGTCCATTTCAAGGCTCCAATTTAAGAGCTCCCCCCCGCCGATCCTTGCAGTGCCCCATAAAGAGGTTTTGCTATAAGTCCTAACCGGGTTGTCCAAATGTGACAGAAACCTACCATTCGAAGAAAGGACTACAACTGATGTTTAGTGGATGGAATGTCCACGTTTAGCATAAGATTTTTGCGGTGGTCTGAGAGATCCTTGGGCCCTGGGATGAATGTTAGTCTCAAGAATCAAACCTCCTGAGAGAAGATTTGAGCTTTGGAAGGAGACACTTTATACCCACAAGGAGCCAATGTCCAAAGAGTTGTAATAGTATTTAGGTCTGAGGCATTTTTGGTTGGATTGCAAATAAGCGGTTATCAACATATTGAAGGACTGCTTGAAGCTAGGAGTTTGAGACCAGCCTGGACAACCTAGTGAGACCCCTTCACTACAAAAAAAGTATTATAAGCTGCAGGTGGATGCACTTACCTTTGGTCCCAGCTTCTTGGCAGGCTAAGGTGGGAATGTCGCTTGGGCCCAGAAAGTAGAAGCTGCAGTGGGCTATGACCATGCCACTGCTCTCCAGCCTGGATGGCAGAGTGAGAGCTTGTGTCAAAACAAACAAAGAAACAAACAAAAACCTGCAAGCCCTGTGCTAGCCACTTTATGGATATATAAAGGTATATGCATATGCAGAGGGTAGAGAATCTTCACAACAAAGGGAGTAGGTAGGAATTTTTTTTATATTTCAAATAAAGAATAATCTCATTTCACATAAAGATACTTGAATTTCAGGAGCTTAAAGAACTTGCTGAAAGTTACAAATTAATTATGTGACAAGGTTGGAATCTGAACTTCTCTTTCACCACTACTACTATATAGCTTCCCGGGTTTATAGTAGTAATTAAATCACGGAGGGAAATAAGTAAAATTGGCCAATGAAAGGGAAGCAGCACAGGTATAAATAAACTTACCTGTCATAAAGTCCTCCTTCTTATCATGCAATGTCCTGCCTAACATGTTGACGTAAATAAGGTCCATGTCCATTATTAGCTCAACAAGTTAAATGATTCATTTTATTTTCCTTTGACGGCTTTTTCAAAAGGAAAAAAAGTGGGCTAGCACAGAATGTGTTGTAATCATGAGTATAGACTAGGAGATTCTTTGTTTCAGTTTTTTTTTTTTTTTTTTTTTTTTTTTTTTCCTGAGACGGCATCTCGCTCTGTCGCCCAGGCTGGAGTGCAGTGGCATGATCTCGGCTCACTGCAAGCTCTGCCTCCCGGGTAGCTGGGACTACAGGCACCCGCCACCACGCCCGGCTAATATTTTTGTATTTTTAGCAGAGACAGGGTTTCACCCTGTTAGCCAGGATGGTCTGGATCTCCTGACCTCGTGATCCGCCCACCTCGGCCTCCCAAAGTGCTGGGATTACAGGCATGAGCCATTGCGCCCGGCCAGAATAGGAGATTCTTTGTAAATGAGTATATGTGTTTAAGAAATACATTCATATGGTTATGTTGAGGCAGATGCCACATATCCACACAAACCACATTAGCATCTGCAGTTTTCAAATTTCAGAAATAGTTTTCACGCACACATGTAAAAATATAAAAGCATTCATGAACACATTACCTATTTCAGTAATACATATTTCAATACATAAATGATTTAGCTTATCAACAAATTAATTTATAAGTGTGATAAAGAACAGAAGACACAAGAATTTATGCAGCATTGAAAGTCTTTGGTCACTGGGTGTCATGATGTTCCCCTGTAGTGATTAACCTTTCAGCAATAAAAGATCCTGAATTTTTGGAGAGGAACACTTCAGTGTTACATGGATTAGCATTGTCAATAGAAAGTTTTATTAAAATATGCCACAGTTTTTTCTCAGATTATTATGTCATATTTAAACCACATTATTAATGTAGCTTTTTACCTGAAACTGACCAAGAAATATTAGATGTTCAGATATTTAAATAACAAAGGAATACACAATTCTGTCGGTCATCTTCAAGTTTTATTGTATCCAGGTTAAATCTGAAGAATTTGTACAGTGTATTGATGTGTGTGCCTGGGTACATTTTTGGAAGAACTCTTGGTTATACAGAATTTCCACTGTACAGAAGTTAGCCCTAGATATAATTATTGTGTCTTAGTGTCCAGCTGCTTTTACCCATGCCTTGTGTGTGCATACCTGATAGCAGATGTATTCTAAAACTGCAACCACTAATCAGAACCAGATACCTATGTTTTTTTCTCTTTGAATATGCTCCACTCTGCCAAGTTCGATGGAAGTGAGTGGTTGTGACAATTCAAAACAGTTGTGCCTGTTCTACAACACAAATGCTGCTGAACTTGGAGAAAAGACCTGTGCAGACAGAATGAGAAGACTTAGTCAGTTGCTCTAAGAACGTCATTGGAAAGTTTTTCTTTCTTTTCTTTTCTTTTCTTTTCTTTTCTTTTCTTTTCTTTTCTTTTCTTTCTTTTCTTTTCTTTTCTTTTCTTTTCTTTCTATTTATTTTGAAGGCTAGTTATTGACTAAGTTGTAAAGGTGAATCTGATAAACTGGCTGACTAGTTTAGAGGTCAATATTTAAACCATGGAATTGAATCCGTAGAGGGCAAGAGTTGGAAAAGATGAAAATAGGTTCATGGGACAGTTATATTTTATTTTTGTTGTTTTTGAAACTGAATCTGGAAAATATCCAAGTTATGTTTCAATATATGACACTACATCTTTAAATGACAATTTTGGCGTATATTGTTATGGCCATTTCATAAATTGCTTTTTATTAAACTGGTGCAAAGGTAATTGTGGTTTTTGCCGTTACTTTCAGACCTCAATTACTTTTGCAGCAACCTCTTACCAGTCGTAAGAACATCCTTGCTTTTAACATAAAGGGATTGGTGAAGTTACCATGATTCTCACTTAAGAATTACTGAGAAAAATGCAGCAGCAGGGGTTAGCAAAAACTATTTGTTAATTGAAGGCCTGTGTTTATTTGAATGAAAGGATTTTTCATTTAAATTATAAAAACAGAGCAAGTTCCTAGTTATATCAAATCCATGTTCAATTTCATTCACAGAGATGGTGACAAAACAAGAGTAAATGAACAATGTCAGAATCAAAAGATACTCTGCCTGGAAAGAACTTGCAATGGAATTTTTTAAAAACGAGATTAAAACAGATAGAAATATGTTTATAATTCATTAAATATTTTAAAGTACTTGCTGTTTTAATGAAACTGAACAACAAAGACCCTGTCCTTAGTGAGCCTGCAAGCTAGTGGGGGACTCCAATAATAATCAGACTATCACAAAATATGTTTTGTACATGTCACATAAACCAAGAACGAAGCAGTATTTACAAGATTTCCAAATATTCATATGCTGAGAATGTGTAAATGCTGTAAACCGCAATATAAAGGCACACGTTATTTAACAGAATACACTATATTTCCCCTCTTCAATAAATATCTAAATACAAATGTAAATGTTAGAGTCATGTAATCCATGTACATATAATTCCCTTTCCATTTATTCACTCATATTATTGAAGCTTGGGATGCATAACTTTTAAAAACATGGATAATAACATAGGAAGGGTTATTTGATAGCCAGTAACTATGTCTGTTCCTACTTGAACGGAAGTTCAGCAACATTCAGTGGCAAGACATACGCTCAAAAAAATGTACAAATGATTAACAGTGTACATTATGTAGTTGACAAAAATTGAAGAAATAAGGGGGAAGAAAAGAAAAAGAATACCCATCTCTCCTTTCTCCAGTGGTTTTACTGTGGTAGAGTATGTATACCACTTAATTCACTCATTTAAAGTGCACAGTTCTGTGGGTTTGGTATTGTGTTAGTCTTGTTTTCACACTGCTATAAAGAAATACCATAATTTATAAAGAAATGTATAAAATTATAATTTACAAAGGAAAGAGGTTTAATTGACTCACAGTTCTGCATGGCTAGGGAGGCCTCGGGAAATTTACAATCATGGTGGAAGGCAAAGAAGTGTGGACCTTCTCCACATGGTAACAGGAGAGAAAAGACTGAGTGAAGGAGAAACTTGCCAAAATCTTATAAAACCATCAGATCTAGTGATAACTTACTATCATGCAACCAGCATGGGGGAAACTGTCCCCATGATCCAATCACCTCCCACTATGTTCTCCCCTCAACACCTAGGGATTACAATTCAAGATGAGATTTTGGTGAGTACACAAAGACTTACCACATCAGGTGTATTCACAGACATTGTGAATATTACCATGGTCAATGGTAGAATATTTTTATCATGTCAGAAAGAAATCCCATCTCTTTTAGCCAACATCCCCAGTGATCCTAGCCTTCTCGCAGCCCCGGGCAACCACTAATTTACTTTGTTTCTATTGACTTCTCTATTCAAAATATTTCATATGAATGTAATAATACACTATGTGGCCTTTTTGTGCATTGCTTCTATTAGTCTGGATACTGGTTTTAGGTCCATCCATCTTATGGCATCTGTCAGTAGTTCATTCCTTTGTGGCTAAAAAGTGATGATTATATAGTTACACGATATTTTGTTAATGGGCATTTGGGTTGTTTCCAATCATTAGTTATTACGAAGTACCTCCCTTATTCAGTGGTAAGATATCTTTATGGTAATAATTTTAAATGAAAACATTTTATATTAGTGTCTAAACTCTATGGTGTGGATAAATTGAACATCATTTTTTCTTGAGTCATGCGGTTTTATTGGGGTTGACTTGGTACCCCCTTAAAAACATATATGCATAACTTTGAAACAATAATTTTTATATATATATATAATTTGGAGATGACGTGCTACTCATATATTATTTCGAAGCAGTCAAAAACCTACAAAAAATTTCAGTATGGAATGTAAATAGCTTTCTTTTTTCCTAAGACATCTGAGGGTAAGTTTCCAATCGGATACCTCATATCCTGAATATTTTAGCATGCATTTCCCCAGAAGAGGATTATTATACACAGAAACAGTCAAGACCTAAAAATCAAGAAATGGGCACTGATGTATTTCTACCTTCTAATGGTCAGACTGCCTTTAAATGCCTTGAGGCAGAAGGAGCCAGTTAGAATTATGCACTGCCATGAGTTTTCATGTCTCTTAGTCTCCTTCAGTCTGATTCCTCATCTTTCTTTGACTTTCCTGGTTGTAGCACAATTAAAGCGTAGCAGCCAGTTATTTCACAGACTGTCCCTCCATTTGGGTTTGTCTGCTATTTCATCCTGATTATGTCTGGACTGCAAATATTTGCCAGAGTTAGTGCAGGGGTGAGGCCCTCTTCTTGACTTCGCATTCTGTCACATTCTAAGCGAATAATTTTCAATTTGTCCTATTATTGATGAGGATTTGATTAAAATGTTCCCCAGTTTTAACACTCTTATTTTAAACCCTATGAAATCTTTGCTGTATGCTAGCTCAATGAGCAACCAAGACTAGATTCTATGATAAAATAATTCTATCAAAATTTTAGACATGAGAAACATCAGTTCCTCTTTTAACATATGACAAGTACTCCTAATATCTAGAAAGTAGACTGACCCCTTACTCATTTGTCATGTAGATTCCACTATTAATTTTGAAATCCATATGGCATTTTATAGGAAATTGAATAAAACTCAAATGTTTCTGATTAAGTTTTGCTTAACTCTTGAATATTTTCTTTCCTGAAAACTCATTAAACTGAGATGCCTTTGTAAGAACTTCTTGACTGTGTGTTTTGGAAAACAGAAGCCACATACTGGAAAAATGTATAAACAATATTACTTTCTAGAAAACTCTGATTCAGAATATAAACAGTATACCTTCACGTTCATAAATTCTACTGTGTTCAGTTTACTAGTTTTCTGGTTGTTCTTATTCCACATTCAGTTTATTCATATTTATGTAGAATATTTCAGAATAAGTAACATTTAATTTTAAAGAATATACTTCACAAGGTATTTTCTGATGTTTTAAACTTTTTTTAAAAAATTTTTTAGTATCTATTGATCATTCTTGGGTGTTTCTCAGAGAGGGGGATTTGGCAGGGTCATAGGACAATAGTGGAGAGAAGGTCAGCAGATAAACATATGAACAAAGGTCTCTGGTTTTCCTAGGCAGAGGACCCTGCGGGCTTCCGCAGTGTTTGTGCACCTGGGTACTTGAGATTAGGGAGTGGTGATGACTCTTAACGAGCATGCCACCTTCAAGCATCTGTTTAACAAAGCACATCTTGCACCGCCCTTAATCCATTTAACCCTGAGTGGACACAGCACCTGTTTCAGAGAGCACGGGGTTGGGGGTAAGGTCATAGATTAACAGCATCCCAAGGCAGAAGAATTTTTCTTAGTACAGAAGAACAAAATGAAGTCCCCTATGTCTACTTCTTTTTACACAGACACAGTAACAATCTGATCTCTCTTTCTTTTCCCCACATTTCCCCCTTTTCTATTCGACAAAACCGCCATCGTCATCATGGCCCGTTTTCAATGGGCTGTTGGGTACACCTCCCAGATGGGGTGGCCGCCGGGCAGAGGGGCTCCTCACTTCTCAGACGGGGTGGCCGGGCGGAGATGCTCCTCACCTCCCAGACGGGGTGGCGGTGGGGCAGAGACACTCCTCACTTCCTAGACGGGGTGGCGGCCGGGAAGAGGCGCTCCTCACTTCCCAGACTGGGCGGCCGGGCAGAGGGGCTCCTCACATCCCAGACGATGGGTGGCCAGGCAGAGATGCTCCTCACTTCCTAGACCGGGTGGCTGCCGGGCAGAGGCTGCAATCTCAGCACTTCGGGAGGCCAAGGCAGGCGGCTGGGAGGTGGGGGTTGTAGCGAGCCAAGATCATGCCACTGCACTCCAGCCTGGGCAACATTGAGCACTGAGTGAGCGAGACTCCGTCTGCAACCCCGGCACCTCGGGAGGCCGAGGCGGGCAGATCACTCCAGGTCAGGAGCTGGAGACCAGCCCGGCAAACACGGGGAAACCCGGTCTCCACCAAAAAATACAAAAACCAGTCAGGCGTGGCGGCGCGTGCCTGCAATCCCAGGCACTCAGCAGGCTGAGGCAGGAGAATCAGGCAGGGAGGTTGCAGTGAGCCGAGATGGCGGCAGTACAGTCCAGCCTTGGCAACAGAAGGAGACTGTGGAAAGCGGGAGACAGAGATGAGGGAGAGGGGGAGACCGTGGAAAGCGGGAGAAGGAGATGACGGAGAGGAGGGAGAGGGAGAGGGAGAGCCATCTCTTTTAGGCATTAAACTTGTTTTATCCACAGAAGACACACACTCAAAGTAAATTGTGTGTTTTCAACCTCAGCATTACTGAAATGTGTACTGGATTGTCTTTGTCCTGAGAGGGCTGTCTTCTGCATCATAGGATGTTAGCAGAATCTCTGGCACCTACCAACTAAATGCCAGTTGCACCCCCACCCTCAATCCTGACAAACAAAAATTTCTCCAAACATTGTCAAATACCCTTCTGGGGTATGGAGCTGGGGTGTGTGTGTGTAAAATTGTCCCTGGTTAAGAACAACTGAAGGAAATTTTAGAGTATTTACATAATTTTAAAGACTTCCAATTAAGTAAACATGGATGCAATTATAGATTATAATAGATTTCTAGTAGGGTAGAATTGTCAACATTTACATTATTAGAAGTATTAGGTGTTACAAATGTCAGGAGAAAAGACCAGATAGGGTTACATTTTAAATATTTCTGAAGATATATTTTATAGCATAATATATATTAAAATAGATGATACGGGACTAAGCATTATTGTTAAATTCAATCATAGTTTGGACAAAATGTAGTCCTTTTTCATGTCAGTTAAGCAAGTTGACTCATCTATGAATAGATTTTGACAAGATTTCTTGTCAAATACAAGAATGAATCCTATGGGACTGCAGTCATCAAGATTGCAGTTGTTATAACTGGTCAAAAAAACACTCATTCCAGATAAGAATTTCAGTGGGAATATGTGTGTGTGTGTGTGTGTGTGTATGTATATTTATATACATATAAATATATATAAATATATACACATATAAATATATATAAATATATACACATATAAATATATATAAATATATACACATATAAATATATATAAATATATACACATATAAATATATAAATATATGCATATAAATATATAAATATATATACATATAAATACATATAAATATATATACATATAAATATATAAATATATATACTTATACACATATAAATATATATAATTATACACATATAAATATATATAATTATACACATATAAATATATATAAATATATGTAAATATATATATTCATATACATATAAATATATGTAAATATATATATTCATATACATATAAATATATATTCATATACATATAAATATATAAATATTATATATATATATATATATTTTATACTCTAGGCGGCTTACATCAAATCAAGACTTGCTGGAGCTATATTGTAATGTGCCCAGTGCATATATACATTTTTTCAATCCTTTTCTATCAGATTGCCAGTGTGCATATTGAATTCTAAGCAACTTCAAATAATTCGATATGGGTGTATATTAACTACAAATATCCTATTTTTGGCAAACAAAGTCTTTTTACTGAATTTTCTGTGGGTGGTAGGGAGAGTTAGGAAATATAATTTCACACAATATCTACTGGGTTAGTGGTTAGGTCAAAAAATTAAGCATAAGCAAAACCGGGTGCTTCGAAAGGATGGCAAAACATATTTGATGTGTTTTTTTGCCCATTTTGCAGGTATTTGTTTTATGACTGCTATTGAAATGCTTTCATTAATATTTTCTGGCAAAGCAAACACTTTGTTTTGGCAACATTTACTTGGCTTCTAAGGTTGCTATTATTCAATTGTTCGCTTAATAGAGGAAAAAACTGCTTCAGAGGTGCCTGATGGTATTTATTTATTTATTTATTTATTTATTCATTTATTTATTTATTTTTGAGATGGAGTCTCACTCTGTTGCCAGGCTGGAGGGCAGTGGCATGATTTCAACTCACTGCAACCTCTGCCTCCCGTGTTCAGGCAATTCTCCTGTCCCAGCCTCCTGCGTAGCTAGGACTATAGGCATGTGCCACCATGCCCAGCTAATTTTTGTATATTTAGTAGAAACAGGGTTTCACCATGTTGGCCAGGATTGTCTGGATCTCTTGACCGCATGATCCACCCACCTCGGCCCCTTAAAGTGATGTGCTTACAGGTGTGAGCCACCGCGCCCAGAATTTTTTTTTTTTTTTTTTTTTTAGAACAAGTCTGTAGGGTTATGTGGAGCTATGGTTCAGGAATCAAATAAATACCTGAAGGAGCAGAATAAGCTCATCTGATTGGCAGGGAAGGGGATAGCTCCTGGCAGAGGGTTCAGAATTCTTAAAAAAGAAGAATAAAAAGAAAACACAAAGAGCTTGAAGGTAAAAATTGGATGACAGCTATAGGCAGATACAGACTAATGGAAGTAAGCAACAGAAGCAGATTCAAGGGAATTTGCAATTTCCCTTTGTTCTAGGTTTCTGTATTCCATATTTTTTTTTCCTCTGGCCCACCTTACTGTCAGAAGCTATCACGAAAAGTCAGAAGCTAAGTTTGTGACGTAGATGTTGGTTAGACATAAATATAAGTTTCTGCTAAACTGGATTATGAATACAGAAGAATTTGTCCTACAGACAAGAATAAAATCAACTTAATAGATTCTATGGCATGTCTGGAGAAAAGAAAATTTGGCAATTGCAATCTATCAATATATGGCAAGCTGAATGTAAAAGTCAGGAAGTAAGGGATAGTAAGCTGAAATCTATGATCAAGATACAAGTGTTGGTAGTCCCTGAAGGACAAAGAAAACAGCATGTTGAATTCTGAGTGACAAAGACCAGGAGGGTTTTCCATTTGGGTTGGATTCCTTGTTTCTTGCGGCTACATAAATTCTCCTATGACATAATCAAGGCTTATGGAGTAAAACAATCAGTACAGCAAAGGCCAGGAGAAAAAGAAATATTCCATCTAGAGACAGATTGTAGGGATATGGGGAAAAATACAAAGTTTTATTTTGTTAACAATCTTTATTGCTTATGCAGTTGACTCAAAAAAAAAAAAAAAAAAAAAAGTTAAGATCACCTTCCACTCACAGCATCTCCGCATCAATTTGTGGAGTCTAAAAAGGAAACCCAGTTTATATCCAAGTGTGGGTCTTGATACCTACAAATTTTATTAGCTTTATTCAGAAAATTAACAAATAAAACTTCCACTGTGAGAAGCTTCCATCTTATAACCTGGAGAGACATAAATATAATTAGTAAACTTTTGTTTCCAAAGCAAGTGTGTTTGTGTTTCCCAAGCAAGATTGGCTGTTCCCTCCATCCACTGAAAGAACAATCTGTTTACCCCCACTTGGCTTTCTTGCTTTTAACTTCCCTGGGACCTGCCCATGCTAAACTTACCCCAAAGTGGGTGGTTTGCACAAGAACCGAGGTCAGTGGCCCTCAGTCACAGCGCTACTGACATTTGGAGCTGGATCATCCTCTGTGGTGGGATTGTCTTGGGCCTTGTGAATATTTTGCAGCATCCCTGGCCTCCATGCACTCGATGCCAGGAACATCACCCTCCCTGGTGACAACTAAAAATGCCTCCAGACGTTGCCTAATGTGCCCTGGGGGACAACGTCACCCCTGGGTGGGAACCACTGAGCTAGATTGATGCCCTCTGCATAGAAGGATTGTACTAATTCCACAGTGTGGGAGACTTGGCAAATTATATCACAACAATTTATTGAAGATGTACACAGCACAATCACTCTAACATACTTTTATTGCCCAGTTAAAAATTCCTCCAGGGGTTGCTACAGATACCTATCTAGGCTGTTTGAACTCTACCTGACTAGGCATTCAAAATTAATGTGCCTCAAGATGTTACGATCAAACCAATTTGTTTGATCACTATCATTGATGTAAAGCTATTTGGACTTGAATAATATGTGTACCATATACATGCAGGTCAATTTTTAAAAATCTCAATCAGATTAAACAGTCTCACTCTGAAAAAAATATTTTTAAAGAAGATAATTGTCCCTTCAATATAGCTATTTATCCTTGCCTTTTTAAAAATAATGTGAAAAAACAAGAGTACTTTTTCCTCTAATGTAATATTTCTTCATTCACACTCCTAAACAAATTCAATTTCTTTGAATAGCAAGTATTTTTTTTTTACTGCAGACATAAAGGTTTACTTGTTTCCTAAGTTATTTGTAGTGACTCTGAATATGTATTTTCAACAATGTATTAACAGAATATTTCTGGTTATTCAAAACTTATTTTTCTGACATCTTTTTAAATTCTCATTGATTTAATCCATGTATAATATATTTTTAAAATTTTTGAAATACTCTTAATCTTAAGAATAATTGCGCCTGTAATCCCAGCGCTTTGGGAGGATGAGGCGGGTGGATCACGAGGTCAGGAGATCGAGACCATCCTGACTAACACGGTGAAACCCCGTCTGTACCAAGAATACAAAAAAAATTAGCCGGGCGTGGTGACGGGCGCCTGTAGTCCCAGCTACTCTGGAGGCTGAGGCAGGAGAATGGCGTGAACACGGGAGGCAGAGCTTGCAGTGAGCCGAGATGTGCCACTGCCCTCCACACTGGGCGACAGAGCGAGACTCCCACTCGGGGGGGAAAAAAAAAAAAAAAAAAAAAAGTGGGAGGATATTGGGCCGGGCGCGGTGGCTCACGCCTGTAATCCCAACACTTTGGGAGGCTGAGGTGGGCGGATCAGGAGGTCAGGAGATCGAGACCATCCTGGCTAATATGTTGAAACCCCTGTCTCTACTAAAAAATGCAAAAAATTAGGTGGCCGTGGTGGCGGGCGCCTGTAGTCCCAGGTACTAGGGAGGCTGAAGCAAGAGAACGGCGTGAACCCGGGAGGCGGAGCTTGCAGTGAGCCGAGATCGCACCACTGCACTCCAGCCTGGGCGACAGAGCGAGACTCCGTCTCAAAAAAAAAAAAAAAAAAAAAAAAAAAGAAAAGAAAAGAATAATTGCAAAGAAATCCATGAACTTTTATTTTTCCTAAGCCGTTTGAAGACAGTTGTGGACATACTTGTGTGTGTATTTCCTGGAAAGAAGCACATTCTCTTACATAATCACAGTAAAGCCACCAAAATCAGAAACTTAAAACTTGGCATGTTAACTGCCACAGATCCCCTTCAAAGTTTGCCAGTTGTCCTCATAATGTCCCTCACAGTGGAAAGATTCAATAGGGAATCATGCATTGTATTTAGCTGCATTTTTTTTTTTTTTTTTTTTTTTTTTTTTTTGTGGTGGGGGGATGTCTCTTTTAATCTGAAATTGTCTCTTAGCCTTTCTTGGACTGTCATGACCTTGATGTTTTTGAAGGTTTCATGCCTGTTAGTTTGCCTCGTCATTTTTTCTTGTGTTTGCTCATCATTAGATTTGGATTATGCATATGTAGCAGGAACACTACAAATGTCATTCTGTGTTCTTTGCCCTGCATCCCGTCTGGTGGTAGATTTGTCTCCTGGCTTGTCCATCTTGATCACTTCATTAGGGCAGAGTATTCCAAGTTTTTCTGTAGTAATCAACAGAACTTTGTACAGAGGTACTTTGGTATCCATGTAAATATTACATTCCTCGTCAAATTTGTACCCATATTGTACACAAATATCTATTGATATTTCTTTTTCTCTCTCTCTCTTTTTTTTTTTTTTAAGGCAGGGTCTTGCTCTCTTGCCCAGGCTGAAGTACAGAGGTGCAATCATAGCTCATTGCAGCCTCCAACTCCTAGGATCAACTGATCCTCCTACCTCAGCCTCCTGAGTAGCTGGGACTACAGGGACAGTCATCAGGCCCAGCTAATTTTTAATTGTCTTTGCAGAGATCAGGTCTTGCCGCATTTCCCAGGCTGCTCTTGAACTCCTGGCCTCAAGCAATTCTCCCACCTCAGCCTCCCAAAGTGCCGGGCATTAATATTTCTTGAATGAATTATTATAGTTATCATTATGAAATAGCAATATTCTAATTCCACCATTTCTTCTACATTCTATCAATTGACATTGCACAGTAACGTATAACCTGGGCTCATAGAGTCCTTTTATTAAACAGGTTATAATCTATTTCTGTCATTATTTATTTTTATTTGATGCTTATTTCTTGTTGAATCCATGCAACTATTTACTGATCCATTATTTTGGGCATTCACTCTTTTTTTAGGCAGTCCCTCTCTTACATTTTTCCTGTCACTTTTTCACCTTCACTTGTCTCTTCTAGATTTTAAACGTGTGTATCTTGCAAGATTAATGTTGTGCATCTCTTCTGATTCCATGAGACTTCCTTTATTCAATGGGTGAATAAATGTCCAAGGCTCCCACTGGGTTTTTCTAAGCAATCTGGTTCAGCCTTTGGAGCTGTTTAATGACCTGGCCACCTCAGCTTCAGCATCTCAGAAAAGTTCCAAGATGTGAAGGAATCTTATTACATGCAAGTTCTCACCTTGCCATATTTTGACTTTTTCTGCCATTTAAACAACACAATGGTCACTGCCAAGGGGGTCCAGCATTCTGAGCTATCACACATTCACCCCAGGCAGGCCAACCTTGGATTGCATTACTTGTCATGCCGTTAATGCAAAGATTAACATAGTGACAGCTGCCATTCTTTTCTTTCTTTCTTTCTTTCTTTCTTTCTTTCTTTCTTTCTTTCTTTCTTTTCTTTTTTTTTTAATGGTTGGAGCATTATCTGAAGCAAATATGTTCCCACGCAGCTGCTGTATCTATGATTACACTTTCATTTTGATAATGACAAGCTTTTGAATAAAAGTGCTGGTGAGTTTCTTGAAAACAGTTACAGTAACAGAGTTGAACATTTATTCACATTATTTCCAAATTTGCAAAAGAGGAGAGTAACTAATTTATTTATCTATCCTCCTACTTCTCTTTGTAGCAGAGGAATTCACACTTATGTACCAATAATAGCTCATCATCCTCCCTGCTAAACTTAACTTGCATTCTACGCATAGAATGCATTCACTTAACTTACATTCTACTCATACTGATTTTAAAAATATGACCTTTTAGTTTTCTGTGGAAAGTCAAATCTTCTCTATAAACAGCACACAATAGGTAGAAAACCTAATTTCCGATTTAAAATATTTCAGTCTCTTGCTAAGCAAGTTCCTTTCAGTTTATACATCTGCTCTAGTAAAGTGGAATTTCTTATCACCCCTGTTTTAAGCAATCACTTATGGGTACCTTAGACCCTTTGGGTAGATGCTCAGCTGGTGAGAGCCCTACTCACCTTCCTCTTCCCCAAGATGGTGGATAAGTTTATGAAGGTGTCACTTTGTACAATGGGATGGGGGCCCTGGGCTCTCTCTGGTCCCTGTATGTGCATGGCTTGTTCCCTCTGTGTGGGGTTTGTCTCCATCCAGCCACAAAACTCCTCCATTTGATATGCAGTTTTTGCCTTGGAATATTTCTTAGTTTTGTCTCTTCTAGCA
The DNA here is from genome assembly GCF_000001405.40 of Homo sapiens. Classification (NCBI taxonomy): domain Eukaryota; kingdom Metazoa; phylum Chordata; class Mammalia; order Primates; family Hominidae; genus Homo; species Homo sapiens. Next base: position 14,033,810 of record NC_000024.10, on the reverse strand, counting down.
TGTTGGAGGTCTAATGGTCTTTCCCTATGGACTTAGCCCCACTTGAGCTCTTGCTGCTACTAGATGTCTGGTGGCGACTCCTCTTCCATTGCTAGCCCCTGCATTCTGCTCTGCCTCTGGTTGTTAGCAGGCAACTCCGCCTGCAGCAACCCCGTGGGAAGTCCACCAGTCTGTACTGCCTGCCAACTGTACTTCTCCCCAGTGATACAGGGAGTAGAATCTTCTGCTAACACAGACATACATACTGCCTCCACAGGTGGCCACCCTCGTTGCTGTGGGACATCTGTGCAAATGTCTTCTCCCACTTTCCAAAAGAGCAAGCAGCACTCCACCCACCAGTGTGACTCTCAACCCATGTAAACTCATCTCAGCGGTACCCCAAGGAAGGAGATCAAGTTATATGCTCCTACTGTCAGTTTTACTCTCATCCACATCTTCTTCCTGCATGTCCCTGGTTTGGAAGAAACAGCTTGTTTTTTTGTCCAACATCAGTGATTCTTAAACTTGACTGTACCAGGGAAGCTTTTAAAAAATGCTGATGTTTGGGTCATGCAGATTCTCAGTCACTGTTCGGGGTATGTCCTACATGAAATAGTGTTTTGCAAATCATTTCCAACATGCAGCCAGGATTACAAAACATTACCTTGTATCCTGAGTTCTCTTTACTCTTGGCATAACATTGAAATCTGTTATATCTTGTGTATGTGTGTGCCCGTGTGTATGTCTATGTGTGTGCATGTAGAGAAAGAGAGAGAAACTGTGTGTGTGGCCTCATAATAGGTTAAATCTTAAAGGTTACAATCTGGGAAATTTTGACTTAAAGAATCCTTTTGTCTCTCTCAACAAATTATGGTCTTTACAGCTGTTGTCTCTAAAGAAAGAAAGAAAAAAAAACCCCTGTGCTTGTCAATAGCTCAACACGGCCTCTTTATTTCCCTTTGCACTTTACTCAGTAGCTCGATATTCTGCATTTTGTAGCAATAGTTCAGAAGCCACTCTCTCTGCCTTAGGCCTCTGGATACCTCAGAATGCCTCAGGATGCCTAGCGAGAAGGATATGCTCACAGAAATGCAAAAACGGAAGCACATCAGTAAAGTTTGCAAAATATGACCTTTGCATCACTGCTATTATCCTCCTCACAGCAAATGAGGCACTTCTAAGTGAAGATTACATTTACTGAGCCACATAAACCAAGGGTTATAAAGTATGAAATATGGAACCAATAGGGAAAGAAATTTATTTTTAGAGAGACAAAGGGACTTGCCCAAGGTAGCACAATTATGTAAGGATCTAACCAAAGGCACCATTTCCGTGGAGGTCAGGAAGCAGCTCTGTGGGAGTAGGGCCAGGAGGTTAAAATCCAAGTGGCTTAAAGGTAATGTAGTAGCTTTCAATAGAATGTAGAAAGAACAAAGAGCAGGGCCTGTTTTCTCTCCTTCTTGATACCTCTACGAGGCTATTACTGCAGCCTAATGATCCAAGAGTCAATAAGAACGAGGGATGGAGTTTCTGCCTGTTCTGTCATTATTAAGTTTTTATTCACCAAAGTGTTATTGATAACTATCTTTTGGAACTATGGCTCAACAAACGATGAAAGCAGCCTAGGTGAAGTGGATCATGCCTGTAATCCCAGTGCTTTGAGGTGGGAGGATCACTTGAGGGTAGGAGTTCAAGATCAGCCTGGGCAACACAGGCTGAAGTGGGAGGATTGCTTGAACCCAGGAGTTCAAGGCTGCAGTGGGTCTTCATTGCACGGCTCTACTCCAGCATGGGTGACAGAGCAACATCTGTCTTTGAACACACAAGGAAGTAAAAAAGAAAAAAGAAAACAAATATACACATGGATAAGTATAAATGCTAATGATAAACTGACTTATCAATATTTTGTTTCACATGAGTGATATTTTCACAGCCACTGGATTACTTATTAGTGGTTCTAAACCAGAGGTGATTTTGCCCTCCCAGGGGGCATTTAGCAGTATCTGGAGGCATTTCACATTTTATGGTACTTTTCATGTTTCCTAAAGCTTTTGAAAAACTGACCTTCTTAATTGACTACTTATGATGCTTTCAATATTCAAATTGTTCAATTGTAATTCAACTTTCTCCGTTTCACTGTTTATTTGCTCTTCTCTGACCTTCACGATTTTGGCAAAGTTAAAAACTTGTGTTGGGTCACAGACCACTAAGATAGAGGTCTGAGCCTAATTATTATTAACTTATTGGTTGCAGAAACAGCTCTTGTATTGACACTAGCTAGATTTATTTTATTTAATTATTTTGGAATGTGCAAATATTATGCAGTCGATGTGCCTCAGAGGATTATTTTCTTTCACTTTTTAAAGTAAAACTAGAAGTTGATATTTTAGCATTCAATATTCTTCACTTTGGGGGACAGATGAACTTCAAAATAAAACATGAAGAGCAACTGTACTCTAAGGAAAAAACAGCTACATCCAAACTAGGCAAGAATGTTCTATAGTGGAATATTTTATGCTGTAGAGAATATTTTACAAGTCATAGCAATGGATTGTGCACACACCTTTATCTTGCCAGAAATGCACTTTATGACTTCTTTTCTTATTCCAAAAGGATAGTAATACCTGATCATCTTCTACTCAATTTTGAAAACATTTATGCTTTCAGGTACAGTTTTACCCAATATGTGGGCTGGGCTGGTTTCAAAAATATTCATATGGAGGTTGCTAATTATAGGATCTCGGGAACTTTTGCAAATAAACACAGACACCTGAATTCAAGAAAAAAGGAAGCTGATTAGAAATAGAAGCCTATTTTAAGTAAAAGAGATTATCTTATGCAACCTGGGTGGGCCTGACTTTACACTGAAAGGCCTTAAAAGCTAGTCTGAGGAGAAAGAAAGAAAAAAGATAGAGAAGGATGAGAGAGCAGAGAGAAAGAGGAAGAAGAGGAGAAAGAGGAGGAAGGAGAAATTCTACTTGTGGACAATAGTTTCAGCTTGTGCCTGTGAAGTTTAAGCCTGTTGGTGATCTTCCCCTCCTTACTAAGGTCTACAATTACTTAAGTGAATTCCTGATAACAAATCAATCTATAGATAGACAGATATAATATGCAAATGTTTTAGCAGCTGTTCATACTTTATATCTGCAAAGTCCTTTCACAGCAACAACTAGATCGAATGACAGAAGACTGTAGCCTAGGCAACCTGACACACTAATACATGGCATGAGGCAAGAGAGAATGAGAGCCAAGCAAAAGGGGAAACCACTTTAAAACCACCAGAACTTGTGAGACTTATTACTATGAGAACAGTATGGAGAAACTGCCCCCATGATTCAATTATCTGCCACCGGCTCCCTCCCACAACACATGGGAATTATGGGAGCTATAAACTCAAGATGAGAATTGGGTGGGGGCACAGCCAAACCATATCAGTATTTCAATTATAATTCTAATTTTTATTTTCTGTTATTTAAAGATAAGACTGGCTACTATATATGCAATTTGTATTCTGCAATCATGCTAGATTTACTTAGTTATAGAAAGATTTATTTTGTCTTTAGGTTTGTTTTGCATTGGCGATTATATTATCTCAAATACAGATTATTTAATTTCTTCCTTTAAGAAAAAAAAGGGAGGAGCCAAGATGGCCGAATAGGAACAGCTCCGGTCTACAGCTCCCAGCGTGAGCGGAGCAGAAGAGGGTGATTTCTGCATTTCCATCTGAGGTACCGGGTTCATCTCTCTAGGGAGTGCCAGACAGTGGGCACAGGTCAGTGAGTGTGCACACCATGCGCGAGCCGAAGCAGGGCGAGGCATTGCCTCACTTGGGAAGCCAAGGGGTCAGGGAGTTCCCTCTCTGAGTCAAAGAAAGGGGTGACAGAGGGCACATGGAAAATTGGGTCACTCCCACCCGAATACTGCGCTTTTCCAACGGGCTTAAAAAACGGCGCACCACGAGATTATAACCCGCACCTGGCTCGGAGGGTCCTACGCCCACTGAGTCTCACTGATTGCTAGCACAGCAGTCTGAGATCAAACTGCAAGGCGGCAGCGAGGCTGGGGGAGGGGCGCCCGCCATTGCCCAGGCTTGCTTAGGTAAACAAAGCAGCCGGGAAGCTCGAACTGGGCGGACCCCACCACAGCTCAAGGAGGCCTGCCTGCCTCTGTAGGCTCCACCTCTGGGGGCAGGGCACAGACAAACAAAAAGACAGCAGTAACCTCTGCAGACTTAAATGTCCCTGTCTGACAGCTTTGAAGAGAGCAGTGGTTCTCCCAGCGCACAGCTGGAGATCTGAGAACGGGCAGACTGCCTCCTCAAGTGGGTCCCTGACCCCTGACCCCTGAGCAGCCTAACTGGGAGGCAACCCCCAGCAGGGGAACACTGACACCTCACACGGCAGGGTATTCCAACAGACCTGCAGCTGAGGGTCCTGTCTGTTAGAAGGAAAACTAACAAACAGAAAGGACATCCACACCAAAAACCCATCTGTATATCACCATCATCAAAGACCAAAAGTAGATAAAACCACAAAGATGGGGAAAAAACAGAACAGAAAAAATGGAAACTCTAAAAAGCAGAGCGACTCTCCTCCTCCAAAGGAACGCAGTTCCTCACCAGCAACGGAACAAAGCTGGATGGAGAATGACTTTGACGAGCTCAGAGAAGAAGGCTTCAGACGATCAAATTACTCTGAGCTACGGGAGGACATTCAAACCAAAGGCAAAGAAGTTGAAAACTTTGAAAAAGGTTTAGAAGAATGTATAACTAGAATAACCAATACAGAGAAGTGCTTAAAGGAGCTGATGGAGCTGAAAACCAAGGCTCGAGAACTACGTGAAGAATGCAGAAGCCTCAGGAGCCGATGCGATCAACTGGAAGAAAGGGTATCAGCGATGGAAGATGAAATGAATGAAATGAAGTGAGAAGGGAAGCTTAGAGAAAAAAGAATAAAAAGAAATGAGCAAAGCCTCCAAGCAATATGGGACTATGTGAAAAGACCAAATCTACGTCTGATTGGTGTACCTGAAAGGATGGGGAGAATGGAACCAAGTTGGAAAACACTCTGCAGGATATTATCCAGGAGAACTTCCCCAATCTAGCAAGGCAGGCCAATGTTCAGATTCAGGAAATACAGAGAACGCTACAAAGATACTCCTCGAGAAGAGCAACTCCAAGACACATAATTGTCAGATTCACCAAAGTTGAAATGAAGGAAAAAATGTTAAGGGCAGCCAGAGAGAAAGGTCGGGTTACCCTCAAAGGGGAGCCCATCAGACTAACAGTGGATCTCTCGGCAGAAACCCTACAAGCCAGAAGAGAGTGGGGGCCAATATTCAACATTCTTAAAGAAAAGAATTTTCAACCCAGAATTTCATATCCAGCCAAACTAAGCTTCATAAGCGAAGGAGAAATAAAATACTTTGCAGACAAGCAAATGCTGAGAGATTTTGTCACCACCAGGCCTGCCCTAAGAGAGCTCCTGAAGGAAGCGCTAAACATGGAAAGGAACAACCGCTACCAGCCGCTGCAAAATCATGCCAAAATGTAAAGACCATCAAGACTAGGAAGAAACTGCATCAACTAACGAGCAAAAGAACCAGCTAACATCATAATGACAGGATCAAATTCACACATAACAATATTAACTTTAAATGTAAATGGACTAACTGCTCCAATTAAAAGACACAGACTGGCAAATTGGATAAAGAGTCAAGACCCATCAGTGTGCTGTATTCAGGAAACCCATTTCACGTGCAGAGACACACATAGGCTCAAAATAACAGAATGGAGGAAGATCTACCAAGCAAATGGAAAAGAAAAAAAGGCAGGGGTTGCAATCCTAGTCTCTGATAAAACAGACTTTAAACCAACAAGGATCAAAAGAGACAAAGAAGGCCATTACATAATGGTAAAGGGATCAATTCAACAAGAAGAGCTAACTATCCTAAATATATATGCACCCAATACAGGAGCACCAGGATTCATAAAGCAAGTCCTGAGTGACCTACAAAGAGACCTAGACTCCCACACATTAATAATGGGAGACTTTAACACCCCACTGTCAACATTAGACAGATCAATGAGACAGAAAGTCAACAAGGATACCCAGGAATTGAACTCAGCTCTGCACCAAGCAGACCTAATAGACATCTACAGAACTCTCCACCCCAAATCAACAGAATATACATTTTTTTTCAGCACCACACCACACCTATTCCAAAATTGACCACATACTTGGAAGTAAAGCTCTCCTCAGCAAATGTAAAAGAACAGAAATTATAACAAACTGTCTCTCAGACCACAGTGCAATCAAACTAGAACTCAGGATTAAGAATCTCACTCAAAACTGCTCAACTACATGGAAACTGAACAACCTGCTCCTGAATGACTACTGGCTACATAACGAAATGAAGGCAGAAATAAAGATGTTCTTTGAAACCAATGAGAACAAAGACACAACATACCAGAATCTCTGGGACGCATTCAAAGCAGTGTGTAGAGGGAAATTTATAGCACTAAATGCCCCCAAGAGAAAGCAGGAAAGATCCAAAACTGACACCCTAACATCACAATTACAAGAACTAGAAAAGCAAGAGCAAACACATTCAAAAGCTAGCAGAAGGCAAGAAATAACTAAGATCACAGCAGAACTGAAGGAAATAGAGACACAAAAAACCGTTAAAAAAATTAATGAATCCAGGAGCTGGTTTTTTGAAAGGATCAACAAAATTGATAGACCACTAGCAAGACTAATAAAGGAAAAAAGAAGAATCTAATAGACACAATAAAAAATGATAAAGGGGATATCACCACCGATCCCACAGAAATACAAACTACCATCAGAGAATACTACAAACACCTCTATGCAAATAAACTAGAAAATCTAGAAGAAATGGATAAATTCCTTGATGCATACACTCTCCCAAGACTAAACCAGGAAGAAGTTGAATCTCTGAATAGACCAATAACAGGAGCTGAAATTGTGGCAATAATCAACAGCTTACCAACCAAAAAGAGTCCAGGACCAGATGGATTCACAGCTGAATTCTACCAGAGGTACAAGGAGGAACTGGTACCATTCCTTCTGAAACTATTCCAATCAATAGAAAAAGAGGGAATCCTCCCTAACTCATTTTATGAGGCCAGCATCATTCTGATACCAAAGCCAGGCAGAGACACCACAAAAAAAGAGAATTTTAGACCAATATCCTTGATGAACATTGATGCAAAAATCCTCAATAAAATACTGGCAAACCGAATCCAGCAGCACATCAAAAAGCTTATCCACCATGATCAAGTGGGCTTCATCCCTGGGATGCAAGGCTGGTTCAATATACGCAAATCAATAAATGTAATCCAGCATATAAACAGAGCCAAAGACAAAAACCACATGATTATCTCAATAGATGCAGAAAAAGCCTTTGACAAAATTCAACAACACTTCATGCTAAAAGCTCTCAATAAATTAGGTATTGATGGGATGTATTTCAAAATAATAAGAGCTATCTATGACAAAGCCACAGCCAATATCATACTGAATGGGCAAAAACTGGAAGCATTCCCTTTGAAAACTGGCACAAGACAGGGATGCCCTCTCTCACCACTCCTATTCAACATAGGTTTGGAAGTTCTGGCCAGGGCAATTAGGCAGGAGAAGGAAATAAAGGGTATTCAATTAGGAAAAGAGGAAGTCAAATTGTCCCTTTTTGCAGACGACATGATTGTATATCTAGAAAACCCCATTGTCTCAGCCCAAAATCTCCTTAAGCTGATAAGCAACTTCAGCAAAGTCTCAGGATACAAAATCAATGTACAAAAATCACAAGCATTCTTATACACCAACAACAGACAGACAGAGAGCCAAGTCATGAGGGAACTCCCATTCACAGTTGCTTCAAAGAGAATAAAATACCTAGGAATCCAACTTACAAGGTATGTGAAGGACCTCTTCAAGGAGAACTACAAACCACTGCTCAAGGAAATAAAAGAGGACACAAACAAATGGAAGAACATTCCCTGCTCATGGGTAGGAAGAATCAATATCGTGAAAATGGCCTCACTGCCCAAGGTAATTTGCAGATTCAATGCCATCCCCATCAAGCTACCAATGCCTTTCTTCACAGAATTGGAAAAAAACTACTTTAAAGTTCATATGGAACCAAAAAAGAACCTGCATCGCCAAGTCAATCCTAAGCCAAAAGAACAAAGCTGGAGGCATCACACTACCTGACTTCAAACTATACTACAAGGCTACAGTAACCAAAAGAGCATGGTACTGGTACCAAAACAGAGATATAGATCAATGGAACAGAACAGAGCCCTCAGAAATAACGCCGCAGATCTACAACTATCTGATCTTTGACAAACCTGAGAAAAACAAGCAATGGGGAAAGGATTCCCTATTTAATAAATGGTGCTGGGAAAACTGGCTAGCCATATGTAGAAAGCTGAAACTGGATCCCTTCCTTATACCTTATACAAAAATCAATTCAAGATGGATTAAAGACTTAAATGTTAGACCTAAAACCATAAAAACCCTAGAAGAAAACCTAGGCATTACCATTCAGGGCATAGGCATGGGCAAGGACTTCATGTCTAAAACACCAAAAGCAATGGCAACAAAAGACAAAATTGACAAATGGGATCTAATTAAACTAAAGAGCTTCTGCACAGCAAAAGAAACTACCATCAGAGTGAACAGGCAACCTATGAAATGGGAGAAAATTTTTGCAACCTACTCATCTGACAAAGGGCTAATATCCAGAATCTACAATAAACTCAAACAAATTGACAAGAAAAAAACAACCAAACCCCATCAAAAAGTGGGCAAAGGACATGAACAGACACTTCTCAAAAGAAGACATTTATGCAGCCAAAAAACACATGAAAAAATGTTCATCGTCACTGGCCATCAGAGAAATGCAAATCAAAACCACAATGAGATACCATCTCACACCAGTTAGAATGGCAATCATTAAAAAGTCAGGAAACAACAGGTGCTGGAGAGGATGTGGAGAAATAGGAACACTTTTACACTGTTGGTGGGACAGTAAACTAGTTCAACCATTGTGGAAGTCAGTGTGGCGATTCCTCAGGGATCTAGAACTGGAAATACCATTTGACCCAGCCATCCCATTACTGGGTATATACCCAAAGGACTATAAATCATGCTGCTATAAAGACACATGAACACGTATGTTTATTGCGGCATTATTCACAATAGCAAAGACTTGGAACCAACCCAAATGTCCAACAATGATAGACTGGATTAAGAAAATGTGGCACATATACACCATGGAATACTATGCAGCCATAAAAAATGATGAGTTTATGTCCTTTGTAGGGACACGGATGAAATTGGAAAATATCATTCTCAGTAAACTATCGCAAGAACAAAAAACCAAACACCGCATATTCTCACTCATAGGTGGGAATTGAACAATGAGATCACATGGACACAGGAAGGGGAATATCACACTCTGGGGACTGTTGTGGGGTGGGGGGAGTGGGGAGGGATAGCATTGGGAGATATAGTGGGTGTGGTGCACCAGCATGGCACATGCATACATATGTAACTAACCTGCACAATGTGCACATGTACCCTAAAACTTAAAGTATAATAGAAAAAAAAAAAAAAATAGGAGCACATTGAGACCTTAGCAAAGTTATCAAAAATCCACGAGTTTGAGCTGATTTATAGAGCACAGTATTACAGAATGGTGATTTCCTGTTTCCGGCTTTCCACAGTGCACCAATTAACTAATAATGTGTATCTTATCCACAGGCAGCAGAGGTCCTCCCCTGAACTATTAGCTTCAGCAACTTGCTCTCCTGTTCTTGTTTAAACACATGACATCACTTAATCATGAATTCCTTCCTGCAGAGGTTTAGAACAAAAACCAATGTGAAATATTTGTCAATTCCATCTGACCTTGTTAATTTTGAGCAACTCAGCAACTCTCATGCCAGCGTCCTGGATGATATTTGAACATGTTTCAGGTTCCAGTCATAGACTATGAAAGAACAAGGTCCAGTTCACACTTAGTTTTCCAAATACATAGTTCTTTGCATTTGCATATATTGCTTTACATTTTATAAAATATGATGTACTGTCTCATTGGATTCTTCCAGATAACCACAGTGCATTACATTTATAATTTATTTATTGATTTATTTGGAGATGGAGTCTCACTCTGTCGTCCAGGCTGGAGTGCAGTGGCACGATCTCAGCTCACTGCAACCTCCACCTCTCATGTTCAACCGATTCTCCATTCTCCTGCCTCAGCCTCCCAAGTAGCTGGGACTACAGGTGCACATCACCACGCCCAGTTAATTTTTGCATTTTTCTTTTTTCTTTTTTTTTTAGTAGAGATAGTGTTTCACCATGCTGGCCAGGATGGTCTTGAACTCTTGAGCTCATGATCTGCCCACCTTGGCCTCCCAGAGTGCTGGGATTACAGGCGTGAGCCACCTCTCCCAGTCCTACAGTTATAATTTTAAACATGGATAAAATAGGGTGCAGACATATTAAATCCAATAATTGGAAGTGGCCGTTTGGGGAACGTTGCCTAACGTGTAGTGCATACTTAATTACTAGTTTTTTGAATGGATACGTATTTGTGTTTGGAAGTAAGAAACATTGTATTGTTGTTGTTTTAATAATAGTTGTCTTTGTTTATGACATAGACAGGTGGGCAAGACATATTAACTAGGTTTCAAAACAGATTTAAATCCCAATTCTGTTGTTAACAAGATTGTAACCCTGAAATTCTCTTAACTTTTTTGCCACACACATTACTTATTTTTGGAAAAACAATCTCAGGGAGGAAGTTTTAATAAATATTGTGTAGGATCATTTTCTTTTCCAAATGTCCACGGTTTTACATTTCACTAAGTAGTCGACCGAGGCTTTCATTCAAACAGTTTCAATGATGTAGAAAGACATTGTTGTTTTTTGTCTCTTATGTTTTTGTGTTTTGAGACTAGGTCCTGCTCTGTTGCTCAGGCTGGAGGGCAGTGACACAATTATGGCTCACTGCAATCTCCACCTCTTGGGCAGGCTCATACCATCCTCCTGGCTCAGCCTCCCGGGTTGCTGGGACTACAGTTGCACACCACCACAGCTGGCTAATTTCCATGTGTGTGTGTGTGTGTGTGTATGTGTGTGTGTATATATATAATAAACATATTTGTAACCCAGGCTGGTTTCGAATTCCTGAGCTCAAAGTGATCCACCCTCCTCAGCCTCCCATAGTGCTGGGATTACAGGCAAGAGCCACACGATGCAATTTTGTCCTGGATTTGTAAATTAGGCTTTCTTGTCTGTAATAACTGTTACCTAACAATTAACAATATCACCTAGCTGTGGAGCATTTATTTATTTATTTATTTATTTATTTATTTATTTATTTAGATGGAAGAGTCTCTCTCTATCACCAGGCTGGAGAGCAGCAGGCGATCTCAGCTCACTGCAACCTATGCTTCCTGGGCTCAAGCAATTCTTCTGCCTCAGCCTCCCAAGTAGCTGGGACTACCATCACGTGCCACCACATCTGGCTAATTTTTGTATTTGTAGTAGAAACGGGGTTTCACCATGTTGGCCAGGATGGTCTCGATCTCTTGACCTCGTGATCCACCTACCTTATCTTCCCAAAATCCTGGGATTACAGGCATGAGCCACCACGCCTGGCCTAATTATTCTTACTGAAATTAAAAATAGTTATTGTTCATCTAAAGGACCCAGGATTACAATGCTCTGTCCTAGTAAATGAAATGTGTCAGATAATATAGATAATACAGCTTTATTGGGAACTCCTATTTATGTTACTTTTGGGAGTTCTGCTCATGGGCTTTGTATTTAAAGTGCAACATATTCACTTAGGTCTTACTGAAGCAGTTAATTGTGGAAGAGCAAATAAGAACCTTATCATTTGTTTCACAATTACTCAAAACTTTATTTATATTATCCATTAGACATCTCTCGAGTGCCTACTGTAGATCTGACACTACATGAGGCCCTCGGACCTTAGAGACAAGCTAGACATGTCCCTTGACCTCAAGGAGTTGCAGTGAAGAGGTCACTTCTACATGGTGCTTGAGATGATGTTTAGGAAAACCTTCACAGCAGAAATGATATTTGAACTGTCTTCGCAGGTAGATAAGGGTATTGTAGGCAGCATGGAAAAAACTAATTTTTGTACAAGTTGCATGATACATGGATGCATGAAATAATTGTGAATTTTTGCAAATAGAAATTGTCAGTGTGTCACATGCACTAGTAGAAAATGGTGCATCATAAAGGGAGGAGGCTGTGGAAGCTGGTGAGGAAAAACAATAGAAGGCTGTGAAGACCAGTTTTGCTCTTTGTCATGTAGACACTTGGGAGCCACTGAAGAATTTGACTTCAGGAGACCCACGGACAGTGCTAAATTTTGGAAAACCTCTACTGTCAATGTAGTGTGATTGAGAGAAAATATTTAGGGGATGATAGACAAGGAGATTTTGAGAAGCAGAACAAACATGGTAACAGTAGGATTGGATTAAACAGATGATGGAGGAAGATTAAACAGATGATGGAGCACATGTTAAGGAAAATCAGTGGAACCCATTTGTTAACTGGAGGTGAGGTTTAAGGAAAGGGGAGTGTGGTGGTGTCAACTTGATTTGGTTAACGAATGTCTGGATAAATGGGAAAATATTAGTTCTGGGTGTGTTTGTGAGGGTTTCTCTGTAAGAGACTAACATTGGAATTGGTGGGCTGAGTAAACATCTGACCTCCCCATGCAAGTGGGCATCCTCCAATCCACTGATTGCCTGTAAAAAAAGGGAGAGGAAGGGAAAAATTCTCTCTTTTTCTTGAGCTGGGATATCCCACTCCTGTCCTTGGACATTGGAGCTCCTGCTCCTGAGGGCTTTGGACTTACACCAGTGTTCCACACCCTACTGCACCACCCGTCCTACTCAGTTCTCATTCCTTTAGCCTCAGACTGAGAATTACACCATGGATTCCCTCGGTTTTGTTTCTCAAGCCTTTGGACTCAAGACTGAATTACACCTCAGGCTTCCCTGGTCCTCCAGCTTGCGATGGCTTATTGTGGCACTTCTCAACTTCTGCAATCACAGGAACCAATTTTTATAATCAATGTCATCTTCTGTCTATCTCTCATCTCTCTCTTTTATTCTGTCTCTCTCTCATTCTCTCCCCCATCCGTCTCTCTCTCTATATATATATCTCTCTCAATCATATTTCTATCTATATATATTTATGTCTATCTATCTGTCCATCTGTCTATCTCTAGCTATCCATCTATTTATCTAACATCTATCTATCTATCTGTCTATCTCTAGCTATCCATCTATTTATCTAACATCTATCTATCTATCTATCTATCTATCTATCAATCTATCTATCTGCCTGCCTGCCTGTCTGTCTGTCTATCTATCCATCTATCCATTCTATTCGTACTGGTTCTGTGGAGAACCCTGACTAATATAGGAAGATAAATGGCAAAGATTGTGATTTGAGTCACTGGGAAAAGAAGACGAGAAGGATGTCACATGGAGGAATTTAATCATTTTAGTCTCATACCTCAGTTTGGGGTATTGCAGGACATTTCTTTGGGTAGATCTCGTGGGTAGTTGAACACACAATTTTCACAGCACATGGAAACTTCCAACTCTTCATATTGATGGAGCCATAGTGAGATTCTAATACCTTATTATGGAGGAATTAAGAAGGCACCCAGGATAGAGTGTTGGGCTGCGTAGGATTGCAGGAGTATCCAAAGGGAATTGAGTTTACTATATAGAGCCCACATTATGCTTTGTTAACATATGCATGAAAAGGACTCTCAAGCTATCAGAGAAAATCTTGGGATAAAACAGTACCTGGAACTGAAATTCCTGCTTTCCAGCTGAGTAAATTCAAATATAGTTTAGAGAAGGAAACAGCTGAATAATAGAAAAGAATATGGTGGAAAGACAGACCTTGATTCCAGAACCACTTTTGCTTTCTTCCTTCTTATCTAGAATTGGGCCTTGCCTTCCCACTAGCCACAACATCAGTACTCTCTGCATTCATGTCTCTGTCCTAATGATATCTTACTCACTAAGGGAGGAAGGGCTTACCTTATCTTATCCTGCTTCTGGCCCCATAAGTGTTATTCCATAAAATCTTGTTAACAACAGAATTGGGATTTAAATCTGTTTTGAAACCTAGTTAATATGTCTTGCCCACCTGTCTATGTCATAAACAAAGACAACTATTATTAAAACAACAACAATACAATGTTTCTTACTTCCAAACACAAATACGTATCCATTCAAAAAACTAGTAATTAAGTATGCACTACACGTTAGGCAACGTTCCCCAAACGGCCACTTCCAATTATTGGATTTAATATGTCTGCACCCTATTTTATCCATGTTTAAAATTATAACTGTAGGACTGGGAGAGGTGGCTCACGCCTGTAATCCCAGCACTCTGGGAGGCCAAGGTGGGCAGATCATGAGCTCAAGAGTTCAAGACCATCCTGGCCAGCATGGTGAAACACTATCTCTACTAAAAAAAAAAGAAAAAAGAAAAATGCAAAAATTAACTGGGCGTGGTGATGTGCACCTGTAGTCCCAGCTACTTGGGAGGCTGAGGCAGGAGAATGGAGAATCGGTTGAACATGAGAGGTGGAGGTTGCAGTGAGCTGAGATCGTGCCACTGCACTCCAGCCTGGACGACAGAGTGAGACTCCATCTCCAAATAAATCAATAAATAAATTATAAATGTAATGCACTGTGGTTATCTGGAAGAATCCAATGAGACAGTACATCATATTTTATAAAATGTAAAGCAATATATGCAAATGCAAAGAACTATGTATTTGGAAAACTAAGTGTGAACTGGACCTTGTTCTTTCATAGTCTATGACTGGAACCTGAAACATGTTCAAATATCATCCAGGACGCTGGCATGAGAGTTGCTGAGTTGCTCAAAATTAACAAGGTCAGATGGAATTGACAAATATTTCACATTGGTTTTTGTTCTAAACCTCTGCAGGAAGGAATTCATGATTAAGTGATGTCATGTGTTTAAACAAGAACAGGAGAGCAAGTTGCTGAAGCTAATAGTTCAGGGGAGGACCTCTGCTGCCTGTGGATAAGATACACATTATTAGTTAATTGGTGCACTGTGGAAAGCCGGAAACAGGAAATCACCATTCTGTAATACTGTGCTCTATAAATCAGCTCAAACTCGTGGATTTTTGATAACTTTGCTAAGGTCTCAATGTGCTCCTATTTTTTTTTTTTTTTCTATTATACTTTAAGTTTTAGGGTACATGTGCACATTGTGCAGGTTAGTTACATATGTATGCATGTGCCATGCTGGTGCACCACACCCACTATATCTCCCAATGCTATCCCTCCCCACTCCCCCCACCCCACAACAGTCCCCAGAGTGTGATATTCCCCTTCCTGTGTCCATGTGATCTCATTGTTCAATTCCCACCTATGAGTGAGAATATGCGGTGTTTGGTTTTTTGTTCTTGCGATAGTTTACTGAGAATGATATTTTCCAATTTCATCCGTGTCCCTACAAAGGACATAAACTCATCATTTTTTATGGCTGCATAGTATTCCATGGTGTATATGTGCCACATTTTCTTAATCCAGTCTATCATTGTTGGACATTTGGGTTGGTTCCAAGTCTTTGCTATTGTGAATAATGCCGCAATAAACATACGTGTTCATGTGTCTTTATAGCAGCATGATTTATAGTCCTTTGGGTATATACCCAGTAATGGGATGGCTGGGTCAAATGGTATTTCCAGTTCTAGATCCCTGAGGAATCGCCACACTGACTTCCACAATGGTTGAACTAGTTTACTGTCCCACCAACAGTGTAAAAGTGTTCCTATTTCTCCACATCCTCTCCAGCACCTGTTGTTTCCTGACTTTTTAATGATTGCCATTCTAACTGGTGTGAGATGGTATCTCATTGTGGTTTTGATTTGCATTTCTCTGATGGCCAGTGACGATGAACATTTTTTCATGTGTTTTTTGGCTGCATAAATGTCTTCTTTTGAGAAGTGTCTGTTCATGTCCTTTGCCCACTTTTTGATGGGGTTTGGTTGTTTTTTTCTTGTCAATTTGTTTGAGTTTATTGTAGATTCTGGATATTAGCCCTTTGTCAGATGAGTAGGTTGCAAAAATTTTCTCCCATTTCATAGGTTGCCTGTTCACTCTGATGGTAGTTTCTTTTGCTGTGCAGAAGCTCTTTAGTTTAATTAGATCCCATTTGTCAATTTTGTCTTTTGTTGCCATTGCTTTTGGTGTTTTAGACATGAAGTCCTTGCCCATGCCTATGCCCTGAATGGTAATGCCTAGGTTTTCTTCTAGGGTTTTTATGGTTTTAGGTCTAACATTTAAGTCTTTAATCCATCTTGAATTGATTTTTGTATAAGGTATAAGGAAGGGATCCAGTTTCAGCTTTCTACATATGGCTAGCCAGTTTTCCCAGCACCATTTATTAAATAGGGAATCCTTTCCCCATTGCTTGTTTTTCTCAGGTTTGTCAAAGATCAGATAGTTGTAGATCTGCGGCGTTATTTCTGAGGGCTCTGTTCTGTTCCATTGATCTATATCTCTGTTTTGGTACCAGTACCATGCTCTTTTGGTTACTGTAGCCTTGTAGTATAGTTTGAAGTCAGGTAGTGTGATGCCTCCAGCTTTGTTCTTTTGGCTTAGGATTGACTTGGCGATGCAGGTTCTTTTTTGGTTCCATATGAACTTTAAAGTAGTTTTTTTCCAATTCTGTGAAGAAAGGCATTGGTAGCTTGATGGGGATGGCATTGAATCTGCAAATTACCTTGGGCAGTGAGGCCATTTTCACGATATTGATTCTTCCTACCCATGAGCAGGGAATGTTCTTCCATTTGTTTGTGTCCTCTTTTATTTCCTTGAGCAGTGGTTTGTAGTTCTCCTTGAAGAGGTCCTTCACATACCTTGTAAGTTGGATTCCTAGGTATTTTATTCTCTTTGAAGCAACTGTGAATGGGAGTTCCCTCATGACTTGGCTCTCTGTCTGTCTGTTGTTGGTGTATAAGAATGCTTGTGATTTTTGTACATTGATTTTGTATCCTGAGACTTTGCTGAAGTTGCTTATCAGCTTAAGGAGATTTTGGGCTGAGACAATGGGGTTTTCTAGATATACAATCATGTCGTCTGCAAAAAGGGACAATTTGACTTCCTCTTTTCCTAATTGAATACCCTTTATTTCCTTCTCCTGCCTAATTGCCCTGGCCAGAACTTCCAAACCTATGTTGAATAGGAGTGGTGAGAGAGGGCATCCCTGTCTTGTGCCAGTTTTCAAAGGGAATGCTTCCAGTTTTTGCCCATTCAGTATGATATTGGCTGTGGCTTTGTCATAGATAGCTCTTATTATTTTGAAATACATCCCATCAATACCTAATTTATTGAGAGCTTTTAGCATGAAGTGTTGTTGAATTTTGTCAAAGGCTTTTTCTGCATCTATTGAGATAATCATGTGGTTTTTGTCTTTGGCTCTGTTTATATGCTGGATTACATTTATTGATTTGCGTATATTGAACCAGCCTTGCATCCCAGGGATGAAGCCCACTTGATCATGGTGGATAAGCTTTTTGATGTGCTGCTGGATTCGGTTTGCCAGTATTTTATTGAGGATTTTTGCATCAATGTTCATCAAGGATATTGGTCTAAAATTCTCTTTTTTTGTGGTGTCTCTGCCTGGCTTTGGTATCAGAATGATGCTGGCCTCATAAAATGAGTTAGGGAGGATTCCCTCTTTTTCTATTGATTGGAATAGTTTCAGAAGGAATGGTACCAGTTCCTCCTTGTACCTCTGGTAGAATTCAGCTGTGAATCCATCTGGTCCTGGACTCTTTTTGGTTGGTAAGCTGTTGATTATTGCCACAATTTCAGCTCCTGTTATTGGTCTATTCAGAGATTCAACTTCTTCCTGGTTTAGTCTTGGGAGAGTGTATGCATCAAGGAATTTATCCATTTCTTCTAGATTTTCTAGTTTATTTGCATAGAGGTGTTTGTAGTATTCTCTGATGGTAGTTTGTATTTCTGTGGGATCGGTGGTGATATCCCCTTTATCATTTTTTATTGTGTCTATTAGATTCTTCTTTTTTCCTTTATTAGTCTTGCTAGTGGTCTATCAATTTTGTTGATCCTTTCAAAAAACCAGCTCCTGGATTCATTAATTTTTTTAACGGTTTTTTGTGTCTCTATTTCCTTCAGTTCTGCTGTGATCTTAGTTATTTCTTGCCTTCTGCTAGCTTTTGAATGTGTTTGCTCTTGCTTTTCTAGTTCTTGTAATTGTGATGTTAGGGTGTCAGTTTTGGATCTTTCCTGCTTTCTCTTGGGGGCATTTAGTGCTATAAATTTCCCTCTACACACTGCTTTGAATGCGTCCCAGAGATTCTGGTATGTTGTGTCTTTGTTCTCATTGGTTTCAAAGAACATCTTTATTTCTGCCTTCATTTCGTTATGTAGCCAGTAGTCATTCAGGAGCAGGTTGTTCAGTTTCCATGTAGTTGAGCAGTTTTGAGTGAGATTCTTAATCCTGAGTTCTAGTTTGATTGCACTGTGGTCTGAGAGACAGTTTGTTATAATTTCTGTTCTTTTACATTTGCTGAGGAGAGCTTTACTTCCAAGTATGTGGTCAATTTTGGAATAGGTGTGGTGTGGTGCTGAAAAAAAATGTATATTCTGTTGATTTGGGGTGGAGAGTTCTGTAGATGTCTATTAGGTCTGCTTGGTGCAGAGCTGAGTTCAATTCCTGGGTATCCTTGTTGACTTTCTGTCTCATTGATCTGTCTAATGTTGACAGTGGGGTGTTAAAGTCTCCCATTATTAATGTGTGGGAGTCTAGGTCTCTTTGTAGGTCACTCAGGACTTGCTTTATGAATCCTGGTGCTCCTGTATTGGGTGCATATATATTTAGGATAGTTAGCTCTTCTTGTTGAATTGATCCCTTTACCATTATGTAATGGCCTTCTTTGTCTCTTTTGATCCTTGTTGGTTTAAAGTCTGTTTTATCAGAGACTAGGATTGCAACCCCTGCCTTTTTTTCTTTTCCATTTGCTTGGTAGATCTTCCTCCATTCTGTTATTTTGAGCCTATGTGTGTCTCTGCACGTGAAATGGGTTTCCTGAATACAGCACACTGATGGGTCTTGACTCTTTATCCAATTTGCCAGTCTGTGTCTTTTAATTGGAGCAGTTAGTCCATTTACATTTAAAGTTAATATTGTTATGTGTGAATTTGATCCTGTCATTATGATGTTAGCTGGTTCTTTTGCTCGTTAGTTGATGCAGTTTCTTCCTAGTCTTGATGGTCTTTACATTTTGGCATGATTTTGCAGCGGCTGGTAGCGGTTGTTCCTTTCCATGTTTAGCGCTTCCTTCAGGAGCTCTCTTAGGGCAGGCCTGGTGGTGACAAAATCTCTCAGCATTTGCTTGTCTGCAAAGTATTTTATTTCTCCTTCGCTTATGAAGCTTAGTTTGGCTGGATATGAAATTCTGGGTTGAAAATTCTTTTCTTTAAGAATGTTGAATATTGGCCCCCACTCTCTTCTGGCTTGTAGGGTTTCTGCCGAGAGATCCACTGTTAGTCTGATGGGCTCCCCTTTGAGGGTAACCCGACCTTTCTCTCTGGCTGCCCTTAACATTTTTTCCTTCATTTCAACTTTGGTGAATCTGACAATTATGTGTCTTGGAGTTGCTCTTCTCGAGGAGTATCTTTGTAGCGTTCTCTGTATTTCCTGAATCTGAACATTGGCCTGCCTTGCTAGATTGGGGAAGTTCTCCTGGATAATATCCTGCAGAGTGTTTTCCAACTTGGTTCCATTCTCCCCATCCTTTCAGGTACACCAATCAGACGTAGATTTGGTCTTTTCACATAGTCCCATATTGCTTGGAGGCTTTGCTCATTTCTTTTTATTCTTTTTTCTCTAAGCTTCCCTTCTCACTTCATTTCATTCATTTCATCTTCCATCGCTGATACCCTTTCTTCCAGTTGATCGCATCGGCTCCTGAGGCTTCTGCATTCTTCACGTAGTTCTCGAGCCTTGGTTTTCAGCTCCATCAGCTCCTTTAAGCACTTCTCTGTATTGGTTATTCTAGTTATACATTCTTCTAAACCTTTTTCAAAGTTTTCAACTTCTTTGCCTTTGGTTTGAATGTCCTCCCGTAGCTCAGAGTAATTTGATCGTCTGAAGCCTTCTTCTCTGAGCTCGTCAAAGTCATTCTCCATCCAGCTTTGTTCCGTTGCTGGTGAGGAACTGCGTTCCTTTGGAGGAGGAGAGTCGCTCTGCTTTTTAGAGTTTCCATTTTTTCTGTTCTGTTTTTTCCCCATCTTTGTGGTTTTATCTACTTTTGGTCTTTGATGATGGTGATATACAGATGGGTTTTTGGTGTGGATGTCCTTTCTGTTTGTTAGTTTTCCTTCTAACAGACAGGACCCTCAGCTGCAGGTCTGTTGGAATACCCTGCCGTGTGAGGTGTCAGTGTTCCCCTGCTGGGGGTTGCCTCCCAGTTAGGCTGCTCAGGGGTCAGGGGTCAGGGACCCACTTGAGGAGGCAGTCTGCCCGTTCTCAGATCTCCAGCTGTGCGCTGGGAGAACCACTGCTCTCTTCAAAGCTGTCAGACAGGGACATTTAAGTCTGCAGAGGTTACTGCTGTCTTTTTGTTTGTCTGTGCCCTGCCCCCAGAGGTGGAGCCTACAGAGGCAGGCAGGCCTCCTTGAGCTGTGGTGGGGTCCGCCCAGTTCGAGCTTCCCGGCTGCTTTGTTTACCTAAGCAAGCCTGGGCAATGGCGGGCGCCCCTCCCCCAGCCTCGCTGCCGCCTTGCAGTTTGATCTCAGACTGCTGTGCTAGCAATCAGTGAGACTCAGTGGGCGTAGGACCCTCCGAGCCAGGTGCGGGTTATAATCTCGTGGTGCGCCGTTTTTTAAGCCCGTTGGAAAAGCGCAGTATTCGGGTGGGAGTGACCCAATTTTCCATGTGCCCTCTGTCACCCCTTTCTTTGACTCAGAGAGGGAACTCCCTGACCCCTTGGCTTCCCAAGTGAGGCAATGCTCGCCCTGCTTCGGCTCGCGCATGGTGTGCACACTCACTGACCTGTGCCCACTGTCTGGCACTCCCTAGAGAGATGAACCCGGTACCTCAGATGGAAATGCAGAAATCACCCTCTTCTGCTCCGCTCACGCTGGGAGCTGTAGACCGGAGCTGTTCCTATTCGGCCATCTTGGCTCCTCCCTTTTTTTTCTTAAAGGAAGAAATTAAATAATCTGTATTTGAGATAATATAATCGCCAATGCAAAACAAACCTAAAGACAAAATAAATCTTTCTATAACTAAGTAAATCTAGCATGATTGCAGAATACAAATTGCATATATAGTAGCCAGTCTTATCTTTAAATAACAGAAAATAAAAATTAGAATTATAATTGAAATACTGATATGGTTTGGCTGTGCCCCCACCCAATTCTCATCTTGAGTTTATAGCTCCCATAATTCCCATGTGTTGTGGGAGGGAGCCGGTGGCAGATAATTGAATCATGGGGGCAGTTTCTCCATACTGTTCTCATAGTAATAAGTCTCACAAGTTCTGGTGGTTTTAAAGTGGTTTCCCCTTTTGCTTGGCTCTCATTCTCTCTTGCCTCATGCCATGTATTAGTGTGTCAGGTTGCCTAGGCTACAGTCTTCTGTCATTCGATCTAGTTGTTGCTGTGAAAGGACTTTGCAGATATAAAGTATGAACAGCTGCTAAAACATTTGCATATTATATCTGTCTATCTATAGATTGATTTGTTATCAGGAATTCACTTAAGTAATTGTAGACCTTAGTAAGGAGGGGAAGATCACCAACAGGCTTAAACTTCACAGGCACAAGCTGAAACTATTGTCCACAAGTAGAATTTCTCCTTCCTCCTCTTTCTCCTCTTCTTCCTCTTTCTCTCTGCTCTCTCATCCTTCTCTATCTTTTTTCTTTCTTTCTCCTCAGACTAGCTTTTAAGGCCTTTCAGTGTAAAGTCAGGCCCACCCAGGTTGCATAAGATAATCTCTTTTACTTAAAATAGGCTTCTATTTCTAATCAGCTTCCTTTTTTCTTGAATTCAGGTGTCTGTGTTTATTTGCAAAAGTTCCCGAGATCCTATAATTAGCAACCTCCATATGAATATTTTTGAAACCAGCCCAGCCCACATATTGGGTAAAACTGTACCTGAAAGCATAAATGTTTTCAAAATTGAGTAGAAGATGATCAGGTATTACTATCCTTTTGGAATAAGAAAAGAAGTCATAAAGTGCATTTCTGGCAAGATAAAGGTGTGTGCACAATCCATTGCTATGACTTGTAAAATATTCTCTACAGCATAAAATATTCCACTATAGAACATTCTTGCCTAGTTTGGATGTAGCTGTTTTTTCCTTAGAGTACAGTTGCTCTTCATGTTTTATTTTGAAGTTCATCTGTCCCCCAAAGTGAAGAATATTGAATGCTAAAATATCAACTTCTAGTTTTACTTTAAAAAGTGAAAGAAAATAATCCTCTGAGGCACATCGACTGCATAATATTTGCACATTCCAAAATAATTAAATAAAATAAATCTAGCTAGTGTCAATACAAGAGCTGTTTCTGCAACCAATAAGTTAATAATAATTAGGCTCAGACCTCTATCTTAGTGGTCTGTGACCCAACACAAGTTTTTAACTTTGCCAAAATCGTGAAGGTCAGAGAAGAGCAAATAAACAGTGAAACGGAGAAAGTTGAATTACAATTGAACAATTTGAATATTGAAAGCATCATAAGTAGTCAATTAAGAAGGTCAGTTTTTCAAAAGCTTTAGGAAACATGAAAAGTACCATAAAATGTGAAATGCCTCCAGATACTGCTAAATGCCCCCTGGGAGGGCAAAATCACCTCTGGTTTAGAACCACTAATAAGTAATCCAGTGGCTGTGAAAATATCACTCATGTGAAACAAAATATTGATAAGTCAGTTTATCATTAGCATTTATACTTATCCATGTGTATATTTGTTTTCTTTTTTCTTTTTTACTTCCTTGTGTGTTCAAAGACAGATGTTGCTCTGTCACCCATGCTGGAGTAGAGCCGTGCAATGAAGACCCACTGCAGCCTTGAACTCCTGGGTTCAAGCAATCCTCCCACTTCAGCCTGTGTTGCCCAGGCTGATCTTGAACTCCTACCCTCAAGTGATCCTCCCACCTCAAAGCACTGGGATTACAGGCATGATCCACTTCACCTAGGCTGCTTTCA
This sequence comes from Homo sapiens, assembly GCF_000001405.40. NCBI lineage: Eukaryota > Metazoa > Chordata > Mammalia > Primates > Hominidae > Homo > Homo sapiens. Next base: position 14,010,510 of record NC_000024.10, on the reverse strand, counting down.
TCGTTTGTTGAGCCATAGTTCCAAAAGATAGTTATCAATAACACTTTGGTGAATAAAAACTTAATAATGACAGAACAGGCAGAAACTCCATCCCTCGTTCTTATTGACTCTTGGATCATTAGGCTGCAGTAATAGCCTCGTAGAGGTATCAAGAAGGAGAGAAAACAGGCCCTGCTCTTTGTTCTTTCTACATTCTATTGAAAGCTACTACATTACCTTTAAGCCACTTGGATTTTAACCTCCTGGCCCTACTCCCACAGAGCTGCTTCCTGACCTCCACGGAAATGGTGCCTTTGGTTAGATCCTTACATAATTGTGCTACCTTGGGCAAGTCCCTTTGTCTCTCTAAAAATAAATTTCTTTCCCTATTGGTTCCATATTTCATACTTTATAACCCTTGGTTTATGTGGCTCAGTAAATGTAATCTTCACTTAGAAGTGCCTCATTTGCTGTGAGGAGGATAATAGCAGTGATGCAAAGGTCATATTTTGCAAACTTTACTGATGTGCTTCCGTTTTTGCATTTCTGTGAGCATATCCTTCTCGCTAGGCATCCTGAGGCATTCTGAGGTATCCAGAGGCCTAAGGCAGAGAGAGTGGCTTCTGAACTATTGCTACAAAATGCAGAATATCGAGCTACTGAGTAAAGTGCAAAGGGAAATAAAGAGGCCGTGTTGAGCTATTGACAAGCACAGGGGTTTTTTTTTCTTTCTTTCTTTAGAGACAACAGCTGTAAAGACCATAATTTGTTGAGAGAGACAAAAGGATTCTTTAAGTCAAAATTTCCCAGATTGTAACCTTTAAGATTTAACCTATTATGAGGCCACACACACAGTTTCTCTCTCTTTCTCTACATGCACACACATAGACATACACACGGGCACACACATACACAAGATATAACAGATTTCAATGTTATGCCAAGAGTAAAGAGAACTCAGGATACAAGGTAATGTTTTGTAATCCTGGCTGCATGTTGGAAATGATTTGCAAAACACTATTTCATGTAGGACATACCCCGAACAGTGACTGAGAATCTGCATGACCCAAACATCAGCATTTTTTAAAAGCTTCCCTGGTACAGTCAAGTTTAAGAATCACTGATGTTGGACAAAAAAACAAGCTGTTTCTTCCAAACCAGGGACATGCAGGAAGAAGATGTGGATGAGAGTAAAACTGACAGTAGGAGCATATAACTTGATCTCCTTCCTTGGGGTACCGCTGAGATGAGTTTACATGGGTTGAGAGTCACACTGGTGGGTGGAGTGCTGCTTGCTCTTTTGGAAAGTGGGAGAAGACATTTGCACAGATGTCCCACAGCAACGAGGGTGGCCACCTGTGGAGGCAGTATGTATGTCTGTGTTAGCAGAAGATTCTACTCCCTGTATCACTGGGGAGAAGTACAGTTGGCAGGCAGTACAGACTGGTGGACTTCCCACGGGGTTGCTGCAGGCGGAGTTGCCTGCTAACAACCAGAGGCAGAGCAGAATGCAGGGGCTAGCAATGGAAGAGGAGTCGCCACCAGACATCTAGTAGCAGCAAGAGCTCAAGTGGGGCTAAGTCCATAGGGAAAGACCATTAGACCTCCAACATGCTAGAAGAGACAAAACTAAGAAATATTCCAAGGCAAAAACTGCATATCAAATGGAGGAGTTTTGTGGCTGGATGGAGACAAACCCCACACAGAGGGAACAAGCCATGCACATACAGGGACCAGAGAGAGCCCAGGGCCCCCATCCCATTGTACAAAGTGACACCTTCATAAACTTATCCACCATCTTGGGGAAGAGGAAGGTGAGTAGGGCTCTCACCAGCTGAGCATCTACCCAAAGGGTCTAAGGTACCCATAAGTGATTGCTTAAAACAGGGGTGATAAGAAATTCCACTTTACTAGAGCAGATGTATAAACTGAAAGGAACTTGCTTAGCAAGAGACTGAAATATTTTAAATCGGAAATTAGGTTTTCTACCTATTGTGTGCTGTTTATAGAGAAGATTTGACTTTCCACAGAAAACTAAAAGGTCATATTTTTAAAATCAGTATGAGTAGAATGTAAGTTAAGTGAATGCATTCTATGCGTAGAATGCAAGTTAAGTTTAGCAGGGAGGATGATGAGCTATTATTGGTACATAAGTGTGAATTCCTCTGCTACAAAGAGAAGTAGGAGGATAGATAAATAAATTAGTTACTCTCCTCTTTTGCAAATTTGGAAATAATGTGAATAAATGTTCAACTCTGTTACTGTAACTGTTTTCAAGAAACTCACCAGCACTTTTATTCAAAAGCTTGTCATTATCAAAATGAAAGTGTAATCATAGATACAGCAGCTGCGTGGGAACATATTTGCTTCAGATAATGCTCCAACCATTAAAAAAAAAAGAAAAGAAAGAAAGAAAGAAAGAAAGAAAGAAAGAAAGAAAGAAAGAAAGAAAAGAATGGCAGCTGTCACTATGTTAATCTTTGCATTAACGGCATGACAAGTAATGCAATCCAAGGTTGGCCTGCCTGGGGTGAATGTGTGATAGCTCAGAATGCTGGACCCCCTTGGCAGTGACCATTGTGTTGTTTAAATGGCAGAAAAAGTCAAAATATGGCAAGGTGAGAACTTGCATGTAATAAGATTCCTTCACATCTTGGAACTTTTCTGAGATGCTGAAGCTGAGGTGGCCAGGTCATTAAACAGCTCCAAAGGCTGAACCAGATTGCTTAGAAAAACCCAGTGGGAGCCTTGGACATTTATTCACCCATTGAATAAAGGAAGTCTCATGGAATCAGAAGAGATGCACAACATTAATCTTGCAAGATACACACGTTTAAAATCTAGAAGAGACAAGTGAAGGTGAAAAAGTGACAGGAAAAATGTAAGAGAGGGACTGCCTAAAAAAAGAGTGAATGCCCAAAATAATGGATCAGTAAATAGTTGCATGGATTCAACAAGAAATAAGCATCAAATAAAAATAAATAATGACAGAAATAGATTATAACCTGTTTAATAAAAGGACTCTATGAGCCCAGGTTATACGTTACTGTGCAATGTCAATTGATAGAATGTAGAAGAAATGGTGGAATTAGAATATTGCTATTTCATAATGATAACTATAATAATTCATTCAAGAAATATTAATGCCCGGCACTTTGGGAGGCTGAGGTGGGAGAATTGCTTGAGGCCAGGAGTTCAAGAGCAGCCTGGGAAATGCGGCAAGACCTGATCTCTGCAAAGACAATTAAAAATTAGCTGGGCCTGATGACTGTCCCTGTAGTCCCAGCTACTCAGGAGGCTGAGGTAGGAGGATCAGTTGATCCTAGGAGTTGGAGGCTGCAATGAGCTATGATTGCACCTCTGTACTTCAGCCTGGGCAAGAGAGCAAGACCCTGCCTTAAAAAAAAAAAAAAGAGAGAGAGAGAAAAAGAAATATCAATAGATATTTGTGTACAATATGGGTACAAATTTGACGAGGAATGTAATATTTACATGGATACCAAAGTACCTCTGTACAAAGTTCTGTTGATTACTACAGAAAAACTTGGAATACTCTGCCCTAATGAAGTGATCAAGATGGACAAGCCAGGAGACAAATCTACCACCAGACGGGATGCAGGGCAAAGAACACAGAATGACATTTGTAGTGTTCCTGCTACATATGCATAATCCAAATCTAATGATGAGCAAACACAAGAAAAAATGACGAGGCAAACTAACAGGCATGAAACCTTCAAAAACATCAAGGTCATGACAGTCCAAGAAAGGCTAAGAGACAATTTCAGATTAAAAGAGACATCCCCCCACCACAAAAAAAAAAAAAAAAAAAAAAAAAAAAAAATGCAGCTAAATACAATGCATGATTCCCTATTGAATCTTTCCACTGTGAGGGACATTATGAGGACAACTGGCAAACTTTGAAGGGGATCTGTGGCAGTTAACATGCCAAGTTTTAAGTTTCTGATTTTGGTGGCTTTACTGTGATTATGTAAGAGAATGTGCTTCTTTCCAGGAAATACACACACAAGTATGTCCACAACTGTCTTCAAACGGCTTAGGAAAAATAAAAGTTCATGGATTTCTTTGCAATTATTCTTTTCTTTTCTTTTTTTTTTTTTTTTTTTTTTTTTTTGAGACGGAGTCTCGCTCTGTCGCCCAGGCTGGAGTGCAGTGGTGCGATCTCGGCTCACTGCAAGCTCCGCCTCCCGGGTTCACGCCGTTCTCTTGCTTCAGCCTCCCTAGTACCTGGGACTACAGGCGCCCGCCACCACGGCCACCTAATTTTTTGCATTTTTTAGTAGAGACAGGGGTTTCAACATATTAGCCAGGATGGTCTCGATCTCCTGACCTCCTGATCCGCCCACCTCAGCCTCCCAAAGTGTTGGGATTACAGGCGTGAGCCACCGCGCCCGGCCCAATATCCTCCCACTTTTTTTTTTTTTTTTTTTTTTCCCCCCCGAGTGGGAGTCTCGCTCTGTCGCCCAGTGTGGAGGGCAGTGGCACATCTCGGCTCACTGCAAGCTCTGCCTCCCGTGTTCACGCCATTCTCCTGCCTCAGCCTCCAGAGTAGCTGGGACTACAGGCGCCCGTCACCACGCCCGGCTAATTTTTTTTGTATTCTTGGTACAGACGGGGTTTCACCGTGTTAGTCAGGATGGTCTCGATCTCCTGACCTCGTGATCCACCCGCCTCATCCTCCCAAAGCGCTGGGATTACAGGCGCAATTATTCTTAAGATTAAGAGTATTTCAAAAATTTTAAAAATATATTATACATGGATTAAATCAATGAGAATTTAAAAAGATGTCAGAAAAATAAGTTTTGAATAACCAGAAATATTCTGTTAATACATTGTTGAAAATACATATTCAGAGTCACTACAAATAACTTAGGAAACAAGTAAACCTTTATGTCTGCAGTAAAAAAAAAATACTTGCTATTCAAAGAAATTGAATTTGTTTAGGAGTGTGAATGAAGAAATATTACATTAGAGGAAAAAGTACTCTTGTTTTTTCACATTATTTTTAAAAAGGCAAGGATAAATAGCTATATTGAAGGGACAATTATCTTCTTTAAAAATATTTTTTTCAGAGTGAGACTGTTTAATCTGATTGAGATTTTTAAAAATTGACCTGCATGTATATGGTACACATATTATTCAAGTCCAAATAGCTTTACATCAATGATAGTGATCAAACAAATTGGTTTGATCGTAACATCTTGAGGCACATTAATTTTGAATGCCTAGTCAGGTAGAGTTCAAACAGCCTAGATAGGTATCTGTAGCAACCCCTGGAGGAATTTTTAACTGGGCAATAAAAGTATGTTAGAGTGATTGTGCTGTGTACATCTTCAATAAATTGTTGTGATATAATTTGCCAAGTCTCCCACACTGTGGAATTAGTACAATCCTTCTATGCAGAGGGCATCAATCTAGCTCAGTGGTTCCCACCCAGGGGTGACGTTGTCCCCCAGGGCACATTAGGCAACGTCTGGAGGCATTTTTAGTTGTCACCAGGGAGGGTGATGTTCCTGGCATCGAGTGCATGGAGGCCAGGGATGCTGCAAAATATTCACAAGGCCCAAGACAATCCCACCACAGAGGATGATCCAGCTCCAAATGTCAGTAGCGCTGTGACTGAGGGCCACTGACCTCGGTTCTTGTGCAAACCACCCACTTTGGGGTAAGTTTAGCATGGGCAGGTCCCAGGGAAGTTAAAAGCAAGAAAGCCAAGTGGGGGTAAACAGATTGTTCTTTCAGTGGATGGAGGGAACAGCCAATCTTGCTTGGGAAACACAAACACACTTGCTTTGGAAACAAAAGTTTACTAATTATATTTATGTCTCTCCAGGTTATAAGATGGAAGCTTCTCACAGTGGAAGTTTTATTTGTTAATTTTCTGAATAAAGCTAATAAAATTTGTAGGTATCAAGACCCACACTTGGATATAAACTGGGTTTCCTTTTTAGACTCCACAAATTGATGCGGAGATGCTGTGAGTGGAAGGTGATCTTAACTTTTTTTTTTTTTTTTTTTTTTGAGTCAACTGCATAAGCAATAAAGATTGTTAACAAAATAAAACTTTGTATTTTTCCCCATATCCCTACAATCTGTCTCTAGATGGAATATTTCTTTTTCTCCTGGCCTTTGCTGTACTGATTGTTTTACTCCATAAGCCTTGATTATGTCATAGGAGAATTTATGTAGCCGCAAGAAACAAGGAATCCAACCCAAATGGAAAACCCTCCTGGTCTTTGTCACTCAGAATTCAACATGCTGTTTTCTTTGTCCTTCAGGGACTACCAACACTTGTATCTTGATCATAGATTTCAGCTTACTATCCCTTACTTCCTGACTTTTACATTCAGCTTGCCATATATTGATAGATTGCAATTGCCAAATTTTCTTTTCTCCAGACATGCCATAGAATCTATTAAGTTGATTTTATTCTTGTCTGTAGGACAAATTCTTCTGTATTCATAATCCAGTTTAGCAGAAACTTATATTTATGTCTAACCAACATCTACGTCACAAACTTAGCTTCTGACTTTTCGTGATAGCTTCTGACAGTAAGGTGGGCCAGAGGAAAAAAAAATATGGAATACAGAAACCTAGAACAAAGGGAAATTGCAAATTCCCTTGAATCTGCTTCTGTTGCTTACTTCCATTAGTCTGTATCTGCCTATAGCTGTCATCCAATTTTTACCTTCAAGCTCTTTGTGTTTTCTTTTTATTCTTCTTTTTTAAGAATTCTGAACCCTCTGCCAGGAGCTATCCCCTTCCCTGCCAATCAGATGAGCTTATTCTGCTCCTTCAGGTATTTATTTGATTCCTGAACCATAGCTCCACATAACCCTACAGACTTGTTCTAAAAAAAAAAAAAAAAAAAAAATTCTGGGCGCGGTGGCTCACACCTGTAAGCACATCACTTTAAGGGGCCGAGGTGGGTGGATCATGCGGTCAAGAGATCCAGACAATCCTGGCCAACATGGTGAAACCCTGTTTCTACTAAATATACAAAAATTAGCTGGGCATGGTGGCACATGCCTATAGTCCTAGCTACGCAGGAGGCTGGGACAGGAGAATTGCCTGAACACGGGAGGCAGAGGTTGCAGTGAGTTGAAATCATGCCACTGCCCTCCAGCCTGGCAACAGAGTGAGACTCCATCTCAAAAATAAATAAATAAATGAATAAATAAATAAATAAATAAATAAATACCATCAGGCACCTCTGAAGCAGTTTTTTCCTCTATTAAGCGAACAATTGAATAATAGCAACCTTAGAAGCCAAGTAAATGTTGCCAAAACAAAGTGTTTGCTTTGCCAGAAAATATTAATGAAAGCATTTCAATAGCAGTCATAAAACAAATACCTGCAAAATGGGCAAAAAAACACATCAAATATGTTTTGCCATCCTTTCGAAGCACCCGGTTTTGCTTATGCTTAATTTTTTGACCTAACCACTAACCCAGTAGATATTGTGTGAAATTATATTTCCTAACTCTCCCTACCACCCACAGAAAATTCAGTAAAAAGACTTTGTTTGCCAAAAATAGGATATTTGTAGTTAATATACACCCATATCGAATTATTTGAAGTTGCTTAGAATTCAATATGCACACTGGCAATCTGATAGAAAAGGATTGAAAAAATGTATATATGCACTGGGCACATTACAATATAGCTCCAGCAAGTCTTGATTTGATGTAAGCCGCCTAGAGTATAAAATATATATATATATATATAATATTTATATATTTATATGTATATGAATATATATTTATATGTATATGAATATATATATTTACATATATTTATATGTATATGAATATATATATTTACATATATTTATATATATTTATATGTGTATAATTATATATATTTATATGTGTATAATTATATATATTTATATGTGTATAAGTATATATATTTATATATTTATATGTATATATATTTATATGTATTTATATGTATATATATTTATATATTTATATGCATATATTTATATATTTATATGTGTATATATTTATATATATTTATATGTGTATATATTTATATATATTTATATGTGTATATATTTATATATATTTATATGTGTATATATTTATATATATTTATATGTATATAAATATACATACACACACACACACACACACACATATTCCCACTGAAATTCTTATCTGGAATGAGTGTTTTTTTGACCAGTTATAACAACTGCAATCTTGATGACTGCAGTCCCATAGGATTCATTCTTGTATTTGACAAGAAATCTTGTCAAAATCTATTCATAGATGAGTCAACTTGCTTAACTGACATGAAAAAGGACTACATTTTGTCCAAACTATGATTGAATTTAACAATAATGCTTAGTCCCGTATCATCTATTTTAATATATATTATGCTATAAAATATATCTTCAGAAATATTTAAAATGTAACCCTATCTGGTCTTTTCTCCTGACATTTGTAACACCTAATACTTCTAATAATGTAAATGTTGACAATTCTACCCTACTAGAAATCTATTATAATCTATAATTGCATCCATGTTTACTTAATTGGAAGTCTTTAAAATTATGTAAATACTCTAAAATTTCCTTCAGTTGTTCTTAACCAGGGACAATTTTACACACACACACCCCAGCTCCATACCCCAGAAGGGTATTTGACAATGTTTGGAGAAATTTTTGTTTGTCAGGATTGAGGGTGGGGGTGCAACTGGCATTTAGTTGGTAGGTGCCAGAGATTCTGCTAACATCCTATGATGCAGAAGACAGCCCTCTCAGGACAAAGACAATCCAGTACACATTTCAGTAATGCTGAGGTTGAAAACACACAATTTACTTTGAGTGTGTGTCTTCTGTGGATAAAACAAGTTTAATGCCTAAAAGAGATGGCTCTCCCTCTCCCTCTCCCTCCTCTCCGTCATCTCCTTCTCCCGCTTTCCACGGTCTCCCCCTCTCCCTCATCTCTGTCTCCCGCTTTCCACAGTCTCCTTCTGTTGCCAAGGCTGGACTGTACTGCCGCCATCTCGGCTCACTGCAACCTCCCTGCCTGATTCTCCTGCCTCAGCCTGCTGAGTGCCTGGGATTGCAGGCACGCGCCGCCACGCCTGACTGGTTTTTGTATTTTTTGGTGGAGACCGGGTTTCCCCGTGTTTGCCGGGCTGGTCTCCAGCTCCTGACCTGGAGTGATCTGCCCGCCTCGGCCTCCCGAGGTGCCGGGGTTGCAGACGGAGTCTCGCTCACTCAGTGCTCAATGTTGCCCAGGCTGGAGTGCAGTGGCATGATCTTGGCTCGCTACAACCCCCACCTCCCAGCCGCCTGCCTTGGCCTCCCGAAGTGCTGAGATTGCAGCCTCTGCCCGGCAGCCACCCGGTCTAGGAAGTGAGGAGCATCTCTGCCTGGCCACCCATCGTCTGGGATGTGAGGAGCCCCTCTGCCCGGCCGCCCAGTCTGGGAAGTGAGGAGCGCCTCTTCCCGGCCGCCACCCCGTCTAGGAAGTGAGGAGTGTCTCTGCCCCACCGCCACCCCGTCTGGGAGGTGAGGAGCATCTCCGCCCGGCCACCCCGTCTGAGAAGTGAGGAGCCCCTCTGCCCGGCGGCCACCCCATCTGGGAGGTGTACCCAACAGCCCATTGAAAACGGGCCATGATGACGATGGCGGTTTTGTCGAATAGAAAAGGGGGAAATGTGGGGAAAAGAAAGAGAGATCAGATTGTTACTGTGTCTGTGTAAAAAGAAGTAGACATAGGGGACTTCATTTTGTTCTTCTGTACTAAGAAAAATTCTTCTGCCTTGGGATGCTGTTAATCTATGACCTTACCCCCAACCCCGTGCTCTCTGAAACAGGTGCTGTGTCCACTCAGGGTTAAATGGATTAAGGGCGGTGCAAGATGTGCTTTGTTAAACAGATGCTTGAAGGTGGCATGCTCGTTAAGAGTCATCACCACTCCCTAATCTCAAGTACCCAGGTGCACAAACACTGCGGAAGCCCGCAGGGTCCTCTGCCTAGGAAAACCAGAGACCTTTGTTCATATGTTTATCTGCTGACCTTCTCTCCACTATTGTCCTATGACCCTGCCAAATCCCCCTCTCTGAGAAACACCCAAGAATGATCAATAGATACTAAAAAATTTTTTAAAAAAAGTTTAAAACATCAGAAAATACCTTGTGAAGTATATTCTTTAAAATTAAATGTTACTTATTCTGAAATATTCTACATAAATATGAATAAACTGAATGTGGAATAAGAACAACCAGAAAACTAGTAAACTGAACACAGTAGAATTTATGAACGTGAAGGTATACTGTTTATATTCTGAATCAGAGTTTTCTAGAAAGTAATATTGTTTATACATTTTTCCAGTATGTGGCTTCTGTTTTCCAAAACACACAGTCAAGAAGTTCTTACAAAGGCATCTCAGTTTAATGAGTTTTCAGGAAAGAAAATATTCAAGAGTTAAGCAAAACTTAATCAGAAACATTTGAGTTTTATTCAATTTCCTATAAAATGCCATATGGATTTCAAAATTAATAGTGGAATCTACATGACAAATGAGTAAGGGGTCAGTCTACTTTCTAGATATTAGGAGTACTTGTCATATGTTAAAAGAGGAACTGATGTTTCTCATGTCTAAAATTTTGATAGAATTATTTTATCATAGAATCTAGTCTTGGTTGCTCATTGAGCTAGCATACAGCAAAGATTTCATAGGGTTTAAAATAAGAGTGTTAAAACTGGGGAACATTTTAATCAAATCCTCATCAATAATAGGACAAATTGAAAATTATTCGCTTAGAATGTGACAGAATGCGAAGTCAAGAAGAGGGCCTCACCCCTGCACTAACTCTGGCAAATATTTGCAGTCCAGACATAATCAGGATGAAATAGCAGACAAACCCAAATGGAGGGACAGTCTGTGAAATAACTGGCTGCTACGCTTTAATTGTGCTACAACCAGGAAAGTCAAAGAAAGATGAGGAATCAGACTGAAGGAGACTAAGAGACATGAAAACTCATGGCAGTGCATAATTCTAACTGGCTCCTTCTGCCTCAAGGCATTTAAAGGCAGTCTGACCATTAGAAGGTAGAAATACATCAGTGCCCATTTCTTGATTTTTAGGTCTTGACTGTTTCTGTGTATAATAATCCTCTTCTGGGGAAATGCATGCTAAAATATTCAGGATATGAGGTATCCGATTGGAAACTTACCCTCAGATGTCTTAGGAAAAAAGAAAGCTATTTACATTCCATACTGAAATTTTTTGTAGGTTTTTGACTGCTTCGAAATAATATATGAGTAGCACGTCATCTCCAAATTATATATATATATAAAAATTATTGTTTCAAAGTTATGCATATATGTTTTTAAGGGGGTACCAAGTCAACCCCAATAAAACCGCATGACTCAAGAAAAAATGATGTTCAATTTATCCACACCATAGAGTTTAGACACTAATATAAAATGTTTTCATTTAAAATTATTACCATAAAGATATCTTACCACTGAATAAGGGAGGTACTTCGTAATAACTAATGATTGGAAACAACCCAAATGCCCATTAACAAAATATCGTGTAACTATATAATCATCACTTTTTAGCCACAAAGGAATGAACTACTGACAGATGCCATAAGATGGATGGACCTAAAACCAGTATCCAGACTAATAGAAGCAATGCACAAAAAGGCCACATAGTGTATTATTACATTCATATGAAATATTTTGAATAGAGAAGTCAATAGAAACAAAGTAAATTAGTGGTTGCCCGGGGCTGCGAGAAGGCTAGGATCACTGGGGATGTTGGCTAAAAGAGATGGGATTTCTTTCTGACATGATAAAAATATTCTACCATTGACCATGGTAATATTCACAATGTCTGTGAATACACCTGATGTGGTAAGTCTTTGTGTACTCACCAAAATCTCATCTTGAATTGTAATCCCTAGGTGTTGAGGGGAGAACATAGTGGGAGGTGATTGGATCATGGGGACAGTTTCCCCCATGCTGGTTGCATGATAGTAAGTTATCACTAGATCTGATGGTTTTATAAGATTTTGGCAAGTTTCTCCTTCACTCAGTCTTTTCTCTCCTGTTACCATGTGGAGAAGGTCCACACTTCTTTGCCTTCCACCATGATTGTAAATTTCCCGAGGCCTCCCTAGCCATGCAGAACTGTGAGTCAATTAAACCTCTTTCCTTTGTAAATTATAATTTTATACATTTCTTTATAAATTATGGTATTTCTTTATAGCAGTGTGAAAACAAGACTAACACAATACCAAACCCACAGAACTGTGCACTTTAAATGAGTGAATTAAGTGGTATACATACTCTACCACAGTAAAACCACTGGAGAAAGGAGAGATGGGTATTCTTTTTCTTTTCTTCCCCCTTATTTCTTCAATTTTTGTCAACTACATAATGTACACTGTTAATCATTTGTACATTTTTTTGAGCGTATGTCTTGCCACTGAATGTTGCTGAACTTCCGTTCAAGTAGGAACAGACATAGTTACTGGCTATCAAATAACCCTTCCTATGTTATTATCCATGTTTTTAAAAGTTATGCATCCCAAGCTTCAATAATATGAGTGAATAAATGGAAAGGGAATTATATGTACATGGATTACATGACTCTAACATTTACATTTGTATTTAGATATTTATTGAAGAGGGGAAATATAGTGTATTCTGTTAAATAACGTGTGCCTTTATATTGCGGTTTACAGCATTTACACATTCTCAGCATATGAATATTTGGAAATCTTGTAAATACTGCTTCGTTCTTGGTTTATGTGACATGTACAAAACATATTTTGTGATAGTCTGATTATTATTGGAGTCCCCCACTAGCTTGCAGGCTCACTAAGGACAGGGTCTTTGTTGTTCAGTTTCATTAAAACAGCAAGTACTTTAAAATATTTAATGAATTATAAACATATTTCTATCTGTTTTAATCTCGTTTTTAAAAAATTCCATTGCAAGTTCTTTCCAGGCAGAGTATCTTTTGATTCTGACATTGTTCATTTACTCTTGTTTTGTCACCATCTCTGTGAATGAAATTGAACATGGATTTGATATAACTAGGAACTTGCTCTGTTTTTATAATTTAAATGAAAAATCCTTTCATTCAAATAAACACAGGCCTTCAATTAACAAATAGTTTTTGCTAACCCCTGCTGCTGCATTTTTCTCAGTAATTCTTAAGTGAGAATCATGGTAACTTCACCAATCCCTTTATGTTAAAAGCAAGGATGTTCTTACGACTGGTAAGAGGTTGCTGCAAAAGTAATTGAGGTCTGAAAGTAACGGCAAAAACCACAATTACCTTTGCACCAGTTTAATAAAAAGCAATTTATGAAATGGCCATAACAATATACGCCAAAATTGTCATTTAAAGATGTAGTGTCATATATTGAAACATAACTTGGATATTTTCCAGATTCAGTTTCAAAAACAACAAAAATAAAATATAACTGTCCCATGAACCTATTTTCATCTTTTCCAACTCTTGCCCTCTACGGATTCAATTCCATGGTTTAAATATTGACCTCTAAACTAGTCAGCCAGTTTATCAGATTCACCTTTACAACTTAGTCAATAACTAGCCTTCAAAATAAATAGAAAGAAAAGAAAAGAAAAGAAAAGAAAAGAAAGAAAAGAAAAGAAAAGAAAAGAAAAGAAAAGAAAAGAAAAGAAAAGAAAGAAAAACTTTCCAATGACGTTCTTAGAGCAACTGACTAAGTCTTCTCATTCTGTCTGCACAGGTCTTTTCTCCAAGTTCAGCAGCATTTGTGTTGTAGAACAGGCACAACTGTTTTGAATTGTCACAACCACTCACTTCCATCGAACTTGGCAGAGTGGAGCATATTCAAAGAGAAAAAAACATAGGTATCTGGTTCTGATTAGTGGTTGCAGTTTTAGAATACATCTGCTATCAGGTATGCACACACAAGGCATGGGTAAAAGCAGCTGGACACTAAGACACAATAATTATATCTAGGGCTAACTTCTGTACAGTGGAAATTCTGTATAACCAAGAGTTCTTCCAAAAATGTACCCAGGCACACACATCAATACACTGTACAAATTCTTCAGATTTAACCTGGATACAATAAAACTTGAAGATGACCGACAGAATTGTGTATTCCTTTGTTATTTAAATATCTGAACATCTAATATTTCTTGGTCAGTTTCAGGTAAAAAGCTACATTAATAATGTGGTTTAAATATGACATAATAATCTGAGAAAAAACTGTGGCATATTTTAATAAAACTTTCTATTGACAATGCTAATCCATGTAACACTGAAGTGTTCCTCTCCAAAAATTCAGGATCTTTTATTGCTGAAAGGTTAATCACTACAGGGGAACATCATGACACCCAGTGACCAAAGACTTTCAATGCTGCATAAATTCTTGTGTCTTCTGTTCTTTATCACACTTATAAATTAATTTGTTGATAAGCTAAATCATTTATGTATTGAAATATGTATTACTGAAATAGGTAATGTGTTCATGAATGCTTTTATATTTTTACATGTGTGCGTGAAAACTATTTCTGAAATTTGAAAACTGCAGATGCTAATGTGGTTTGTGTGGATATGTGGCATCTGCCTCAACATAACCATATGAATGTATTTCTTAAACACATATACTCATTTACAAAGAATCTCCTATTCTGGCCGGGCGCAATGGCTCATGCCTGTAATCCCAGCACTTTGGGAGGCCGAGGTGGGCGGATCACGAGGTCAGGAGATCCAGACCATCCTGGCTAACAGGGTGAAACCCTGTCTCTGCTAAAAATACAAAAATATTAGCCGGGCGTGGTGGCGGGTGCCTGTAGTCCCAGCTACCCGGGAGGCAGAGCTTGCAGTGAGCCGAGATCATGCCACTGCACTCCAGCCTGGGCGACAGAGCGAGATGCCGTCTCAGGAAAAAAAAAAAAAAAAAAAAAAAAAAAAAACTGAAACAAAGAATCTCCTAGTCTATACTCATGATTACAACACATTCTGTGCTAGCCCACTTTTTTTCCTTTTGAAAAAGCCGTCAAAGGAAAATAAAATGAATCATTTAACTTGTTGAGCTAATAATGGACATGGACCTTATTTACGTCAACATGTTAGGCAGGACATTGCATGATAAGAAGGAGGACTTTATGACAGGTAAGTTTATTTATACCTGTGCTGCTTCCCTTTCATTGGCCAATTTTACTTATTTCCCTCCGTGATTTAATTACTACTATAAACCCGGGAAGCTATATAGTAGTAGTGGTGAAAGAGAAGTTCAGATTCCAACCTTGTCACATAATTAATTTGTAACTTTCAGCAAGTTCTTTAAGCTCCTGAAATTCAAGTATCTTTATGTGAAATGAGATTATTCTTTATTTGAAATATAAAAAAAATTCCTACCTACTCCCTTTGTTGTGAAGATTCTCTACCCTCTGCATATGCATATACCTTTATATATCCATAAAGTGGCTAGCACAGGGCTTGCAGGTTTTTGTTTGTTTCTTTGTTTGTTTTGACACAAGCTCTCACTCTGCCATCCAGGCTGGAGAGCAGTGGCATGGTCATAGCCCACTGCAGCTTCTACTTTCTGGGCCCAAGCGACATTCCCACCTTAGCCTGCCAAGAAGCTGGGACCAAAGGTAAGTGCATCCACCTGCAGCTTATAATACTTTTTTTGTAGTGAAGGGGTCTCACTAGGTTGTCCAGGCTGGTCTCAAACTCCTAGCTTCAAGCAGTCCTTCAATATGTTGATAACCGCTTATTTGCAATCCAACCAAAAATGCCTCAGACCTAAATACTATTACAACTCTTTGGACATTGGCTCCTTGTGGGTATAAAGTGTCTCCTTCCAAAGCTCAAATCTTCTCTCAGGAGGTTTGATTCTTGAGACTAACATTCATCCCAGGGCCCAAGGATCTCTCAGACCACCGCAAAAATCTTATGCTAAACGTGGACATTCCATCCACTAAACATCAGTTGTAGTCCTTTCTTCGAATGGTAGGTTTCTGTCACATTTGGACAACCCGGTTAGGACTTATAGCAAAACCTCTTTATGGGGCACTGCAAGGATCGGCGGGGGGGAGCTCTTAAATTGGAGCCTTGAAATGGACAGTGTTCTAAAAACCCTCAAACAAGCCCACGCCCTGGCCTTGCCAGATCTTACAAAGCATCTTTACTTGTTCATAGTTGAGAGAAGGGATACAGCCCTTGGAGTCCTCACTCAGCCACTGGGACCCTCCCAGTGGCCAGCTAGTTACTTGTCAAAAAAAAGGCATGGGGATGGCTGCCATGCCTCTGAGTGCTAGTGTGTGTGGCTCTCCTGGTTGTGGAGGCCTCCGAGCTAATTCTGGGCCAAGCAATAACTGTCTACACCCCACATCAAGTAATGAATGTCCTAAACTCAAAGGCCTTTCACTGGATCTCACAGAGCCATATAAGCAAATTTCCAACACTCCTTCTACAGGTACCAGAATTGAGTATTAGGCTCTGCCAACCCTTAATGCTGGCATGCTGTTACCAAACCCAAATGTGGAGAGGCCACTTTAACATTCTTGCTTGGAAACCATAGATCTAACCTGTAATGTTAGACCAGACCTCCAGGATATTCCCCTTATAGATTCAGAGGCCACACGGTACACAGATGGCAGTAGCTTTATGATAGGTGGAACCCAACTGTCAGGGTATGCTACTATTAACCTAACTGAAATCACAGAATCTGGACCTCTGCCAGGAAGTAGCACCTCAGCCCAAAAGGCTGAGCTCATTGCTCTTACCTGTGCCTTACAATTAGCGGCAGGCCTGAGGCTTAATATTTACACAGACTCAGCCTATGTCTATCATGCAGTGCATGCCCATGCAGCCATTTGGCAGGAAAGAGGACTTTTAATGGCCTGAAATACTTCCATTAAATGTGTTCCTGAAATCATGGCCCCGTTGGAGGCAGCTATGCTTCCCCCACAGGTCACTATCATTCACTGCAAAGCCCATCAGAGAAGCAATGATGAAATCTCTATCGGGAACACCTGGGCTGACAAATAAGTAAAAGTGGCTGCCAGGTCACCCTTTCAGGCTGTCTTCATTCCTAGCCTAACTTCCCTGTCTCCACACTATAAAGAGGGGGAAGCCCAAAAAGCTCTAGAAAGAGGTTTCTCCCATACCTCAGAGGGCTGGCTAAAAAGTCCTAATGGCAAACTCTTGCTCCCAGGAGCCTCACAATTGAAGTTTCTAAATAGCGTATACCAATCAACTCATCTAGGGGCTAAGGCCTTCCAAGATCTAATAAAGTCACTGTTCACCAGCACGGGGATAGCCCAAGCTCTATGAGCCATCTCACAGGCATGTCCCACCTGAGGCCAAATAAACCCAGAGGGAGGACACAAACCTCCCCAAATCCTTCAACCCATTCTAAGAGAGGAACCCTACCCCGAGAAGACTGGCAAATATATTTTACACACATGCATCATGCAATGTGTGTATTTGTTAGTCAGGTATTTGTTAGTCTTTGTAGACACCTTCACTGGATGGATAAAGGCCCTTCCCGCCAAAACTGCATGGGCCTCAGAAGTCACCTCAGCCCTTTTAGACCGCATTCTTCCTTGTTTTAGGCTCCCTCATGCCCTACAGTCAGACAATGGCCCCACTTTCATTTCTTAAAATGAGGGACCCTAGGTCCCTCCCATAACGCGTCAGAATTCTGAGAGATACAAGTCAAGTTGACATTTCGGTGGAGACACAGCCAAACCATATCAAGCTACGTGAAGGTAAAACCAGGTACGATGGGTGTTCACTTGATTTTTGGTTCTCATGAAATTTCATTTCATTTTTTCTCTACGAACACTACAAAACTTAGCCAGCTCTGGTGGTGCACACTTGTAATCCCAGCTACTCGGGAGGCTGGGGCAAGAGAAGCACTTGAACCGAGGAGGTGGATGTTATAGTGAACCGAGATGGTGACACTGCACTCCAGCCTGGGCCTGAACAACAGTGTGAGATGAGAATCTGTCAAAAAAAAAAAAAAAAAAAGAAAAAAGAAAAAAATAATTTTTTTGTTTTTTTCAGAGAATCAGTGAAGCTCTCCAGATCAAATATTATCTGCATGCGTCTTGACGTCCACAATCTTCTGGGAAGGCGGAGACAGCCAATCAAACCAGAAAAAGCACCTCACAAAGTTAACACATGAAACCCAACAGTTATGGTCAACTTTGCCCCCCATTGTACTCTTAAGAGCCTGTATCACCGCAAAATGTGAAGCCCATCTAGCCCTTTCGAGATTCTCTTTGGAATCTCTTTGGAAGATCTTTCTTCCAAACTGACCTTTTGTTAGACCCAAAGAGACATTATCTCATACAGTATGTTATGTCCCTGGGACAAACCATCAAGGCCATCAATCATTATCAAAGTCTTCATAGCCCAACACCTGGCCCCTCTTTTTCAGGAAACACTCACCCTAACCTTATGCCTGAAGACTAGGTATATCTTAAAACTCTCCCACAGGACAAAAAGCCACTGGAGCCAGCGTGGACTGGACCATACCAAGTTCTCCTTATGACCCCGACAGCTGTTCAACTCAAACATCAAGTGGATTTACTGCTCCAGGGTCAAGGTGGCACCAGCACCCCACAAAGAACGCACTACCTACACCTGTGAACCAGTTGGAGACGTTTGTCTATTGTTCAGGAGGGACTCAAACTCAGGCAATATCCGCCTTAATACTTAGAAGAAGCAAAAGCAGAAACCCCTGGTAAATCCATCAGATCCCATGAGACTTACTCACTATCAGGAGATTAGCACAGGAAAGACCGGCCCCCATGATTCAATTACCTCCCTCTAGGTCCCTCCCATAACACGTCGGAATTCTGGGAGATACAAATCAAGTTGAGATTTTGGTGGGGACACAGCCAAACCATATCAAGCTACGTGAAGTTAAAACCAGGTACTATGGGTGTTCACTTGATTTTTGGTTCTCATGAAGATGTTTTTTTCTGTGTAGATAGTTGTTAAATTGGTGTCCTTGGTGGGGGGTCAGGGGGACAATCAGTGAAGCATTCTGTTCCGTCGTCTTTCTCCTCCTGTAGATCTGTAGTATATTTTGAAATATACCTTTGTAGTATATTTTGAAGTCAGGTAGTGCGATGCCTCCTTGTGTGTTCTTCTATGGGCCCAGTTTCTGGAGTCCTAAAGCAATTACAATAATAACATCAAAGATCACTGATCAGAAATCATCATAACAGATATAATCATGATGGAAAAGTTGGAAATATTGTGAGAATTACCAAAATGTGACACAGGGACATGAAGTGGGCACATGCTGTTGGAAAAATGACACTGACATGCTTGACGGTTGCCAGAAAACTTTAATTTATAAAAAACACACAATATCTATAAACACAAAAATGTGCATCACAATAAAATGAGGTCGACCTGTACCTGCCAGTACCCAGGTAATTAGTTTACTAGGAATAAGTAATAATAGCTAGAAAAACTAGTTAAATACAGAAATTAAAAAAAAAAAAACAACTGTCTTCTCAGGACACAAAAACATGGAAAGATAGTCCAGGCTTATAGATTGACAGGATTAATATTGTATAATTCACAATACTCACCAAAGCGATTAACAGATTAAATGCAAGCCCTACCAAACTACCAAAGACATTCTTCACAGAAACAGGAAAAAACTTATAATATTCATAGGAAACCATAAAATACCTCAAATAGCCAAAGCAATCCTGAGCAAAAAGTGAAAAGCTGGAAGCAGCACACTACCTGACTTCAAAATTTTACGACAAAGCTATAGTGAACCAAGCAGCATGGTACCGGCTTAAAAACAGACACAGAGACAAATGGAGCAGAATAGAGAACCTGATATAAAGCCACATGCTTACAACCAACTCAACTTCAACAAAGACAAAAAGAACATATGATGCTGAAAAGACCAACATTTCAATAAATAGCACTAGGAAAGCTGGATGAGTATATGCAGAAGAATGAAACTAGATTCCTCTCTTTCACCACACACAAAAAGCAAATCAAAAATGGATTAAAGACTTGAATCTGGCTGGGAGTGGTGGCTCACGCCTGTAATCCTAGCACTTTGGGTGGCCGAGGTGAGTGGGTCACTTGAGGTCAGGGGTTCGAGACCAGCCTGGCCAGTATGGTGAAACCCGTCTCTATGAAAACTACAAAACTTAGCCAGCTGTGGTGGTGCACACTTGTAATCCCAGCTACTCGGGAGGCTGGGGCACGAGAATCACTTGAACCGTGGAGGTGGATGTTATGGTGAGCAGAGATGGTGACACTGCACTCCAGCCTGGGCCTGAACAACAGAGTGAGATGAGACTCTGTCAAAAAAACAAAACAAAACAAAACAAAACAAAACAAAAACCAAAAAAAAAAAAAAAAAAAGACTTGAATTCATGACCTGTAACTGAAACCACCAAAAAACATTGGGGAAATGCTCCAGGACATTGGTCTGGGCAAAGACTTCTTGAGTAAGACCTCAAAAGCACAAGAATCAAAGCAAACATAAACTATCGGGATTACATCAAGTTAAAAAGCTTCTGCATAGCAAAGGAAATTATCAACCAAGTGAAGAGACAACCCACAGAATGGCAGAAAATATTTGCAAACTACCCATCTGATACGGGATTCATAACCAGAATACAGAAGGAGCTCAAAAAAGTTAATAACAAACAATCTGACTTAAAAATGGACAAATAATCTGAATAGATGTTTCTCAAAAGAAGACACAAAAATGGCCAGCAGGCATATGAAAACATGCTTATTATGAATCATCAGAGAAATACAAATCAAAACCACAATGCAATATCATCTCACTCCAGTTAAATGGATTTTATCAAAATACAGGCATGAACAGATGCGAGCAGGGAGGTGGAGAAAGGGGAACCTGTGTACACTGTTGGTGGGAATGTAATTTACTACAGCCCCTATGGAGAACAGTATGGGGTTCCTCAAAATCCTAAAAATAGAACTAGTATATGATCCAAGTATTCCACTGCTGGGGAAAGAGAGGGAGGGGGAGAGAGAGGAGAGAGAGAGAGAGAGAGAGAGAGATGGATAGATAGATAAATAAATTTATCTGAAGATCAAAGAGATATATCTGCATACTCATGTGTATTGCAGCACAAGTCACAATAGCCAAAATATGGATTTAGCCTAAGTGCCCATTGATGGATGAATGGATTAGGCAAATGTGGCATACGTACACAATGGAATATTATCCAGGCATGAAAAGAATGACTGGATATTATGTTAAATGAAATAAGCCAGGCACAGAAAAACAAACATTGCATGTTTTCACTCATATATGGGAGCTAAAAAAGTGGTTCTCATGAAGATAGCGACTATAGTGATGGTTACCAGAGGCCAGAAGGGGAAGCAGGGGATGAAGGGGAAATAAAAGAATATAAATGTATTTATTACCACTGAACTGCACGGTTACAGGTGTAAAGCAGATACATTACATGTGTATATTTTACCTCAATAAAAATATATTTTAAAAATAAAATCACATTCTTCTCACCACGTCCTGCTGAGTTATTGTTGGAATAATGAATTACTACCACAGATAAGTCAGGTACCTAAGTAAGTAGTAAAATAGAGACAGCAAGAATAGTTCAGTGGAATGTAGAACATAGGGAATCTGGTCAGGTCAGATAAAATTTTGCTGGTGTTGAGTTAATACGTAAGTTCTACTTAACTGGGCTTTCCCATGAAACACATTTCATAGAAACAGCTAACAATCATTGCAATACCAAGTGAACCTGATCCTGAAAATCATATCCTTTGCAAGTCTCAATTATTGATTTTAGTTGGGATAAGAACTTAGAAGGATAGGTGCTGAGTGTTACCCAGGAAAAAAAGGTACAAAGGATAACAGGAGATAATTTGAATATCTATGTGATGTCTGGAAAAAGCAAAATCCTTCCTAATCATTCTACTACGTTTTGTTGGAATAATGAATTACCACAGACATCTGGTGGTAAACATGTAATTAGCAACCTAAAGATAGCTAGAATTAGCCAGACCAGGTAATTGATCCCAGGAAGCTGAAGATAACTGGCCTATGCCAGGGAGTTCAATAACCATTTTCCTCAATGCAAAATTCCAACCTCATGTTAGAAGTATTACCTAATACAGTAGCTTTCAACTTTATCCAAGTAAGTAATTAACTAGAGATAACTACATGAAGCCAGTACCTGGAATAAACAAATTCTTCTCAGTACTAGTTGAATAAACAACTAGCAATTACTAGGAAACTGGTTGAACATAGAAAGTTTAGTAACCACTCCAGTCAATTCTGTGTTCTTACTTTTTTTGGATTGTTGACTAGGTACTACGGATATGGTAACTAGAGTTACCTGAGTAAGAGTTAAATACAGAATCCTCCCTAAAATGGGAAAAACTGGTTGAAGACAGAAGTATAATATTGCATTCTCCTCAATATTTCTCATTTCTTGCTGGAATAATAAGGTGGTTCTGTCAATGGGCAGCAGTACCTAGGTTATTACAAAGTAAGAAATAAGAAGAGATGACTAGAATAAATATTTGATACCAGAATGGTGAAAAAAAAACCATTCTTTTCAAATAGAAACTCTAATTTCCTGTGTAATTAGTGAGTTACAATTAGTACTGGAGATATCTGTATGAGATGTGGACTTCATTTCAGGGGTGGGGTACATACTCAACAGATGAGCTGCTGGGTCGTATGGTAGATCTATTTTGATTTTCCAAGGAACAATTATACTATTTTTTATAACGGCTGTGCCAATTACACGTCTGTCAACAGCATGTAACAGTGAGGTGATAGTTCATTGTGGTTATCATTTGCATTCTCTGATTATTAACGATGTTGAGCACATTTTCATATACCTGTTGGCCAGTTGTGTGTTTTCTTTCTAGAAATGCCTATTCAAGTCCTTTGCCTATTTGTTAACCATACTATTTATTTGCTATTGAGCTATGTGAGTTCTTTATATACTTTGGATATTAACTCATTATTAGATATATGGTTCGCAAATAGCTTCTCCCAAACCATAGCGTGCCTTTTCATTGTGTTGATTGTTGGCTGTGCAGAAACTTTTAGTTTCCAGGATGCTCACTTGCCCTATACATTTCAGCTGCCTAGACCCCCACATTGTGTGAATGTGTGAGCCAATTGTTTAGAATAAACTGTATCTCATATATAATATTATTCATAAATAAATACTACATGGTAGTAAATACATATTTATGATATATAATATTACACACACACACACACACACACACACACACACACACACACACACACAGAGTATCCTGTTTGGTTTAGTTTCTCCTTCTCTGAGGAACCCAGCCCGATACAGATACCCAGCTGAGCTAGTGTGTTTGCTAATCTTGACCTCTGGAAGCCAGTGCTTTAAACCATGAGAATGAAAAATTGTGAGGCACTATGTGGATGCTGGGAGAAGCATGTGAGATGGAAAAGTTGTTCCATGGCAGCCAAGAAGTGAATGATCCTCAAGGTGTAGCAGAGGAATTTGTAGGAGAGAGGGATGACTGACGTCTTCGTACAGCCCTCCATCCATCCCAGTTAGCATGGAGGGATTTTAGGTAGGACATACAGAAACTGGGTAATGATGGTAGTTGTGGAGGAACAGAATGTACCACTGAATGGGGGTTCCGGGGGAAACATGTGGGGGAAATATCCTCCCTTGCCACATGATCTGCCAAAACTGAACATGGGGAGTTTAGGAGGGGCGACATGTCAGTTTGGGAACTATCTTTAGGGGTGCTAACCCAAATCTCCCTTTCTCCAACTAGAGCACCCTGCCTTCCTCATTAGATGTCACCGCCCCCCCCCCCCGCCCCCGACTTCATCCGCCATGTCCTGATGGTGCTTTATGACGTATAAGGCCTTCCTTCCCACCCAGGGCTACCATTGGCTGGGTAGTGGAGTGTTGACCAATCACAGCTCAGGGGCGTGATCGTCTCGTCCTGGGATCGCGAGAGGGGTATACACAGGGAGGCCAGGCAGCCTGGAGTTAGTCGACCGTTGCGAGACGTTGAGCTGCGGCAGATGAGTCCAAAGCCGAGAGCCTCGGGACCTCCGGCCAAGGCCAAGGAGACAGGAAAGAGGAAGTCCTCCTCTCAGCCGAGCCCCAGTGGCCCGAAGAAGAAGGTGAGTGACCCTCCCAAGCTCCTCCTCGTCTTCCCCTCGCCTCTTTCCTCACAAGAAGCCTCTCCTGTCCTCACTTGGCACAACCCCCCAACCCGGCCCCCACCGCTTCTGAGGACACGTCCCTGTTCCCAGCCTCCTCCATCCTCGTCCCTAAACCAGAGCCCTTCTGTGATCTCCCTGTTGTCCTTCCAGACTACCAAGGTGGCCGAGAAGGGAGAAGCAGTTCGTGGAGGGAGACGCGGGAAGAAAGGGGCTGCGACAAAGATGGCGGCCGTGACGGCACCTGAGGCGGAGAGCGGGCCAGCGGCACCCGGCCCCAGCGACCAGCCCAGCCAGGAGCTCCCTCAGCACGAGCTGCCGCCGGAGGAGCCAGTGAGCGAGGGGACCCAGCACGACCCCCTGAGTCAGGAGAGCGAGCTGGAGGAACCACTGAGTAAGGGGCGCCCATCTACTCCCCTATCTCCCTGAGCAGCAACTAAGTTTAGGCCCAGCTGCCAGACCTCAGAGATCTCACCAGCAGGGTGCTTCCCATGTTGATGACAATAAAATGAATGTGTTGCAAACCGATCTGAGTGACTCCGTGTTCTCTGATGGTGAGGAGGGAGGGAGGGGGGGGTAAGAGGTGTGTGGGGAGGGAGGGAGGAAGAGGTGGTGTGTGGGGAGGGAGGGAGGCAGAGGTGGTGGGTGGGGAGGGAGGAAGGAAGAGGTGGTGTGTGGGGAGGGAGGGAGGAAGAGGTGGTGTGTGGGGAGGGAGGGAAGAAGTGTGTCAGGAGGGAGGCAGGCGGGAAGAGGTGGTGTGTAGGGAGGGAGGGAGGGAGGCAGAGGTGGTGGGTGGGCAGGGAGGGAGGAAGAGGAGGTTTGTGGGGAGGGAGGGAAGAAGTGGTGTGGGGAGGGAGGAAGGGGTGGGTGGGGAGGGAGTGAGGAAGAGGTGGTGTGTGGGGAGGGAGGAAGAGGTGGTGGGTGGGGAGGGAGTGAGGAAGAGGTGGTGTGTGGGGTGGGAGGGAGGGAGGAAGATGAGGTGTGTGGGGAGGGAGGGAGGAAGAGGTGTGTGGGAAGGGATGGAGGAAGAAGAGGTGTGTGGGGAGGGAGGGAGGAAGAAGAGGTGTGTCAGGAGGGAGACAGGGGGGAAGACGTGGTGTGTGGGGAGGGAGACAGGAATACGTGGTGTGTAGGGAGGGAGGGAGGAAAAGGTGTGTGGCGGGGAGGTAGGAAGAGGTGGTGGGTCGGGAGGCAGGGAGGAACAGAAGGTGGGTGGGGAGTGAGAGAGGGAGAAAGAGGTGGTGTGTAGGGAGGGAGGGAGGAAGAGGTGGCCTGTGGGGAGGGAGGAAGGGTGGAAGAGGTGGTGTGTGGGGAGAGAGGGAGAAAAAGGTGGTATGCAGGGAGGGAGGGAGGAAGAGGTGGTGTGTTGGGAGGGAGAGAGGAAGAGGTGGCCTGTGGGGAGGGAGGAAGGGGGGAAGAGGTGGTGAGTGGGGAGCGAGAAACGAAAGAAGGAAGGAAGAGGTGTTGTGCGGGGAGGGAGGGAAGTGGGGTCTTGCGGGCTTGAGGGCAGAGGGAGAGGTCACAGTTTGCCAGACAGGAGCATAAGGTTTGCGTCATGGCTGAGCACTGGAGACAAATTTCCCCCTCACAGGATGACTCTGCTTCATTTAGGGTTTATTTTTTCTTGCAATCCTGCCAGCACAAGCACCAAGTACCAGGATCTGGATTCTACCTACTTAGGTTTCATTGTTAAAATACCTTTTCCTCAATATAAACTGATGGTACAATGGTTTCCATCTCTTTCCTTTCAGGGTCCCCTCCCTACAATCTAATATAATTAAGAAGAAAAATTCAAAGTAGAGCAATATCTATCTACTTGAAAAAAGCCTTTTTGCAACTGTGGAGACAAGAAGTAGATTTCATATTTCCATATATTAGAAATACACAGGACTTTTCTGTATATAGTAGAATTTACTATATACAAATATACATAAATATATGTAAGTAAAATATACAATTATATTTATTGTAGGCAAACCTATGTATTTATATATGAAATATATAAATACAAACATACAAATATGGAATTTATCTTTATATATAAAATACATAAATATGAATATATATGAATATATATTATATATACACACTTTAGTAATACACAGGTCTTTTCTATGTATACTAGAACCTACCATATATTTATATATTAACATGTATTTTCATATTTTTATATTTATATATAGATTGTATATAGAAATATTGATATATAGATATATATTTTATATATAAATATCTATATAAAACATATTTATATGTATATATTATATATAATCATTTATTTTAGAAGTTAAGGTGTTATGATTGTTGAAGCATGGTTCACAGGCAAAAAGAGAAAGGAAATTATCACTTTTAGAAGAATAAAGTACAAAATTATCACGATGGAATACCCAGCTGTCAATAATTGCAATGAGAGTATGATATAGTAGAACTTTCTATTTATGGAAGAGACCGGTGTATTTCTATTGTGCATATATGTAATCTACATTTATATATAATTATACAAATGCACAGTTCTTTTCTATATATGGTAGAATTTACTACTGTATTCCTAATGTGTGTATATATATAATCTGTATTTATATTTATATAAATACACAGGTTTTTATATAAACACACATGTCTTTACTATATACAGAAAAGATCGTTGCGCTTCTAATGTGTATATGTGTATATAATTCATATTTGTCTCTATTATATACATATAATATATATTTATGTATTTATATATCTATTTTATATATTTATATAGATAAATTTCACATATAGTTTATATATAAATATTTATATTCTATATAAATATTTAGACATCTATAAAATATGTAAGCATATTTATATTTATATAATACATAAATATATAATGTATAAATATAAATATATATTATATATAAACTATTCTATATGTGATCATTTATTTTGGAAGGTAAGCTGTTAGTATTGTTGAAGCATGTTTCTCAGGAAAAAGGAGAAAGGAAATTATCATTTTAAGAAGAATAAAGTACAAAATCATCACGATTTAATTTCCAGTTGTTAGTAATTACACGGACAGAATAACTCATGTCCTTAAATCTTACAATGAATAGCACGTTAAACTTTTATGTGATTCTGAAAATATGAATTTCCGTATAATAAGGGTTTGAGATGTAAAGCACTAATTTTATAGGCAGTTTTCACTTATTACATAGATTGTTCTTATAGCTTTAAAGATGTTAAATTAATGGCGGCTTAGAAGAGATGGTAGCATCATTTGAGAAACAATAAATTAGTTCTGTTTCATCCTTTCCTTCGTGCAGTCATGGCTTCACTTCATTAGCTTAGGGAGAGATTTCAGAGCTTTGCATGTCGAACTTGTAGCTGCCTCCTATGGAATCTTAGGAAACCTAGGACGCTGTACCACAGAAACGGCGTTGCCCCATGGCCTGAGCACCATCATTTTGTGGTATATTTCTTTTGTATTTCTTATATGGAAATACCATATAAGAATGAGCATGCTTGGTATAACTCAAAGCCTGTTTATTTGCAAGGCTGTATTGACCCTGAACAATAAATACTTGCATGTTATGGATGGGAAACAAGTCGGAATGAAAAGCTGCTGTCTTTTAAGAAAGCCTATTGTCTGTGGTTGTGTATCTCTTTCCAAAGGGAAATTTGTGAACTTCCTGCTATAGTTTTTTTACATAATGACAGCATAAAAACTGAAATAAACTGAATCTTGTCAGTGGCCACTTTTGGATTTGATGAATATTGTGGAGCAACATTGCATTTTATTTTAAAATTATATTCAAGAATTAATTTTGTGCACCTTATTTTAATGCTGTGTTTCCATTCAAACTCTGCAACGCAAAACAGTCTGTGATGATTCTTTTGGCATTGAAAAAAATTATCCATGGCACTTAAACCGTGTTTCTTTCATGATTTCATGGCAGTTGGAGCTTCAACTGCTATTTGTTGGGAACCCATCCTGACTAGGGCTTCATGTTTTATTGTGATGATTGGCAGACTTCTGCTTCAGGAATTTTTGGCTTTGAAAAGTGACTATGATTTTGAAGTTACAGATGCAAAAATGTCACTGAATTTATTTTCACAAACTGCTTTAATTCATTATAGATAATAAATGGTTTAATCAGAAATCAATAATTTAAATAATCTTTTAATTTGTTGGAGCATTCACAAATACTACCTCTTCCTTTAAGTCTTTCTTCATTCTACATGTTATATACATAGTTAAATTAGTTAATAAGAGTGTTAAATATTTTCCCTCCTTCTCCAACTATCCACAAGCTGAGGCTTAAAATAAACAGTGGAAAGAGTAAAGACCCGAAGTAATATAGCAGCAAAGCTGTAGTTGATTTTTGTAATAAAATAATAGATATCAAAGCTTCCTGGCATTATAGGCAAATCTTCCTGTGTCCCTAAAGGGAGGATCCCCTTGACAACAGTCATGAACAGCAGGTGTTCTTGAGATTCTCAACTGTCGAAACAGTTGGTGGGAAAATTTGAAAACACCTTGTACATATTAAAGAGCTAAGCATGAGATGATGTATACATACATATGTCTCTGTCTCATTAGACCGCAGGAAATACGGCACATGGCAGGAAGGCTCATGTCGATTCCCCTTGACCATGCAGCTTCCTCTGCTCCTGACTCCTATTTCTGACATTTGCTCATTCCCAGCTTCAGATCCCCACGCATACGGATTGTTTTTGACCCCCATGTCAGTGATACACGGGACACATAATTGCTCTCAAAAAACACTCTGGAATTGAAAAATGACAGGAGAAGCTCAACGTGATGGCTGGGTACCAGAGGGAAGGCCTTCCGCTGTTTTGATCACTGATGCTAAGGTCTAGAATAACTGCAGCTGCAGCCTATTGGACCTGGGCATGTGTCAGGCAGGGTGTGAAATGCTCCCCATGCACGACCTCATTTCTCCCTCACATTACTCCTATGAATTAATTGGGAGCTCTCGAGAGACACCACCAACAGGTTATCAGTGAAGATAGATGAGAGGGGATTTATTAGGGTAATTAGAGGGTGAAAAGTCTCAGGACAGGCTGTCTGCAAGTTGGAGCCCCTGGGATGCCAGGAGTGTGATTCAGTCCACACCCAGAAACTTCAGAACCAGGGAAGTGGATAGTGTAACTCTCAGTATAAAAAGAGCCTGGGCTGGGCATAGTGGCTCACACCTGTAATCCCAGCACTTGGGAGGCCGAGGTGGGTGGATCACGAGGTCAGGCTAACACGGTGAAACCCCATCTCTACTAAAAATACAAAAATATTAGCTGGGCGTGTTGGCGGGCACCTGTAGTCCCAGCTACTTGGGAGGCTGAGGCAGGAGAATGGCGGGAACCCAGGAGGCGGAGCTTGCAGTGAGCTGAGATCGCACCACTGCACCTCCAGCCTGGGTGACAGAGCGAGACTCTGTCTCAAAAAAAAAAGAGCCTGAAGTTCTGATGTCCAAGAGCAGGAAAAGAAGAGTCTCAGCTCCCGGAGGGAAAGGGAAGAAACTGCCTTTCCTCTGCCCTGTTTCTTCTAACTGGGCCCTCAGAGAATTGGATGGGGCCTGTGTCTATTGAAGACATCTTCCCCACTCTGTCCACCAGCTCACACCAATCTTCCCAGGAATATGTGTGCAGGCTCACCCAGAAACAATGCTTTACCAATTCCTGACATATTCCTTAAGGCAGTGATATGGACACCTGAAATTAACCATCACACCCTGTAAAATGTGTAGTGTCCCCACTGGACAAATGAAACAGACAGTTTGGGTACCTTTCTTATACTGCTTATAGGTTATAGAGCCAGGATTAAAACTCAGGTCTGCAAAGATCAAATTCTAAACTCCACTCTCCTAAGGACTGCTGCTCAATGCTGTGGAAGCACCATAGTAGACACTGCACGAGGATTGAAGGGGCATTCGAGACACATCTCCTACTTTAGGGACCACATCCTAGCTTGTATTCATGACAGGAGTCATGTTTCTGTGACTCTACTCTAGACCCCAGAACCAAGTGTGAATTGGTATGCTTTAGGTGTACATAAGTTCTGCAGAAGTCCTAAGAAAGAGTAAGTTAATTATAAGCTCAATTCATATAGGGAAGTTTTTGTGAAAACAGCTTTTAGCCAATTCCTGAAAGAAAATATTTTTACTGGCAGAAAAATGTTCTGCTGGAGAATAACTAGTTGAAGGGCTTTGGGGGCAAGGGGCCCTGGACACAGGTCCATGGAAGTGGGAAAAAAGACACATAGAAAAGAAACAGAACTGAGGACCCTTCAGGGAGAGATGTAAGGAAAAGTGCTAGCCCAGCAAGCTGATATGTAATTTTGAATCTTAAGTAGACTGAGAATTTGGATACAACTCAAAACTAGATAAGAGTAATTGCACTAAAAAATTGGTAAGGAGCAGGGTAAAATAAAATAAAAATTCATTAATGAATTAAATTATTCATTCAACAAACATTTATTGAGCATCTACTATGGTCCAGGCAGTGGGCTACATGCTAATCAAAAAATAATAATCACTGCCAGGACTGAGAAATGCCTATGAGTCATCCTTAGAATGGTGCTGGAAGATAGATGGGGCTGTCTTATTCCATCCTGAGTTTACAAAAGATGACCCTGAGGACCAGCCAGGGTAAGTAACCTGTTCCAGATCACCTAGTACTTGAACCGAAGCTTGTCTGACTCCAAAGCCCACACGTTCTCTGATACGCCATGCAGCCAGGAAAGGGCAGTGAAGTACTAAGGTTTGCTAAGGTGTTGATTACATGGAATAAGATACTCAGGAGTATTTTTAAACTTGTGGTAAAACCCACATGACACGACATATACACTCTTAACAAATGTTGAGGTGCATGGTACGGTATTGTTAACTACATGCCCATTGTGCTATAGTGGATCCTTACAACTTTCTGGGATGGTTAAGATTGTCAACTTGATTGGATTGAAGGATGTAAAGTATTGTTCCCAGGTGTGTCTGTGAGGGTGTTGACAAAGGAGATTAACATTTGAGTCAGTGCACTGGGAGAGGCAGACCAACCCTCAGTCTGGGTGGGCACCATCCAGTTGGCTGCCAGCATGGCTAGAACAAATCAGGCAGAAGGAGGTGGGAGAAGCTGACTTGCTGAGTCTTCTGGCCTCCATGTTTCTCCTCTGCCGGAAGCTTCCTCAAACATCAGACTCCAAGTTCTTCAGCTTTTGGACTCTTGGACTTACACCAGTGTTTCGCCAGGGGGTCTCTGGCCTTTGGCCACAGACAGACTGAAGGCTGTGCTGTGGGCTTCCCTACTTTTGAGGTTTTAGGACTTGGACTGGCTTCCTGGCTCCTCAGCTTGTAGACGGGCTATCATGGGACTTCACCTTGTGATCATGTGAGTCAATACTCCTTAGTAAACTCCCTTCATGTATACATCTATCCTATTAGTTCTGTCCCTCTAGAGAACACTAATTCACTTTCTCATCTTGTATGACTGAAACTCCATGCCCATTGCACCTCAATTCCCCATTTTCCCCTCCCCCAGCCCCTAGCAATGACCATTCTACTTTCTGTGAGTTTAACTATTTTAGATATTTCATAAAAGTAGAATTTGGCAGCATTTGTCCTTCTGTGACTGGCTTGTTTCACTTAAGCATGATGTACTCAGGTCCATCTATCCTGTAGGAGTGGTTTCTGACATCCTACAAAGTGAGAGGGTTTTGAAACTTGTGAGACATGCACAAAGGTGGAGGGACTACTATAGTGATCACCATGTTTTCATCGTGCAGCTCCAACCACTACAAAAGACAGCTAATTCCATTTCACCTGTTACCCTCTCCAAACCTGACCCGTCCCCTGCCCCACTCAGTTATTTTAAAACAAGTCCTAGATTACTTTTTAAGTAAACTGACTTGGGTATATTTAACAATTTGCCTCAAGACAGATGGTTTTTATTCTTCAATTTTTTCCTGGTGACAACAGTAATCCAAGATTGAGTAACAATTATTCAAGCCTTACAGAAGCACACAGAGAGTAACATTTTTGGTAACCTCAGTGAGGATCTATATTGGCAGTGTGATATATGCCACTGAAAAGCTCTGTCCCACCCTGTCCATGCGCTAATGTTGACCTCACAATGATGTGAGCTTCTATTGCTCTCTAATGCTCTTCACTTAACAGTACAGCCAGACAATGATTTCATCATGGAACTGAAGCTGAAAATGCTGTTCCAACCTCTGCCTGTTACCCAGTTCCAATGTCGCTTCCACATTTTTCAGGTAACTATTCAGCAACTCCTCACTCTGTTGGTACCAATTTACCTTATTAGTCCGTTTTCATGCTGCTGATAAAGACATACTTGAGACTGGGAAGAAAAAGTTTACTTAGACTTACATTTCCACATGGCTAGGGATGCCTCAGAGTCACGGTGAGAGGCAAAAGGCACTTTTTACATGGTAGCAGCAAGAGAAAATGAGGAAGAAGAAAAAGCAGAAACCCCTGATAAAACCATCAGGTCCTGTGAGACTTATTCACTATCACAAGAAAAGCACAGGAAAGACCGGCCACCATGATTCAATTACCTCCCCCTGAGCTCCTCCCACAACACGCAGGACTGCTGGGAGATACAATTCAAGTTGAGATTTGGGTGGTGAGGCAGCCAAACCATATCAGTCCCATTTTCAATGTTTCTATTTTTTTTAATTGACATAGTGCTATCATTTGGGAAATTCCATCAAATTCATATACCTGTCATATATACCCATGTCAAAACACAGAACACTCCATCACCCGGAAGCTTCCCTTGTGAACCTGCCTAATTAATTTCTCCTTACCCTTTGCCCCAGAGGCAACAATTGATCGATTCTTTCACCATAGGTTAATTTTGCTTGTTGTTGAATACCCAGGAAATATACTCTCACAGCAGGTTCTCTTTTGTGTTTTCCTTATTTCCCTCAAGCACAGTGATCTTGAGACTCACCCATGCCACGGTGTGTATCCATGCATGGTTCATTGTTTCCTACTCCTGAGAAGCAGTTAGTGCACAGATGTACCTCCCTTTGCTCATCCATCCTCCTGTGGATGGATGTTACATTTTATACAGTGTGTGGCTGTTATGAAAAAGACTTGCAAGAACAAGTCTTTGTGTAGACATAGATTTTTCTTTCTCTTAGATCATTACTTATGAATGGAATTGCTGGATCATAGTGTGTGTATGTTTAACTTTATAGGAAACTGTCAAAATGTTTTGGAAAGCATGAACCCCATGTATGAACCCCACCAACAACATGGGAGAGTTGTGGACGTTCCACAGCTTTGCCAAAATTTGATCATCTTGGCCTCTTTAATTTTTGTCATTGTAGTGGCATCTCTCTGGTATTTAAATTTGCACTTCTTTAATTAATAACAATGGTAAGTACTTTCTCTTGACCATTGTGATATCTTTCCCTGTGCGGTATCTGAGTAAGCCCTTATCTCATTATTTTTTTCTTAAGTTATAGAAATTGTTTATACATAATTATAAGGCAAGACGTGGGTCAGTTGTATGTAGTGTAGTTATTTCCTGCTATTCATGTGTTATTTTTTATTTTTAGAGACATTTTAATGAGTACAATTTAGTTTTTTATTTTTTAAAACAGAATTTGTTAACTATTCCATTGTAATTAATGCATTTTGTACCCAATCTGAGAAATCTTCGACAACCTCAGCATCATATCATATTCTTTTGTTTTGCTCTAGAAGTTTTATGACTTCAGATATTCTGTTTTCATATCTGATGCTTTCAGGTGTATTATTTTTCCATGTAGATATCCAATTGTTATTTGATCACCAATTATTTTAAATCCATGTTTGAATTGCCATACAATCGGTTAGGTTCAGACTTACATTTGTTTCTGCATTCTGTGTGTGGCAGCTCCAATGACAAATCAGTTTCTAAAGGCTCTGCTGGGCTGTTTGAGATGGCCTGGCACACGTATTCTTTGGAGGTTAGGCTGGAAGTGGGAGATGGCT
Organism: Homo sapiens; assembly: GCF_000001405.40. Lineage (NCBI taxonomy): Eukaryota > Metazoa > Chordata > Mammalia > Primates > Hominidae > Homo > Homo sapiens. The sequence continues at coordinate 13,976,316 of NC_000024.10, read as the reverse complement.
TGAATGGCAGTGAAGTTCTCAAAGTCTTTACTCTGCTTCCTTGGGACTTTCCAGGCATGCACAGCTCTGGAGTGAGACCAGGCTCCAGTGAGTTTGTCCACAGAAATGGGGGACACCCTTCTCTAGCACTTTCCTCTCTGGAATTAACCCCATGTGGAATCACCAGATAACATACAAGATGACCAGTTCAGATAAATAATGAATGAATTTTTAGTTTTATATATATATATATATTTTTCCAAATATTGCATGGAAAATACATTAACAAGTTTAAAAATATAACAAGGTTTATCTGAAATTCTGATTTTACTTAGAATCTTATATTTTTGTTTCCAAAATCTGCCAAGCCTACCCTACAGTCTGGCTCCCAAATGCCCTTTTACCTGACCCTTCTGGTCAGAAAGACAGGTTTCTCCTAAAGGTTCACTCGCCATTAGTACATGTTGTTCTGTGTGACCAGGGCTACCTTTGGGGTAAAGCAGCAAGAGATAAAAGAGAGGGGGCTGGGAAGGGTAGGGGAGGTAGAGGGATAGGGAGAGATTTGTTAAAGAATACAAAATTATGGCTAGATAGGAGGAATACATTCTCCTGTTCTGTACCACTGTAGGATGACTATAGTTAACAATAATAAATTATATAGTTTCAAATGGTTGGAAGAAAGGATATTGAATGTTCCCAATACACAGAAATGGTACCTGTTTGAGATGATGGATGTGCTAATTACCCTGATCTGATCACTCCACGTTGTGTATGTGTCAACACTGCTACCTACCCCATATGCCTGTGCAATTATTATTTGTCAACTTAAAAAATGTAACTTGATTTTAAAAATAAAGAAAATGAAAGGAAAAAAAGAGAAAATGACAACAGGTATTCCCTCAGACTCTATAGGAAATGGGGCCCTTTTCCTCATTCCTCTGAGTGAGGGCTGGAGAGATCTTGCCTTGGAGTTGAGCTGATGGTCCTATAGTTGCCCCACCGCCTCCATCGCTGTGCAGCTGCTGAACTTGGACTAGCCAAGAGAGAGGAGAGCAAGAAGAAGCAAAGGGGGAAGAAACATGGATTCCCTCCACATTCTGGCGCATGGGAGGCCCTTCCTTTGGCTGTAAGCAGGGGGTTTCTCCTAAGGTGATGTTGTCAGCACTCACTGCTCAATTCCAAGCCGGGGTCTGCCTTCTGCTCAATGCTGGGAGACCAAGCATGGAAAAATGGGAAACTCAGTCCTCTTATGGGGCCTTAATGACGTTTTGATTTTAGTTCCCAGTGTGCTTGCTATTGTGTGCTCCTTAAAGGGCTTGCATTTTGGTTTTTTGTATTTTGTCCAGAAATTTTACTGTAATTGACAGACGGCAGTTGCAGATGGCTTACTCCATCTCGGCCCCATTATTATTTTTTTTTGGAAGGTCTTTCCTTCTCCCCATAAAATTACTTTGGTACTGTTCCGTTTCCCCATATGTACATATGTGGGTGTGAGTCTGTTTCCGAACACTCAGTTTTGTTCCCGGAGTCTATTATCAGGTCCTGCCGCTGACTCCACGCGGTCCTGGTTCAGTCTTGATGGCTGTAGCTTTATAACAACTCTTGAAAACAGCTAATGTGACTTCTCTTTGTTCTTGTTTTTCAAGGGTTGTTTTGGCTGTCCTACGTCCTTTGCAATTCCATGTAAATTTCAGGAATTCGTTGTCAACGTTTCCTGGAAATATGATTAGAATTGCGGTCTCTCTCTGCATAATCGTTGAAGATGAGATTTAATAATTGTCTTCTAATCCATGAGCATGATAGATCATTTTATTTACCTAAGTATACTTTATTTTCCTTTAGAAATATTTTAAAGTTTCAGAGTAGAGGTTTTGCTCAACTTTTATTAAATTTATCCTGAATATTTTATGTGTTATGATATTATGGTAGATATGGTAGATGGTATTTTTTTTATTTTTGTGGGTACACAGTAGGTGTATATATTCATGGCGTATATGAGATGTTTTGATATAGGCATGCAATGTGAAATAAGCACATCATGAAGAATGGGATATCCACCCCTCAAGCATTTATCCTTTGAGTTGCAAACAATCCAATTATACTCTATAAGTTATTTTAAAATGTACAGTTAAATTATTATTGACTGTAGTAACCAGTAGATAGTATGTTGGTCTTTAGAATTCTGTTTGTTTATAACTAGTATATTGAGATAGCACTAACACTGGTAATTGATCTTGTATTCTGTATCTAAGCTGAGTTCACTAATTAAGCTCAGAAATAACCACTAAAAAGCTTACTTATTTAACCAAATACCACCTGTACCCCAAAAACTGATGAAAAAATAAAAATTTTAAATGTAAAAATAAAAAAATAAAAGACTGATATGGTTTGGATCTATGTTCCCATGAAACATTAAATCTCGTGTCAAACTGTAATCCCCAGTGTTGGAGGTGGAGCCTGGTGGGTGGTGATTAAATCATAGGAGTAGAGTTCTCATTAATGGTTTAACACCATTCCCCTGGGTGCTGTTCTCATGATAGTGAGTTCTTGTGAGATCTGGTTATTTAGAAGAATATAGCATCTCCCCTCCCTCTCTCTCTTCCTCCTGCTCCGGCCATGTCAGATGAGCCTGCTTACCCTTCACCTTATGCTCTGATTGTAAGTTTCCTGAGGCCTCCCCAGAAGCCAAGCAGATGTCAGCATCATGCTTCCTGTACAACCTGCCAAACCATGAGCCAATTAAAACTCTTTTCTTTATAAATTACCCAGTCTCAGGTATTTCTTTATAGCAATGCAAGAACAGACTAATACAATGCAAGAACAGACTAATACAAAGACTAATAGCTGTTTATATACCTAAGCATTTTCTACATGATTTGCAAGTATGGAATCTTAACCTCTATCGATTTAATATTCTCACCTTACCTTACATAATAGAATTTGTTGCATTACTGCACTGTGACCTCCAATACAACATTGGATAAAAATGAGAGCAAATAGTCTTTTTATCCCTTGTTTTACTGGAAACTATTTGGTCTTTCACAATAAAAATTCCAAAATCATAACTGGGTCTTGAATTTTATCAAAAGCCCTTTCTACCTCTACTGAAATTACTATGTTTTTCTCTTTTATATTAATAATACAACAAATTAAACAGATTGATCTTGTTAGTATTGAACTAACCTTGCATTTGTGGAATAAAGAATAAATCTCACTTTGCCAAATATATTACTTCTTTATTCTTAATTAATACTGAATATAATTTTGTTAAGGATTTTGGTGTTTGTTTCATTTCATAAACAATTCTTGTCTTTTTCAGGTATTAGAGTTATGCCACTTTTATTAAAATATATGATATAGTGTTTTCTCTTTTATTTTCTGAAAGAGTTTGTAAAGTTTCATATTATTTCTTCTCTTGATTTTTCTTAGAATGCATCAATGAGGTTTTTGGTCTTAAATTTTCTTTGGAAGAAGGTTCTAATTACAAATTCAATTTCAGGGCTTTTCTGGTTTGGTAACATCTGTTTTGGTAATTTGCTAATGTCCATTGTATCTAAGTGTTTAACTTTGTTGGCATGAATTTCTCATATTATGCCCTTAATATCATGTAATAACTTTAGATATGTCTTCCATTCTTTTCTTAATACCATAAATCGGGGAGGAGCCAAGATGGCTAAATAGGAACACCTCCAGTCCACAGCTCCCAGGGTGAGTGACACAGAAGACTTATGATTTCTGCATTTCCATCTGAGGCACCAGGTTCATCTCACTAGGGAGTGCCAGACAGTGGGCGTGGGTCAGTGGGTGCAGCACACCGTCTGCGAGCCGAAGCAGGGCAAGGCATTGCCTCACTCGGGAAGTGCAAGGGGTCAGGGAGTTCCCTTTCCGAGTCAAAGAAAGCGGTGACAGACAGCACCTGGAAAATCGGGTCACTCCCACCCAAATACTGCGCTTTTCTGATGGGCTTAAAAAATGGCACACCACGAGATTATATCCCGCACATGGCTCGGAGGGTCCTACGCCCATGGAGTCTCGCTGATTGCTAGCACAGCAGTCTGAGATCAAACTGCAAGGCAGCAGCAAGGCTGGGGGAGGGGCGCCCACCATTGGCCAGGCTGGCTTAGATAAAGCAGCCTGGAAGCTCCAACTGGGTGGAGCCCACCACAGCTAAAGGAGGCCTGCCTGCCCCTGTAGGCTCCACCTCTGGGGGCAGGGCACAGACAAACAAAAAGACAGAAGTAACCTCTGCAGACTTAAATGTCCCTGTCTGACAGCTTTGAAGAGAGCAGTGGTTCTCCCAGCACACAGCTAGAGATCTGAGAACAGGCACACTGCCTCCTCCAAGTTGGAAACCAAGTTGGAACCAAGTTGGAAAACACTCTGCAGGATATTATCCAGGAGAACTTCCCCAATCTAGCAAGGCAGGCCAACATTCAGATTCAGGAAATACAGAGAACGCCACAAAGATACTCCTGGAGAAGAGCAACTCCAAGACACATAATTGTCAGATTCACCAAAGTTGAAATGAAGGAAAAAATGTTAAGGGCAGCCAGAGAGAAAGGTTGGGTTACCCTCAAAGGGAAGCCCATCAGACTAACAGCGGATCTCTCAGCAGAAACTCTACAAGCCAGAAGAGAGTGGGGGCCAAAATTCAACAATCTTAAAGAAAAGAGTTTTCAACCCAGAATTTCATAACCAGCCAAACTAAGCTTCATAAGTGAAGGAGAAATAAAATACTTTACAGAGAAGCAAATGCTGAGAGATTTTGTCACCACCAGGCCTGCCCTAAAAGAGCTCCTGAAGGAAGCACTAAACATGGAAAGGAACAACCGGTACAAGCCGCTGCAAAATCATGCCAAAATGTAAAGACCATTGAGGCTAGGAAGAAATTGCATCAACTAACGAGCAAAATAACCAGCTAACATCATAATGACAGGTTCAAATTCACACATAACAATATTAACTTTAAATGTAAATGGACTACATGCTCCAATTAAAAGACATAGACTGGCAAATTGGATAAAGAGTCAAGACCCATCGGTGTGTTGCATTCAGAAAACCCATCTCACGTGCAGAGACACACATTGGCTCAAAATAAAAGGATGGAGGAAGATCTATCAAGCCAATGGAAAACAAAAAAGAGCAGGGGTTGCAATCCTAGTATCTGATAAAACAGACTTTAAACCAACAAAGATCAAAAGAGACAAAGAAGGCCATTACATAATGGTAAAGGGATCAATTCAACAAGAAGAGCTAACTATCCTAAATATATATGCACCCAATACAGGAGCACCCAGGTTCATAAAGCAAGTCCTGAGTGACCTACAAAGAGATTTAGACTCCGACACAGTAATAATGGGAGACTTTAACACTCCACTGTCAACATTAGACAGATCAACGAGACAGAAAGTTAACAAGGACACCCAGGAATTGAACTCAGCTCTGCACCAAGCGGACCTAATAGACATCTACAGAACTCTCCACCCCAAATCAACAGAATATACATTTTTTTCAGCACCACACCACACCACACCTATTCCAAAATTGACCACATACTTGGAAGTAAAGCTCTCCTCAGCAAATGTAAAAGAACAGAAATTATAACAAACTGTCTCTCAGACCACAGTGCAATCAATCTAGAACTCAGGATTAAGAAACTCACTCAAAACGGCTCAACTACATGGAAACAGAACAACCTGCTCCTGATTGACTACTGGGTACATAACGAAATGAAGGCAGAAATAAAGATGTTCTTTGAAACCAACAAGAACAAAGACACACATACCAGAATCTCTGGGACACATTCAAAGCAGTGTGTAGAGGGAAATTTATAGCACTAAATGCCCACAAGAGAAAGCAGGAAAGATCCAAAATTGACAACCTAACATCACAATTAAAAGAACTAGAAAAGCAAGAGCAAACACATTCAAAAGCTAGCAGAAGGGAAGAAATAACTGAAATCAGAGCAGAACTGAAGGAAACAGAGACATAAAAAACCCTTCAAAAAATTAATGAATCCAGGAGCTGGTTTTTTGAAAGGATCAACAAAATAGATAGACCGTTAGCAAGACTAGTAAAGAAAAAAAGAGAGAAGAATCAAATAGACACAATAAAAAATGATAAAGGGGATATCACCACCGATCCCACAGAAATACAAACTACCATCAGAGAATACTACAAACACCTCTATGCAAATAAACTAGAAAATCTAGAAGAAATGGATAAATTCCTTGACACATACACCCTCCCAAGACTAAACCAGGAAGAAGTTGAATCTCTGAATAGACCAATAAGAGAAGCTGAAATTGTGGCAATAATCAATAGCTTACCAACCAAAAAGAGTCCAGGACCAGATGCATTCAAAGCTGAATTCTACCAGAGGTACAAGGAGGAACTGGTACCATTCCTTCTGAAACTATTTCAATCAATAGAAATAGAGGGAATCCTCCCTAACTCATTTTATGAGGCCAGCATCATCCTGATACCAAAGCCTGGCAGAGACACAACCAAAAAAGAGAATTTTAGACCAATATCCTTGATGAACATTGATGCAAAAATCCTCAATAAAATACTGGCAAACCGAATCCAGCAGCACATCAAAAAGCTTATCCACCATGATCAAGTGGGCTTCATCCCTGGGATGCAAGGCTGGTTCAATATATGCAAATCAATAAATGTAATCCAGCATATAAACAGAACCAAAGACAAAAGCCACATGATTATCTCAATAGATGCAGAAAAGGCCTTTGACAAAATTCAACAACGCTTCATGCTAAGAACTCTCAATAAATTAGGTATTGATGGGATGTATATCAAAATAATAAGAGCTATCTATGACAAACCCACAGCCAATATCATACTGAATGGGCAAAAACTGGAAGCATTCCCTTTGAAAACTGGCACAAGAGAGGGATGCTTTCTCTGAACACTCCTATTCCACATTGTGTTGGAAGTTCTGGTCAGAGCAATTAGGCAGGAGAAGGAAATAAAGAGGATTCAATTAGGAAAAGAGGAAGTCAAATTGTCCCTGTTTGCAGATGACGTGATTCTGTATCTAGAAAACCCCATTGTATCAGCTCAAAATCTCCTTAAGCTGATAAGCAACTTCAGCAAAGTCTCAGGATACAAAATCAATGTACAAAAATCACAAGCATTCTTATACACCAATAACAGACAAACAGAGAGCCAAATCATGAGTGAACTCCCGTTCACAAATTGCTTCAAAGAGAATAAAATACCTAGGACTCCACCTGACAAGGGATGTGAAGGACCTCTTCAAGGAGAACTACAAACCACTGCTCAATGAAATAAAAGAGGATACAAACAAATGGAAGAATATTCCATGCTCATAGGTAGGAAGAATCAATATCATGAAAATGGCCATACTGCCCAAGGTAATTTACAGATTCAATGCCATCCCCATCAAGCTACCAACGGCTTTCTTCACAGAATTGGAAAAACTACTTTGAAGTTCATATGGAACCAAAAAAGAGCCCGCATCACCAAGTCAATCCTAAGCCAAAAGAACAAAGCTGGAGGCATCACGCTACCTGACTTCAAACTATACTACAAGGCTACAGTAACCAGAAGAGCATGGTACTGCTACCAAAACAGAGATATAGATCAATGGAACACAACAGAGCCCTCAGAAATAACGCCGCATATCTACAACTATTTGATCTTTGACAAACCTGAGAAAAACAAGCAATGGGGAAAGGATTCCCTATTTAATAAATGGTGCTGGGAAAACTGGATAGCCATATGTAGAAAGCTGAAACTGGATCCCTTCCTTACACCTTATACAAAAATGAATTCAAGGTGGATTAAAGACTCAAACGTTAGACCTAAAACCATAAAAACCATAGAAGAAAACCTAGGCATTACCATTCAGGACATAGGCACGGGCAAGGACTTCATGTCCAAAACAGCAACAGCAATGGCAACAAAAGCAAAAATTGACAAATGGGATCAAATTAAACTAAAGAGCTTCTGCACAACAAAAGAATCTACCATCAGAGTGAACAGGCAACCCACAAAATGGGAGAAAATTTTCGCAACCTACTCATCTGACAAAGGGCTAATATCCAGAATCTACAATGAACTCAAACAAATTTACAAGAAAAAAACAACCCCATCAAAAAGTGGGCAAAGGACATGAACAGACTCTTCTCAAAAGAAGACATTTATGCAGCCAAAAAACACATGAAAAAATGCTCACCATCACTGGCCATCAGAGAAATGCAAATCAAAACCACAATGAGATATCATCTCACACCAGTTAGAATGGCAATCATAAAAAAGTCAGTAAACAACAAGTGCTGGTGACGATGTGGAGAAATAGGAACACTTTTACACTGTTGGTGGGACTCTAAACTAGTTCAACCATTGTGGAAGTCAGTGTGGTGATTCCTCAGGGATCTAGAACTAGAAATAGCATTTGACCCAGCCATCCCATTACTGGGTATATACCCAAAGGACTATAAATCATGCTGTTATAAAGACACAGGCACACGTATGTTCATTGCAGCACTATTCACAATAGCAAAGACTTGGAACCAACCCAAATGCCCATCAATGACAGAGTAGATTAAGAAAATGTGGCACATGTACACCATGGAATACTATGCAGCCATAAAAAATGATGAATTCATGTCCTTTGTAGGAACATGGATGAAATTGGAAATCATCATTCTCAGTAAACTATCACAAGAACAAAAAACCAAACACCGCATATTCTCACTCATAGGTGGGAATTGAACAATGAGATCACATGGACACAGGAAGGAGAACATCACACTCTGGGAACTGTTGTGGGGTGGGGGAGGGGGTAGGGATAGCATTGGGAGATATACCTAATGCTAGATGATGAGTTAGTGAGTGCAGCACACCAGCATGTCACATGTATACATATGTAACTAACCTGCACATGTACCCTAAAACTTAAAGTATAATAATAAAAAAATATATACCATAAATCACTCAATTTCTCTCTCTCCCTCCTTCTCTTCCTCTTCCTTCCTCCCTTGCCCCATATTGGATCAGTCTAACTAAAGGGTTTATAAATTTTAATAATCTTTTTCAATGTACCACATTTGGTTTGGTTGATTTTGACATTATTTGTTCTTTTTCTGTTTCTATGATTTTTAATATTATCTTTATTATTTACTGTCTTTCACTTTATTTGGGTTTAATTTGTCATTATTTTCTACTTGAGTGAAATCACCAGTTGTTGATTTTGGACGTTTCTTATTTTCTAGTCTGAGCCATTAATGCTGTAAGTTTTCCTCTAAGCATGCTTTAGCTGCACCTCACACATTTTGATGGATTGAGTCTTTTATCATCAGTTTTAAATATTTTCTAATTTCCCTTGTCATTCCTATTTTGTCTTGTAAGTTTTTAGCAGCATGTTGCTTATATTGGGATTTCCCAGATACTTTTTGTTATTTATTTCTAATTTTTTAAAATCAGTGAATACATTGTATATATTTTCAATCATTTTAAAATAATTGAGACTTTTTTACTGAGAGCATAGCATCTCTTGATAAATGTTTTATTTGTTTTTTGGAAAAAAATATCTATTCTACTATTGTGTAGAGCAGTGGTCCTCAAACTTTTTGGCACTAGGGACCAGTTTCATGGAAGACAATTTTTTCACAGACAGGGATGAGGTTGGGTGGGGTGGGAAATTGTTTCAGGATGAACCTGTTCCACCTCAGATCATCAGGCATTACTTAAATTATCATAAAGAGTGTGCAACCTAGATCTCTGGTGTGCATAGTTCACAATAGGGTTTGTGCTCCTATGGGAATCTAATGCCACCACTGATCTGACAGGAGACAGAACTCAGGTAGTAAGTCTTGCTTGCAGGCTGCTCACCTCCTGCTGTGCCCAGTGTAACAGGCCACAGACCAGGACCAGTCCACAGCCTGGGGTTTGAGGACCCCTGGGCTAGAGTATTCAATTAAGTCATCAATTAAGTTGTTTGAGCATATTTTTCAAATATTGTATGCCCTTAGTAATTTTTTAAAACACATATTTGTTCTAACAATTTCTGAGAGGAGACAGTTGTATATTTTCCATTTCCATTACCTTCTGGCATTATTTTTGCAAATTAGAAATCTGCTGCACTGTAATTGCAATTCATTTCAGGTAAACTGCTTTTTACCTGGTACATTGAGTCATTTGATCTTTATCCTTGATATTGTGCAGTTTCACCATGATTGTCTAGGATTTAGTTGTTTTTTACTTATCCTGCTTGATAGTTGATTGCAGTTTTGACTGAACTGATTTTGCTTTTCTTAATTTTGATATAGTAACCAGTTATCATTTCCTAAAATGTTTATTTTCTTCTGGAACTTTAACTAAATGTATGTGGTAGTTTTTCTGTCTATTCTCCAGATTGCTTAACTCCTCTTTCATATTTTTTATTTTATTCTACCACAGTGCTAGGCTCTGAGTAATTTTTGCACACTTCTATCCTGGTCACAAATTCTGTATTTGGATTTGCCCAGTTTAGTACTTGCATAGTTTTTTTAAAAAAAATTATTATTGCTATAAAGAATATATTGTTTATATTCAATATTTCCAGTGGTGTCTTCTTAAAATCCATCTTTATTCCATGTCTGGCCCCCCAGTTACTTTTTTTTTTTTTTTTTTTTTTTTTTTTTTTTTTTTGCTTTTTAGACACAGGGTCTCACTCTTTTGTCACCCAGGCTAGAGTGCAGTGACATGATCAGGTCTCATGTCTCACTGCAGCCTTGAACTGCTGAGCTCAAGTGATCCTCCCACCTCAGCCTCCCAAGTAGCTGGGACTATAGGCACGCACCACTGTATCTGGCTGATTTACTTTTCTTTATTTAGGGGCGGGGTCTCCTATGTTATCTAGGCTGGTCTCAAACTCCTGACCTCAAGCAATCCTCATGCCTCAGCTTCTCAAAGTGCGGGATTACAAGCATGAGCCACTGTGCCAGGCCTCTCGTCTTTTTGTTTTAATCATGTACTACTTTCATATATACATTTGGACATAAACAATGGTTATTTATTTGAGACAGGTTCTGGCTCTGCCATTCAGGCTTAAGTGCAGTGGCATGATCTCGGCCCACTAAAACCTCCACCTTCCAGGCTCAAGCCATCCTCCCAACTCAGACTCCTGAGAAGTTCAAACTACAGGCACATACCACCATGCCTGGCTATTTTTTGTGTTTTTTGTAGAGATGGGGTTTCGCCATCTTGCCCAGGCTGGTCTCCAACTCAGGAGCTCAAGTGATACATCTGCCTCAGCCTCCCAAAGCGCTGGAATTATAGGTGTGAGCCACCGCACCCAGCCAATAATTGTTATTATAAAATCTTAGATACATTTCCAATTTTTTTTAGCTTCCTGTGGACTATATTTATCCTGCAATCACTGGTTTTATTGGTTGTCCTTTATATTCTTATATTTCTCTACATGCTTGTGAATTTGTATTTTCAGCTTCACTTAAAGAAGGAAATATACTTTCACGCATTAAATCTTCCAGTCTTTAGGTTCCTTAACTCCCTTCGCCACGTTCCAGAGTCCTCAGTCCAAAGGGACATCAGGTATCAAGGCTCAGTATTCCCTGCCCATGATGAGAGTAGGAAGATGGCTGATCCTCTTCTCACTAAGCCAGGGAGGTAGATATTTTAGTTCCTGGTTATGTGTCTCAACCCTAAGCCTACACACTTAAAATAAGCTAAACTCCAAGCAGCGTAAGAAACCTGTTTCTCTCAGCTTGCTTTCCTCTGGATTTATTTGGGTAAATCTATTCCAATTCTCCCGCCTAGGTAAGGAAGATGAAGTCTTGGTTATTTCAGCAGAAGAAAACTCTTGGTGAATGTTGAGACCTGTTATCAGACCCCTGGCTTTGTCCTATCTGTATCTAAATTTTCTCCATAGCATTTACCTGCATTGCTGCCTGTTTAAAGTGGAAGGGGTTCGACATGCTGAGCTATCTTGATTGGAAATCACTATATTTTTTTTGTGGCGGCGGTGGGGAAGGGCAAGGAGTAATTTTTTTTTTTACTCCAATAAAAAGGCTCATCGTAAAGGAATGGTCACATAGAAACTCTTGCCCTTAGAAATTGTTTCCTTTGGGTGTCTACCCATTAATGGGATTTCTGGATCAAATGGGAGTTCTAGTTTTCATTCTTAGTTCTAGTTTTAGTTCTAGTTTTGCTCTTTGATGTGACTCTAAATGGACAATTGGAATGAGATAACTCCTCTAGGAAGGAAAAGAAAATAGAGGTATTGGTAGACACAGAGGTTCTTTTTGTTCCATTTACAAAATTGGCAGGCAGCTGGGGGCAGTGCTGCTAGAGGTCTTGCTCTGCCCAGATGCATAAATTCTTCTCCTACTAATAAGCACTGCTTGATGTCAACGTCACTGCATCCTATTACTCATTGTAGGCATGTAGCATGACAATTACCCCCTACCTCTCTTTCTACTTCTGGTCCCAAACATCATGACTCAGAATCAACCCAGGTGCCCAACAGTGGTGGACTGGATTTTTGTAAATGTGGTGCATATACACCCTGAGGTACTGTGCAGCAATAGAAAAAGAAAGAAATCCATATACGCCATGGAATACTGTGCCGCCATAAAAAAAAAAAATGAAATCCTGTCCTTTGCAGCAACATGGATGCAGCTGACCATTGTCCTAAAGAAATTAGCACAGAACAGAAAATCAAACATCACATTTTCTCACTTATAAGTGAGAGCTAACCCCTGGATCCACATGGACATAAAGATGGTAACAATAGACCCTGAGGACTTCAAAACAGGGGAGAGAAGGAGTGGGCTATGGGCTGAAAAACCTTCCTTTAGGGTACTGTGTTGACTATCTGGGTGATGGGATCGGTAGAAGCCCAAACATCAGCATCAGGCAAAATATCCTTATAACAAATCTGTACATGTGCTCCCTGAATCTAAAATAAAATAGAAATGTAAAAAAATAAACTGTTTCCTATTTAGAACTCTTAATAACATCTCGGGTTGGTGTCTCTTCTCGATAGAAAAAGGTGTAGCGTTTTTATTCTTTTTCCATTCCTGGGTACTGTCAAGTCACCATGCCTTGAGGATGGACACAAAGGCTTCCTCTAGAGCAGCAGGAATTACAAATTGAATTTTATAATCCTGCTACATTTACAGTAAAAGGCATGGATGAACCAGCTGTAAAGATCTGTGATGCGGTTGATGAACTATCTTTTCTCTGTGGTTGCTGGACCTAAGATCAGAGGGGTGCTTATTTGGGTCTTTAGCAAGAGCAGATTCTAGTTGCCTGCCCAACTTTTGGCCTCAGATGAGAAGCATTCTTTGGTCTGGTCTTTCCTAGCCATGGGCATGGACTGAACAGCATCTGTCAAGAAGCACAATTAATCTTCAGATGAAAATAGTAAAAAAAAAAAAAAAAAAAAAAAAAAAAAAAAAAAAAAAGACGAGGCGTTGTGGAGAAAACTGGTTTGGTGTAATCTGCCAACGATTCTTTTAGTTCCTCTGTACCGGTGTGCAGAGGTGCATAAGAAAGGGATTTTTTGCTCAGAATTATTTAGTCTATGATTAGTTATTTATAGTCAAGAGTAGTCATGGAACTTGTTAGTTATGCGAAATTGGACCAAATATGCTTCTTTAAGCCTCATGACTGATTTTTGTACGATAATAATTAGCATATTTTGAGCATTTGAAAGGAGCTAGAGGTTCAATGCTTTACATGTGGGGTTACATTTGATCTTCATAGGCTCCTGAGAGGGCAGATGCAGTTGCTAATTCTCTTTTACTAAATGCCCAACATCACACATAGAAGACAGCTATTCCTGAGACTTAACAAAACGCCAGCTCATGACATTATGCTATGCTACCTCAAGTACATCACACGGGAGTAATTGTTTCTGCCTTACTAGTTAACTCAGAAAAGTAAATGAGGCTTGGAAAGGCCCTAGCTCAAAGCACATACTCAAAAGTATTAGTTTATCTGCAGCATGGAGGTGATATCCACCCATTGAGATGCCAATCAAACTTTCCTGGGTTTTTTGTCATCACCTGCTTTCCCTAAACTAGCATTGTCCTTGACACAGCTCTATTTGTGGTGTTTTTTCCCCTCTGTTTGTAGGCATTTTTGTAGCACTACTTATTTGCTGACTCAAGGGCTCAGCTTAAGACCTTAAACGCTTCAGGGGAAATGTTTTCTTTCCAAATCTAATGCTATGATTTACATCAAGTCCTATAGTATGACACAGGGCAGGATTGAGACAATACTCTGGCTATGTAAATGAAGTACAGGAGACTGCATTAAGAATAAGGATTAATTTATGTCTTGTATCCCATGTAAGTCATGACATTTGGCGCCAGAAGCAGAGACAGGGGTGTCGGGCTTAATTATCATGCTACATGGCTACAGTGAGTACTAGGATGCAGTGAAGTTGATATCAAGCAGTTCTTATTAGTAGGAGAAGAATGTTTGCATCTGAGCCAGAGCAAGACCTCTAGCAGCAATCCCCTCGCTTCCAATTTGGTAAATGGAACAAAAAGAATCTCTTTGTCTACAAAGACCTCTACTTTCTTTTTCTTCCTAGAGGAGTTCTCTCTCATTCCAATTAACCATTTAGAGCCACATCAAAGAGCAAAGATGTGGGAATAAAATCTGTAACCTGCACTTCTATGTGTCTCTAAAGACCTTTAGAGTAATTGCAGATGAGACCAAAAGACATTTTTAAAAAAGAAGGGTCAGCTTCAATCACTCAGAAAAACTTGACAAACCTTAAGTTTCTTTGCAAAATAAAAGTACTTTTCCACTTTAATGAGAAATGATCAGAAAATAGTCTTCCCTGTACTTGCACACCGTCATGTCTCCCAGTGTAATTGGTAGAAAATAGCTAAAAGCATGAAGCAAGTCCATGGAAACATCACAAGATCATGTAAATGGATTAAAAGTGAATCCAGTTCATTTTGTTTTAACCCTTGAATATTTTCCCTTTTTTTCCTTTCTCTTTTTCCCTTTTTCTTTATTTCTACTACCTTGCCCTCTTCTGAACTTGCAAGGTTCACAAAAACTATTCTCAGAAGAATGCTTCCGACAGTTTTGAGAACAAGATCCTGTCAGCAATTCCAATTAAAGGGCATGAAAAACGGTAACAATCACCAATCATTCCAATGGCAAGTTTTACCACACTGCTACCTGGGCTAGGCTGCAGGATCATGGAGTTTTCTCTTCTCCTGGCCCCATTTAACTCCAGTCTTACTTTGATTTAGAGTCTGCCCTATCTTCAGGTGCTCCCTAATACATATCAGGAAAGTAAAGCCTTTCACCTTGAGTCCCCTTCACTAGTTTGTGCCATGATATTTGTAACTATTGGCCTTACCAACACTCTGAAAAAGGCTTAATAGCAAACAGGTTATGAAAACAAAGACAAGTGTGTGTTCTCACCTTCTCATCTTTATTTCTTTCTGACTCTTTTCACTGATATCCCCCACCCCACCATGGCCATCTGCAGCAACTCTATCCAACTTTCAAAATTCATCCATTCCATTGCTACCTGTGATAATCCCCACAGCATGAAGTGGTCTCTCCTTCTTTGAACTACCTTACCACTATCACCAGACAGTAGCCCCTGATATAATCACACATACATGTGGATTTTTACACTTCTTAGAGGGATAATAGCCTATTCCAGGGTGAGGACCGTACCTTATGTCTCAGTATCTATGGCTTATTTAGGGTAGTGTGTATAAACTAATTTTTATTGCTGAAATTTACAATTACCAGTATATTGGGTTTTTGTGTGTGAAAATTTCCTCACTTACTAAAATATTTCATTTATGACTTTATTTATTTGAAATACAAGGTGAAAATGAGTTGAGGTGGATGATATTTCAATGCAAACGTAAAAACAAATGAAGGCATGAGAGGGAGAGATCCATTTTTCAAAATATGTGGTCAAAGTATAAAATGATTCAAATAGGTTTCTCTACCCCAAAATGCCAGCCTTCTCTCTCCCTCTCTTAGAAATATGTCCTGTGCATACCTAGCTCTATATCCTTCCCACATAATTGCCAGCTTGATGTTCTTCCCTCTCCTTATTTTCTGCTAAACTCCATCATGTTAAGCCCAACTGAAGACCGACTTTCTCCAAGAAAATTTCTGGACTCACACTCTGTACAATAGAGATCTCATTTTTTATCATTTAAATTGGAATGGACAGGCCAGGCATGGTGTCTCATGCCTGTAATCCCAGCACTTTGGGAGGCCGAGACAGATGAATCACTTGAGGTCAGGAGTTCAAGACCAGCCTGGCCAACATGGTGAAACCCTGTCTCCACTAGAAATACAAAAATTAGCTGGGTATAGTGGCTTGTGCCTGTAGCAGGAGAATCGCTTGAACCTGGGAGATGGAGCTTGCCATGAGCTGAGATTGCACCACTTCACTGAAGCCTGGGCAACAGAGTGAGACTCAGTCTCAAAAAAAAAAAAAAAAATGGAATGGACAATAACAAATGAAGCTTATATATGTCACTAGTTACTGTACTCCTCATTTATAATAATAGTTTGTATATCTTCTACTAGTTTGTTTTTTAAGCAAGTTAAGAGCAAGGACTACACTTTTTTCTTCGCTCAGAATTTCCATTTCACCAGGCACCAAAATTTGGTCACATTTTCAGGATCAATATTTCATTGTTGATTTTTGATTCATTAACTTACTTTTGAAATAACTTGGTTCCTGGTTTTTATCAGGATATCCCTTTCAAAACTTGTATTATTCTGGAGCATTAATATTGCAGGCTGGACATCAAAAGTAGTAGAGGGTCCACTCTCTGTCCTTTTTTTTTGTTTTCTTTTCTTTTCTTTTTTGAGACAGAATCTTGCTCTGTTGCCCAGGCTGGAGTGCTGTGGCACAATCTCAGCTCACTGCAACCTCCACCTCCTGGGTTCAAACAATTCTCCTGCCTCAGCCTCCTTAGTAGCTGGGATTACAGGCGTGCACCACTACGCCCAGCTAAAAGTTTCACCATGTTGGTAAGTCTGGTATCAAACTCCTGACCTCATGATCTGCCCGCCTCGGCTTCGCAAAGTGCTGGAATTACAGGCATGAGCCACTGCGCTCCACCAACTCTGTGCTCTTAAATGGTAAGTCATTGACTCATCCTAGACAGAAGTCTACATAGGCTCTCACAGATTATTAGAGCCCTGGATCTGGTTTTCTGCAATTCTCTTGGTTTTTCCAGATTTCTTCCCTTCATTCTGGCATCCTTCTTGATCCCTTGTCTACCACACCACTTAAATCTCTGTCTAGGAATGTTCAGGCATTGTGTTGATACATTGGTGTTGATGGTATTATCTCTGAATCCATCCCACGGCCTGGGAGCAACACACCCTAGGTGTCCTATGTGGGAGGTAACTCAAGCAGTCACTATGGAAAGCAAGCAGCATTCACATTTTTGGTGGTTGCTGTGGACTTATGCTAATCAGGACCCCTCACCCCCGCTCCCAAAAAAAACCCCTCTGATCCAAATGCTAATCCCTCTGGAAATACCATTACAGAGACAGCCAGAAATAAATGTCTTTCCAACCATCTGGTCATCCCTTAGCCCGGTCAAGGTCACTTATTAAATTCATCATCACAATTTGTATTAGAGTGGAGCAAAAGTAATTGCGGTCTTTGCCATTGAAAATGATGGCCAAAACCGCAATGACTTTTGCACCAACCTAATATTAGGATTAAAATAGTAATTTCAGAGAAATAAAGGTAAAAGTTTGTGTGTATATATACAAAATAAAAATTAATTTTGTAGAATCCCGTTTATCTCCACCATAGAATTATTTCATATACCTTCTTTTAATTAAAAAAAGTATAGTGTTTATGGCCAGACGCAGTGCTCACGTCTGTAATCCCAGCACTTTGGGAGGCCAAGGCAGGTGGATCACCTGAGATCAGGAGTTCGAGACCAGCCTGACCAACATGGAGAAACCCCATCTCTACCAAAAATACAAAATTAGCCAGGCGTGGTGGCACATGCCTGTAATCCCAGCTACTCAGGAGGCTGAGGCAGGAGAATTGCTTGAACCTGGGAGGCAGAGGTTGTGGTGAGCTGAGATTGCACCACTGCACTCCAGCCTGGGCAACAGAAGCGAAACTCCATCTCAAAAAAAAAAATTATAGTGTTTGTAATAAATCTTTAACATCTTCAAATAGTAATATAACACTTCATGTGTGATGTAAGACACAGCCATATCCCTACCCACCATGATCATTGTGCTATTTTTAAAAGACATTTCACTTTGATGTGTGTGGTAAACTTGTAATTATTAAATTTTGCTTTAAATTGTTTTTTTTTTTAATTTTATTTTTATTTTTTTATTTTTTTTATTATACTTTAAGTTTTAGGGTATATGTGTACATTGTGCAGGTTAGATACATATATATACATGTGCCATGCTGGTGCACTGCACCCACTAACTCATCATCTAGCATTAGGTATATCTCCCAATGCTATCCCTCCCCCCTCCCCCCACCCCACAACAGTCCCCAGAGTGTGATATTCCCCTTCCTGTGTCCATGTGATCTCATTGTTCAATTCCCACCTATGAGTGAGAATATGCGGTGTTTGGTTTTTTGTTCTTGCGATAGTTTACTGAGAATGATGATTTCCAATTTCATCCATGTCCCTACAAAGGACCTGAACTCATCATTTTTTATGGCTGCATAGTATTCCATGGTGTATATGTGCCACATTTTCTTAATCCACTCTATCATTGATGGGCATTTGGGTTGGTTCCAAGTCTTTGCTATTGTGAATAATGCCGCAATGAACATACGTGTGCATGTGTCTTTATAGCAGCATGATTTATAGTCCTTTGGGTATATACACAGTAATGGGATGGCTGGGTCAAATGGTATTTCCAGTTCTAGATCCCTGAGGAATCGCCACACTGACTTCCACAATGGTTGAACTAGTTTACAGTCCCACCAACAGCGTAAAAGTGTTCCTATTTCTCCACATCCTCTCCAGCACCTGTTGTTTCCTGACTTTTTAATGATTGCCATTCTAACTGGTGTGAGATGGTATCTCATAGTGGTTTTGATTTGCATTTCTCTGATGGCCAGTGATGATCAGCATTTTTTCACGTGTTTTTTGGCTGCATAAATGTCTTCTTTTGAGAAGAGTCTGTTCATGTCCTTTGCCCACTTTTTGATGGGGTTGTTTGTTTTTTTCTTGTCAATTTGTTTGAGTTCATTGTAGATTCTGGATATTAGCCCTTTATCAGATAAGTATGTTGCGAAAATTTTCTCCCATTTTGTAGGTTGCCTGTTCACTCTGATGGTAGTTTCTTTTGCTGTGCAGAAGTTCTTTAGTTTAATTAGATCCCATTTGTCAATTTTGGCTTTTGTTGCCATTCCTTTTGGTGTTTTGGACATGAAGTCCTTGCCCATGTCTATGTCCTGAATGGTAATGCCTAGGTTTTCTTCTAGGGTTTTTATGGTTTTAGGTCTAACATTTAAGACTTTAATCCATCTTGAATTGATTTTTGTATAAGGTATAAGGAAGGGATCCAGTTTCAGCTTTCTACATATGGCTAGCCAGTTTTCCCAGCACCATTTATTAAATAGGGAATCCTTTCCCCATTGCTTGTTTTTCTCAGGTTTGTCAAAGATCAGATAGTTGTAGATCTGTGGCGTTATTTCTGAGGGCTCTGTTCTGTTCCATTGATCTATATCTCTGTTTTGGTACCAGTACCATGCTCTTTTGGTTACTGTAGCCTTGTAGTATAGTTTGAAGTCAGGTAGTGTGATGCCTCCAGCTTTGTTCTTTTGGCTTAGGATTGACTTGGCGATGCAGGTTCTTTTTTGGTTCCATATAAACTTTAAAGTAGTTTTTTTCCAATTCTGTGAAGAAAGGCATTGGTAGCTTGATGGGGATGGCATTGAATCTGCAAATTACCTTGGGCAGTGAGGCCATTTTCACGATATTGATTCTTCCTACCCATGAGCAGGGAATGTTCTTCCATTTGTTTGTATCCTCTTTTATTTCCTTGAGCAGTGGTTTGTAGTTCTCCTTGAAGAGGTCCTTCACATCCCTTGTAAGTTGGATTCCTAGGTATTTTATTCTCTTTGAAGCAATTGTGAATGGGAGTTCCCTCATGACTTGGCTCTCTGTCTGTCTGTTGTTGGTGTATAAGAATGCTTGTGATTTTTGTACATTGATTTTGTATCCTGAGACTTTGCTGAAGTTGCTTATCAGCTTAAGGAGATTTTGGGCTGAGACAATGGGGTTTTCTAGATATACAATCATGTCGTCTGCAAAAAGGGACAATTTGACTTCCTCTTTTCCTAATTGAATACCCTTTATTTCCTTCTCCTGCCTAATTGCCCTGGCCAGAACTTCCAAACCTATGTTGAATAGGAGTGGTGAGAGAGGGCATCCCTGTCTTGTGCCAGTTTTCAAAGGGAATGCTTCCAGTTTTTGCCCATTCAGTATGATATTGGCTGTGGGTTTGTCATAGATAGCTCTTATTATTTTGAGATATGTCCCATCAATACCTAATTTATTGAGAGTTTTTAGCATGAAGCGTTGTTGAATTTTGTCAAAGGCCTTTTCTGCATCTATTGAGATAATCATGTGATTTTTTCTTTAGTTCTGCTTATGTGCTGGATTACATTTATTGATTTGCATGTACTGAATGAGCCTTGCATCCCAGGGATGAAGCCCACTTGATCATGGTGGATAAGCTTTTTGATGTGCTGCTGGATTCGGTTTGCCAGTATTTTATTGAGGATTTTTGCAGCAATTTTCATCAAGGATATTGGTCTAAAATTCTCTTTTTGTTGTGTCTCTGCCCGGCTTTGGTATCAGGATGATGCTGGCCTCATAAAATGAGTTAGGGAGGATTCCCTCTTTTTCTATTGATTGGAATAGTTTCAGAAAGAATGGTACCCATTCTTCCTTCTACCTCTGGTAGACTTCGGCTGTTAATCCATCTGGTCCTGGACTCTTTTTAGTTGGTAAGTTATTCATTATTGTCACAATTTCAGAGCCTGTTATTGGTCTATTCAGAGATTCAACTTCTTCCTGGTTTAGTCTTGGGTGGGTGTATGTGTCAAGGAATTTATACATTTCTTCTAGATTTTCTAGTGTATTTGCGTAGAGGTATTTATAGTATTCTCTGATGGTGGTTTGTATTTCTGTGGGATCAGTGATGAGATCCCCTTTATCATTTTTTATTGCATCTATTTGATTCTTCTCTTTTTTTCTTTATTAGTCTTGCTAACGATCTTTCAATTTTCTTGCTCCTTTCAAAAAACCAGCTCCTGGATTCATTAATTTTTTGGAGGGTTCTTTGTGTCTCTATTTCCTTCAGTTCTGCTCTGATTTTAGTTATTTCTTGTGTTCTGCTAGCTTTTGAATGTGTTTTCTCTTGCTTTTCTGATTCTTTTAATTGTGATGTTAGGGTGTCAATTTTGGATCTTTCCTGCTTTCTCTTGTGGGCATTTAGTGCTATAAATTTCCCTCTGCACACTGCTTTGAATGTGTCCCAGAGATTCTGGTATGTTTTGTCTTTGTTGTCATTTGTTTCAAAGAACATCTTTATTTCTGTCTTCATTTCGTTATGTACTCAGTAGTCATTCAGGAGCAGGTTGTTCAGTTTCCATGTAGTTGAGCCATTTTGAGTGAGTTTCTTAATCCTGAGCTCTAGTTTGATTGCACTGTGGTCTGAGAGACAGTTTGTTATAATTTCTTTTCTTTTACATTTGCTGAGGAGAGCTTTATTTCCAACTATGTGGTCAATTTTGGAATAAGTGTGGTGTGGTGCTGAAAAAAATATATATTCTGTTGATTTGGGGTGGAGAGTTCTGTAGATGTCTATTAGGTCCGCTTGTTGCAGAGCTGAGTTCAATTCCTGGGTGTCTTTGTTGACTTTCTGTCTCGTTGATCTGTCTAATGTTGACAGTGGAGTGTTAAAGTCTCCCATTATTATTGTGTGGGAGTCTAAGTCTCTTTGTAGGTCACTCAGGACTTGCTTTATGAATTTGGGTGCTCCTGTATTGGGTGCATATACATTTAGGATAGTTAGCTCTTCTTGTTGAATTGATCCCTTTACGATTATGTAATGGCCTTCTTTGTCTCTTTTGTTCTTTGTTGGTTTAAAGTCTGTTTTATCAGAGACTAGGATTGCAACCCCTGCCTTTTTTTCTTTTCCATTTGCTTGGTAGATCTTCTTCCATCCTTTTATTTTGAGCCTATGTGTGTCTCTGCATGTGAGATGAGTTTCCTGAATACAGCACACTGATGGGTGTTGACTCTTTATCCAATTTGCCAGTCTGTGTCTTTTAATTGGAGAATTTAGTCCATTTACATTTAAAGTTAATATTGTTATGTGTGAATTTGATCCTGTCATTATGATGTTAGCTGATGATTTTACTCATTAGTTGATGTAGTTTCTTCCTAGCCTTGATGGTCTTTACAATTTGGCATGATTTTGCAGTGGCTGGTACCGGTTGTTCCTTTCCAGGTTTAGTACTTCTTTCAGGAGCTCTTTTAGGGCAGGCCTGGTGGTGACAAAATCTCTCAGCATTTGCTTGTTTGTAAAGTATTTTATTTCTCCTTCACTTATGAAGCTTGGTTTGGCTGGATATGAAATTCTGGGTTGAAAATTCTTATGTTTAAGAATGTTGTATATTGGCCCCCACTCTCTTCTGGCTTGTAGAGTTTCTGCTGAGAGATCCGCTGTTAGTCTGATGGGCTTCCCTTTGAGGGAAACCCGACCTTTCTCTCTGGCTGCCCTTAACATTTTTTTCTTCATTTCAATTTTGCTAAACCTGACAATTATGTGTCTTAGAGTTGCTCTTCTTGAGGTATATCTTTGTGGCATTCTCTGTATTTCCTGATTGAGAATGTTGGCCTGCATTGCTATGTTGGGGCAGTTCTCCTGGATAATGTCCTGCAGAGTGTTTTCCAACTTGGTTTCATTCTCCCCGTCACTTTCAGGTACATCAATCAGACATAGATTTGGTCTTTTCATATAGTCCCATATTTCTTGTAGGTTTTGTTCATTTCTTTTTACTCTTTTTTCTCCAAACTTCCCTTCTCACTTCATTTCATTCATTTCATCTTCCATCACTGATACCCTTTCTTCTAGTTGATCAAATTGGCTCCTGAGGCTTCTGCATTCTTCACGTAGTTCTCAAACCTTGGCTTTCAGGTCCATCAGCTCCTTTAAGCACTTCTGTGTATTGGTTATTCCAGTTATACATTTGTCTAAATTTTTTTCAAGGTTTTTAACTTCTTTGCCTTTGGTTTGAATTTCCTCCGGTAGCTCAGGGTAGTTTGCTCATCTGAAGTCTTCTTCTCTCAATTCCTCAATGTCATTCTCCATCAAGCTTTGTTCCGTTGCTGGTGAGGAACTGTGTTCCTTTGGAGGAGGAAGTGTGCTCTGCTTTCTAGAGTTTCCAGTTTTTCTGCTCGGTTTTTTCCCCATCTTTGTGGTTTACCTACTTTTGTTCTTTGATGATGGCAATGTACAGATGGGTTTTTGGTGTGGATGTCCTTTCTGTTTGCTAATTTTCCTTCTAACAGACAGGACCCTCAGCTGCAGGTCTGTTGGAGTTTAGTAGAGATCCTCTTCAGACCCTGTTTGCCTGGGTAACAGCAGCAGTGGCTGCAGATCAGCGGATTTTCGTGAACCGCGGATGCTGCTGTCTGATTGTTCCTCTGCAAGTTTTGTCTCTGAGGAGCACCCGGCCATGTGAGGTGTCAGTCTCCTCTACTGGGGGGTGCCTTCCAGTTAGGCTGCTCAGGGGTCAGGGGTCAGGGACCCACTTGAGGAGGCACTCTGCCCATTCTCAGATCTCCAGCTGCATGCTGGGAGAACCACTGCTCTCTTCAAAGCTGTCAGACAGGGACATTTAAGTCTGCAGAGGTTACTGCTGTCTTTTTGTTTGTCTGTGCCCTGCCCCCAGAGGTGGAGCCTACAGAGGCAGGCAGGTCTCCTTGAGCTGTGGTGGGCTCCACCCAGTTTGAGCTTCCTGGCTACTTTGCTCACCTAAGCAAGCCCTGGCAATGGCGGGTGCCCCTCCCCCAGCCTCGCTGCCACCTTGCAGTTTGATATCAGAGTGCTGTGCTAGCTATCAGCGAGACTCCATGGGCATAGGACCCTCTGAGCCAGGTGCAGGATATGATCTGCTGGTGTGCCGTTTTTTTAAGCCCATTGGAAAAGTGCAGTATTCAGGTGGGAGTGACCTGATTTTCCAGGTGCCATCGGTCACCCCTTTCTTTGACTAGGAAAGGGAACTCCCTCACCCCTTGTGCTTCCCGAGTGAGGTAATGCCTTGCCGTGCTTTGGCTCACACACGGTGCGCTGCACCCACTCTCCTGCGCCCACTGTCTGGCACTCCCTAGTGAGATGAACCTGGTACCTCAGATGGAAATGCAGAAATCACCCATATTCTGCATCACTGACACTGGGAGCTGTAGAACGGATCTGTTCCTGTTCGGCCATCTTGGCGTGACCGACATCTTTTTGTTGAGTAGATGAAACTGCACATAATGTTCTCAAACCTCATCTGAAAATACAAATAAGAAAATTGGCTGGGCGCCATCGCTCACGCCTGTAGTCACAACACTTTGGGAGGCCAAGGTAGGCATATCACAAGGTCAGGAGTTCAAGACCAGCCTGGGTAAGATGGTGAAACCCCATCTCTACTAAAAATACAAAAAAAAATTAGCGGGGCATGGTGGTGGGTTCCTGTAGTCCCAGCTACTCGGGAGGCTGAGGCAGGAGAATGGCTTAAACTGGGTAGATGGAGGTTACAGTGAGCCAAAATCACGCCATTGCACTCCAGCCTGGGCGACAAAGAAAGACTCCATCTCAAAAAAAATAAATAAATAAAAAGGAAGAAAGAAAAAAGAAGAAACAAACAAACAAACAAAGAGAGAGAGAAAAGAAAGAAAAAGAAAGAAAGAAAGAAAAAAGAAAGAAAGAAAAGAAAGAAAGAAAGAAAGAAAGAAAGAAAGAAAGAAAGAAAGAAAGAAAGAAAGAAACTCACTCATTGGCCATTTATATTATTCAAACCTATTTCCTGCTTCTAACAGTTCCACTGCCTCTGTGGTTTTCCTTCAGACAGGGGGACTAAAGGATGCATTTTTCCCATATAGAGAAAGATTATTGGCATCTAGGATTTCTGGCCTAAATTCCTCAAAATGTAAGCCATGCCAATACTATTCCTGAAAAATCAATAATGACATTGAACTTGATGAATAACATGAGCAACTCATGTCCATGCAATTAAACTTTAATTCTGCTACTGAAAGCCAAGATTGAATGTATTATTTTTATCACATTTCATTTATTTGATAATGCTACTTCTGTGAACATTTTATGGAAAATTGGGAATAACCACAGAATGACATTTGCATCACATTATATTACAGTTCACCATATATAAATAAGCTCATTGTCAAATGTATATTATTAAAGTTTGAATTGAGAAAAGCATAATAGTTTCCAGCTTTTACATTTTGGTATTGGGCTTTGCAAAAAAATTTACAATTGCTGTTAAGAAGGCATCCTAGATATTATGCAGGCACAAGTGGTGTAAGCGCAAACAGCTTAAGAAACCTAAATATTGTTACGTATGGTTCTACTTAAGGTAAGTTTCCCTGCAGTTCATGCTGCAGTGTACTGGGCTGTATTCTTGTTAAATATTTACCATAAGTTACAGTATTTCATTTCTCTTTCCCACAACCTGAGTCCTGTGTATCAGATAGCCTAACAGGACAGCACAAATCTTTCAGAAAGTGAGATCCACTGCTGAAGTCAATTCAGCCAAAAATTTCATCCGAATGAGCTAAAAAACAACTGATTACCCAGAGATGCATCATTGTTTAGATTTATTTTTGATTATTCCAACTTTCATCTCTGGTTCTCTTTTTATTTTTATAAATTTTTATTTTATATATTTTCAAGCCCACAGAAAATATCAAAGTACTGTATAAAATTTGCTGTAAACATTCAACCAGATTTAGGATATGTTAAAAATTTGCCACAGTGGCTTTGCTCTATCTATGTTACTGTGGTTTTTTGTTTTGTTTTGTTATATTTTGCTTTTTGACAGAGTCTTACTCAGGCTGGAGTGCAGTGGCACAATCTTGGCTCACTGCAACCTCTGCCTCCCAGGTTCAAGCAGTTCTCCCTGCCTCAGCCTCCCAAGTAGCTGGGATTACAGGCACCCACCACCATACCTGGCTAATTTTTACATTTCTACTAGAGACGGGATTTTGCCATGTTGGCCAGACTGCTCTTGAACTCCTGACCTCAGGTCCACCCGTCTCAGCCTCCCAAAGTGCTGGGATTATAGGCATGATCCATCGCACCCGACTGCTTTGCTCTATCTGACTATCTATCTATCCATCTATTCGTATCTATCTATCTATATCTATCTGTCTATCTGTCTCTCTGTCTGTCTGTCTACCTATGTGTCTGTCTCTTTGTCTATTTGGCTGGCTGGCTTGCTGGCTGGCTATTGTTTGTCTGTCTATCTGTGGATCTGTCTGTCTGTCTATCTTTCTATCTGTCTGTTTATCTATCTGTCTATCTGTCTGTCTGTCTGTTTTTCTGACTGTCTGTCTGTCTGGCTATCTATCTATCTACCTACCTACCTACCTATCTACCTATCTGCCTGTCTTTCTTTGTCTACCTGTCTGTCTACCTTTCAGTCTGTCTTTCTGTTTTTCTGTCTGTCCATCCGTCTGTCTGTATGTCTTTTTGTCCATCCGTTCATCTGTCTATCTGTCTTTCTGTCCATCTATCTTTCTGTCCGTCTATCTGTCTGTCTGTCCCTCAATCTGTCTAAGGGACCTGTCTGTCTTTCTGTCTATCTGTCTGTCTCTCTCTCTCTAGCTACCTATCTACCTATCATCTATCTGTCTTCTCTCCTCTAAGTGTTTTCATGCACACAAATACACACATAACACACACACTTCTATATATCTATACACGTATATCTATATATGCATATGCTTTTCTGAACTACTTGAAATTAAGTTGTAGATATCATATTCACCTAACACCAAATATTTTGATATGAATTTCCCAAGGATAAAAACTGCATGAACCTGATACAATTAACAAAATCAAGAAATTTAACATTGGTACAATACTATCTAATTCATTGATAGTATTGGTATCATTGATAACATTGGCACAGTACTATCTGATTCACAGTGATATTGAAAATTTCTTAATTATTGCTATACTGTCTCTTTTAGTTATATTCTTTCTGGTCCAGTATCAAATTCACAATCATGAATGACATCACATTGTCTCGTAACTTTACTTTCCTTCAGTCT
The DNA here is from genome assembly GCF_000001405.40 of Homo sapiens. Taxonomy (NCBI): domain Eukaryota; kingdom Metazoa; phylum Chordata; class Mammalia; order Primates; family Hominidae; genus Homo; species Homo sapiens. Next base: position 13,948,984 of record NC_000024.10, on the reverse strand, counting down.
GGAACATTCTGTCAGTTTCTTGTTTGTTCATGAAGCTGATATATCTGGACACAGGCCAGTTATTTTGTTGAACATCCTTCGATATGAGCTTTTTTAACGATTCCTGATAACTGGATTCAATTTATTTATTTTTGGCAGGAATACCATCAACACAAGGTGTGTTTTCTCTAGTACCTTATGTCTAGATGCATATAATGCCTCTGTCTCATTGTTGGTGATGATAAACTTCATCACTTGGTTAAAATGGTGTCTCTTGGATATCCCCATACAGAGTCATTAATTTTACCTCTGCAATTTATAAGACATGTGGTATTGGTAAGAAATCAATGGGCTATTTCAGACTATGTATGTATCATTTCTTGTTCATCAAACTAGTTTTGTCATCTAGTTGGCATTGATGCCAATATGGTGGTTACAATACAGAGATTTCCCAACTCCATCATTTTTTCTGTGTTTCTCACTTGGCTATCTGTGAGGAAGTGCTTTGCATTGTCTTCTATCATTCTATTCACTATCACTATGAATTCCTGGATATTACAAGGGCACTTTTCTGAAGTTACCACTTTCAAGATGGCACCTGTGTAATTTTGACACTTTTGAAGCATTTTTCAGCACTTTCTGACATAACATTACCATAATTCCTTAGATGTCAAAATGAAGATAAAAGTAAATCTAGAATGATGATCTCCATATATTAACTTATTAAGAGAATATATTGACATACGATGATAAATACTTTTATCACTAATAATGCTTCTAATTGTTTGTGACATTCAAAATTAATGCAGATAATATTGCAGAGCATGTTGAGTCTAAGGCCACTTTAGTTTTTGCCCAAAGAGCTTTCAGCAAGAGAGATGTCCACAGTCTTCTTTGAATATATAAATCATGTCTGCAAATCAAACTCAGTAATTATGCTGTGCTGAAATATTTGAATATAATCAGACATAGTCGGTATCAATAGTGGCAAAATAATTATTTTTATGAAAATTTGAGGGTGTTTTAATGTCATAATTTAGCCTCTGGGTACTAATTTATAGGTCACCTATTTCGCTGTTACCAAAGTCTTCTCAATGATTAATTCCTCAGCCACTTCTGAATAGTTCTAGGGGTTGAGAGTAACTATAGCATTTTAAAAGCACTTATTTCACTAATTGACATTTTCTATTATAAGCAGAGATCCTGCAATTCTCTGCCTTGTTCTTTGTTTCGACTTCAAGAGCTGTAACAAATAGTGAATCTACTTCCTTTTCCATACACCACTCCTTTAAATATTTGAAGAGAGCTCCCATGTTCTGTTGGATACTGTCATTCTTTGCTAAATGTTACCAGTTCCCAATTCCATTTTTCAAAAGTGCTTTCAATGATGATTTGCTCTACTCTGGATACTGTTGAGTCTGTCACAAATGGTAACAATGCTGATTAATTAGTATAGTGACTTGAACTACCATATTGAGAAGAAAATAAGAGGTTATATTCAGCCTTGTTCAGAAAGAGTGCAGCTATTTGATGTCTGTCAAAATATTGTAGGAAGTGGGGTACAGTGGCTTGTGCCCTTAATCCCAGCATTTTGGGAGGTGAAGGTAGGAGTATCTCTTCAGTCCAGGAGTTCAAAGCCTGGGCAATATAGTGGGACCCCATTTCTACAAGAAAAAAAAATTACAAAAATTATCCAGAGATGGTGATGCATGCCTGGAGTCCCAGATACTCAGGAGGCTAAGGCAGGAGGATCTCTTGCATCCATGAAGTGGAGGCTGAAGTGAGAAATGATTATGTCCCTGCATTACAGCCTAGATGACAGAGCAAGACCCTATCTCAAAAAAAAAAAAAAAAAAAGATATTGTAGTAGACAGTGGTGTTTATTTGATATCCTATATTGTAAATTAAGACAATGGCTTGGATATAGTAGTTAGATGTGGTCTAGCCTGGGTAGCACACATGTGACATTTTGTAAGAAATTATTCTAATATGCTGATTTCTAAAATCAGTTAGAATTTATCATATTATTAGCTCAGAACAAATTTGTAGTCAACTAAAATGTCAAGATTTTTGTTTTTCCTGTAACATGCTTTTGGGATCATGGTTTATTGTATAATCTTATTATTGCTAGAAGGCTTGGAAAGTCTCTTGGTTGGACAAATTAAGAAAAAAATATATAATGAGATGACACTAAATAAATAAATGTCATCTTGCCATTTACCTTTAGCAAAATTTTCATACAGAACTGCAGAATGTGTGAGAACTTACTTCACTTTTGTCATATAAAAATTATTTTTAATGTTTCAAAACATGAAAGAGTTACATCAAAGTTTTCAAAGGAAAAGTTGTATATCCATATTTATTCTTCACCTGTGTTCACCTAACTAAAAACATGAAGCAGTTATACTGCACTAACAGTTTTTCACAATGTTTTGCTATCCTAAACTATATTTATATTTACTTTTCATTTACTATATGCTTGTCCATCTTATTGTGTGAATAAAAGTTATTTTTAGGGAGGAAATAGTAAACCGTAAGGCTATGTAAAACCTAATGGAAAAGATCTTTCAGGGGTTTATTTTGATTAAAGACAGGTGTGACAGATGTTATGAAGTCTTTTAAAATTATTCAGAAAGTACAATAAGTGATATCCATAGCAGTTCTGCAGTCTAAAATGATAACTTTTGAAAAGAGAAAAGTTTTGGCAAACTGTAAAATAGCAGTAGACATTGCCAAAGGGAAAAAAATTGCTTCCGTTTCCACATATCAAAACACTTTTTTTCAACACATCAGGTCAAAGGCATGACAAAACGTGCCTTACTAAGTATCCAGAAGGCCTTATAATGCTGCTTTACACCAAGGAGGTGGTTGCTACAGCCCTTCTTTTGGAAAACTCAGAGTGTGAGGCCCAGTTATTGTCTTGCAAAAAGCTACTGGCTGTAAAGGAGTGGTTTAAAAGCTACATTTGATTCTACTCCATGCACTGAAGTAGCTTAGCATTTATTTAAGATTGCGGTACAGCAGTAGACAAGAAAACAAAAAACACAAAGGTAAATGTTTCCACTGTATATATGCAAGGGATTTTGCTGGAATATACATGTGCAAATATGTGTGTGTGTGTGGAGACAGAGAGAGAGAAAGAGAAAGAGAAAACACCAAAAGATGAGAAACAAACTGCTTAGTGTGGTTGTAGAAATGCAGCTCAAAAAAAAAAAAAAAGGTAATTGAACATTAAAGCAAAGCTGTTTGCAATAAGACATTTTCATGAGCTATTTATGCCTTATATAAATTCTCATTTCTTGAAAGTAAGACCAAAGAAATGTTTAATGAGCCTTTCTGTATTATGCAGGCCTGGCATTTATTATCAGGGACTGTGCACTGTACAATGAAGTAGAGCCAGCCATTCATTAGGTAAGGTGTATGTATATACACATATGTTTTTTTAAATAAACTCTTTGCATTGCATGTAGTTGAATTAAAGATCAAGTCTGCATGTTCTCTTCCTTCCAACATGACTTAAGAAGACCCCTAAGTAGTTGATAAGGCTGGCCATGCTTTCAAAACTAGCTAGTGAAGACTTGCTAGGGGGAAAAATCACTATCGTCCTGTTCATTTTTATTTTCCTCTATTAAGAGGCAACTAACTGAAAGTGTTATTTAGAGAAATAAGTGATGCTCTTTAGTGTGTCTCCCTGCTGCACACTGAATTCACCTCTGTTTCCACATCTGCCATATTTGCCACAATCATTTCTGTCTTCCTTCTTAAATTAGGAGCACCTTGGTGACTGGTGACACAAAAATAATATTGTGTTGGATTAAGATCCCTCTAAATGTCAGCTCTTCCACAGACATTATTTTATCCTCACAAAAGTGCTGCAAGATAGGTGTTTGTTTGTTTGTTTGTTTGTTTGTTTTTGAGACGGACTCTTGATCTGTTGCCCAGGCTAAAGTGCAGTGGCGCGATCTCGGCTCACTGCAAGCTCCGCCTCCCGGGTTCACGCCATTCTCCTGCCTCAGCCTTCCGAGTAGCTGGGACTACAGGCGCCCACCACCAGGCCTGGCTAATTTTTTCGTATTTTTAGTAGAGACGGGGTTTCACCGTGTCAGCCAGGATGGTCTCGATCTCCTGACCTCGTGATCTGCCTGCCTCGGCCTCCCAAAGTGCTGGGATTACAGGCGTGAGCCACCGCGCCCGGTCAAGATAGGTTTTATTATTTCCCAATTTAGTTAATCAGACAACAGGCTCAAAGAGGCCAATTAACCCCCTCAAGATCACATAACAAATCAATTTGTTGGTCAAATTGATCAAGTGGTCAATTTTGGGCTTTAAACCAACTCTGCCAAAAATTACTATTGGAGACATTTCAACCATCACCATAGATCATGTGTATTAATCTTAGTATTCTCAGGAACTGATTGTGCTTAATCTATAATTAAGGTAATTTCAGCCAATATTTAGTAAATACCTAGTTAGCTATTTCCAGGTACCAAAAAGGTAGAACACAGTGCTTTCTATTTACTGAGACATTACCTGGCCAAGTAGTTTTCTGGAGTTGCTCACATTTAGAGATGAAGTATAGTGAATGCATTACAGCAGTCCCCTTATCCACAGTTTCTCTGTCTGCAGTTTCAGTTACCTGCAGACAACTGCAGCTGGAAAATATTGCATGGAAACTTCCAAAAATAAACAATTCGTAAGTTTTCAATTGTGTGCCATTCTTCATAACATGATGAAATCTCACACTGTCCTGCTCCATCCTGCCTGGGATGTAAATTATCCCTTTGTTCAGCATCTCCACACTGGACACATAACTTGCTACCCACCAAAGCTGGGCACATAACTTGCTACCCACCCAAGATTCATAGGCAGCATCTGCTCCTGACATTCACCCAAAGACATCATCATAGCTCAAAGATCTGGGATCACCCAAAGCAGATGACCTTCCTTCTGATGCTTTGTCAGAAGGTCAATAGTAGACTAACACTACTACATCACAATGCCTGTGCCACAATGCCTATGTCATTCACCTGGTTTCATCTCATGAGGCAGGCATATTATCATCTCATACCATCACAAGAAGAAGGGTGATGCATTAGTCCATTTTCATACTGCTATAAAGAACTGCCAAGACTGGGTAATTTATAAAGGAAAGAGGTTTAATTGACTCACAGTTTCACATGGCTGGGGAGGCCTCAGGAAACTTACAATCGTGGTGGAAGGTGAAAGGGAAGCAAGGCACCTTCTTCACAAGGCTGCAGGAAGGAGAAGTGCTGAGTGAAGTGGGAATAGTCCCTTATAAAACCATCTGATCTCGTGGGAACTCACTATCAGGAGAACAGCATGAGGGAAACCACCCCCATGATTCAATTACCTCCACCTCGTCTCTCCCTTGACACGTGGGGATTATGGGAATTACAATTCAAGATGAGATTTGGGTGGGGACACAAAGCCTAACCATGTCAGGTGAGTGCAGTACAATAAGATATTTTAATAGAAAGAAGGAGATATCACTTAACTTCACAAGATACTATTATACTTGTTTAATTTTATTATCAGTTATTGTCATTCATCTTTTACTGTGCCTTATTTATAAATTAAACTTTATCATATGTATGTAATGTATGTAGGTATAAGAAAAAGCAGTGTATATAGGGTTCAGTACTACACTCGGTTTCAGGCATCCACTCTGGATCTCGGAACATCTCTCTCATGGAAAAGAGGGGGACTACTGTAGGTGCCTGTTGCCACGTAACAAAACATCTCAAAATATAATGGTGAGAAACATTATGTGTATTACCTCACAGTTTCTGTGGGTGAGGAATTTTGGCATTGCTTAGCTGAGCCCTCTTATGAGCCTGCAGTCAGCTGGGACATCAGTCGTGTCAAGCCTAGATGGATCCCTTTCCAAGCTCCCTTGCAAGGTGATTGGTGGGATTCAGATCCTCATGGGCTGAGGCACGGAGGCCCTCCATTCTTTGTTGGCTGTTGACCAGTTCCCTGTCATATAGGCCTCTCCATGGGGCAGCTCACAACTTCCTTCATGAAAACAGGTGAGAAGGCCCAGAAAGTGAAAGAAGACCACAAAGTTAGAGTCTTTGTGGCTTAGTCTCAGTAACATCATCCCAACACTTGGCAGTGCTCCATTCCTCAGAAGCCACTTGCTCTTTCCAGCCCACTCTCAACAGGATGCGATTAAGCAAGGCATGAAGATGAGGGAGCAGGTATCACGGTGTACCCATCTCAGAAGGCTGCTGACAGCAACAAATAACAGAAGCGAGGCCTTGGAAGTGTTTTTCTGCAACAGGACAATCACAGTTCACCATATATGAAAGAGTTAAGTGAATTTTTTTCAGGCATAGTAACTCCAGCTGACAGCCAAATTGGGAACATCAAATGTCACTTTCTGAGCAGAATCATATCAATGCTTTAAATATCAGGCAAGCATATTCCTTACAAGATTTTTTTTGTAGCATTTATTATAACCTCTTTAGAGCCCTGGATATTATGCAAATTAAGTGAGCATTGTGTATGTTTTCTTGGCTGGCACTCTTGAGATATCAAAAGTGTGAAAGAGCTGGCACTAAATCTTGGCCTTCAGCTCTGAAAGCTCTAAACGTTAAGTAAGGGGGAAAAGTGTGCATGTGTTTACACAGAATAGAATATGAAAAAGAGCCTAGTTTTCTTTCTTAATAGGATTACACAATTTAAACCTTGTTTTCAACCACATAAAGACATCCTTTTTTTTGAATGACACTGTTAGACTGGAAAGTTTTAAAATACATTCTCTTGAGGTTTTCTGTAAGATCAGCCTAGACACTATACACTAATGATGACAGGATCAAGGCTTATAAAACTTTAGAATATTCTGATTTTTAGTCTCATTACGAAGACAAGAGCCTCATTATCTTTCATCATTTGTACTTCTGATATACTAATGTATGTGTTGCTCTTCTATACATTATTAAATTTCATTTTAAATGGAAAATGTTAATATTTAACTCAATAGTTTAAACACTATTAATACTAATGTTGTCTTTCTAATTTCTAGAGGGAAAACTTTCCAACTTCAATTTGAATCCTCTTAACTTTTATGTTTTCACTGTTCGGAAAGCATACTCTAGTGGCATGGATTATCCTGAAAGCAAGATAATGAAAATGAATTTATATCTAACCCGAATGTGTTTGGGGATTTGAGTATGCATCCCTAACATGGGAGAACTTCACAACAATTGAAATAGTTCTGAAATGGAGCTGTAAAGACTGGACTCAAGACAAGCAGACATTTTCCATCCTACTGGTCTATCCCTTTCTGCAATGCTCTTCCTATTTCTTTCTTTCTTATCAAGATATCCTCATCTCTGAAATGGACAGAAGGGTGTTTCATAGGAAGAGTTGCTTTGAGCTCCTTTTAGGGATTTTGAACTTGTGGACACTCACTCTAAGAATGCACACATAAATGCACTAGAGTAAACAAGTGAGTAAATGAGGAAACCTGGGCACTCTTCTTTTTTCCTTTCGTTCATAAACAGGCATTTCAAGCCGGTTATTTAAAGCTCATGTGAATTTCAGGAATCAGTTTCTGTGCCTATCCTCTGTGGTTCCATAGCACCCAGTATAAACATCTAATAGATTGCATTGAAACTATCTTTGTATATATCTACATGCCCAAGTGGATTCCTAGGGGAAGAGATACAGCATTTTTCTTCCCTAGTACATAATATAATGAGTGGCATCAACCAGCTGTTCAAACACCATAAAACCATCACCAACCATAAAAATAAGAGCACACACGACGCCCAGATCTCTAAAGCATTTGGAGTGGTGTTTTGGACTTGCAGTGTAGATATTTTCTAATATAAGCATTAATACAGGGAAAACCAGCAGCACCTTACCAAAGGAAATAATTCAGCCTCCTCTTGACAAACATGTGTATTGGATTTTCCCAGTTTCAAAGCCAGAAAGTCATTCCATTTACCTCAAACAATGAAGATACATGTGAAAATAAGAAACCGGGGGAATTACCATCAAGATGCCACCTTGCGGAAGAGATAGGCAGCTGGAATCACTAAGACGCCCTCCCTGCAAGAACACGAACCCAAGTATAGGCAGAATAATGGAGAGAAGAAAGCTTGAATGACAACTTTGATCACCTATCATCACTTTGTTGCTCTCCTATTCTCAGAACTTTAGTATTTTTCACTACTACTTCCTCCTCTCTGTTACATTTTCTCTTCTGTTTCTACCACCAGGGAAGTGTCTTTCTCTTTTTTTAATTTATTTATTTATTTATTTATTTATTTATTTATCTATCTATTTATCTATTTATTTATTTATTTATTTTTGAAGGAGTTTTGCTCTTGTTGCCCAGGCTGGAGTGCAATGGTACAATCTCAGCTCACCACAACCTCTGCCTCCCAGGTTCAAGAAATTCTGCCTCAGCCTTCTGAGTAGCTGGGATTACAGGTGTGCACCACCATGCCCGGCTAATTTTGTGTTTTTAGTAGAGACAGGGTTTCTCCATGTTGGTCAGGCTGGTCTCGAACTCCCAACCTCAGGTGATCTGCCCACCTCGGCCTCCCAAAGTGCTGAGATTACAGGCGTGAGCCACCTCGCCCAGCTGTGTCTCTCCTTTTGTTGAAGTTTTTCAAAATATTGATAAGAAATTTATGTGTAAGAAGCCACCTATATCTTTTCTGTCAGTGGGGAACTGTGGGTGATGGAGCTTTCCCCAAAATGAGATGTGGTGGTGTGCAGACTCCTGGAATTTTGCAAAATCCTTATTTTGTTTGAACTGTTTTGCTTTTAGTCAAATGAACTTCAGGCCAGTTTTCATTATATGGACAGACCACAGTTAGGTCATCTACTGTGCCGCAATTGCTGCAATAATGCTGAGCAAAAGGGATCATCCCAAAACCCAGCTATTCATAACATAAAACACTTGAATATTCATGGCTCTGCAGGGGAGCTGGGGCCACTCTCCTTCAAGCAGCAGTTGGTATTCACCTAAGGTTCACATGCCATTCCATTCTTTTTTTTTTAATTGATGGCTCTGTGGACATGCTGTCCTGACAGCAGATCACAGGAATACCAGAGTGGGAGGGGAAACATGAGGCTCCCTGAGACTTTGGCCCCAGGCCAGATCCTTATGCCATCACTCAATTCCCACTGGCCAATCCAAATCCTCTCACCAAGCCCAGTACCACCATGGCAGGAAGCAAAGGCGGCTCCCTGCTGCAGGGGACAGCATTGCAGAGCCACTATCCTGCATGGGTGCATCATTCTTGGAGCAGGAAGGCTGGAAGAATTGAGAACAGTGATTCAATCTTCCCATAATGATGACTGAGCTCTGTTCTCCATAAGCCTCTAGAGCAAGCTTGTCCAACCTACTGCCCACATGCAGCTCAGGACAGCCTTCCATGCTGCCCAACATGAATTTGTAAACTTTCTTAAATCATCACCAGATTTTTTTTGCTTTTTATTTTTATTTTTTTAGCTCATATGCTATTGCTAGCATTTGTATATTTTATGTGTGGCCCAAAACAATTATTTTTCTTCTAATGTGGCCCAGGGAAGCCAAAAGATTGGACACCCCTGCTCTAGAACTTCTGGGATATGTTTATTCATTGTTTTATTCTCCCCAGGTATATGAAGAGCATAACAAAAAAAGAAAAGGAAAGGAAAGAAGTGGAGGGGAGAGTGGGGAGGGGAGATTTGGGGAGGGGAGGGACAAAGGAAGAAAGGGGGGAAGGAAAGAAAGGAAGAAAAAAGAAAGGAAAGAAAGACAGAGAAAAGAGGAAAGAGAGGAGAGGAAGAAATGAAGAAAAGAAGAAAGAAAGAAAGAAAGAAAGAAAGAAAGAAAGAAAGAAAGAAAGAAAGAAAGAAAGAAAGAGAAAGAAAGAGAAAGAAAGAGAGAGAGAAAGAAAGAAAAAGAAAAAGAAAGAAAGAAAGAAAGAAAGAAAGAAAGAAAGAAAGAAAGGAAGGAAGGAGGGAGGGAAGAAAGAAAGAAGGGAGGGAAGGAAGAAAGAAAGAAAGATGGGTGAGGGGGAGAGGGAAGGATAGGAAAAAATGCAGAAAGAGAGAAAAGAAAAGAAAGAGAAAGAGAAAAGAAAGAGAAAGACGGAGAGAAAGAAAAAGAAAGAAAGAAAAAGAGAAGGAAGAAAGAAAGAAAGGAAAAGAAAAAGAAAGAGAAAGTCTTGAGTTAAAGTAAATTTCATTGGGCAAAAATCAAAACATTGTTATCCCACTTTATAGAGATAAGTAATTATAATTGCTTACATATACGTGTACCCAGTGTGTTTCTTCACCAACATTTTGGTAACAAAAAATGTAGCATTATCATGACTACCCCGCATTTAAAACCAAGATAATTGGTTGTCTTTCAGATTATCTACACCATGAACTGAATACAGAGGTGTTCAGTTGAAAATGCAAAATACTTTAAATATTTAAATATTATATCCACATGATCCCAAAATGTGACATTAATTATTTTGAGTAGTTTTTTATTAAATCAAAAGAATTAACTGAATTAATTTGTCTTGGTACACACTTTGAAACTCAAGTGAACTCAACCTCTGAAATCATTCTTGATTACGAACTCCTGAAAAAAACTCATCTCTACCAGATGACTAGATAAGCCGGAAAGAGGCTTTGGTGATTTTAAATAGAAATGCTCTCGTTATTCTTCTAAATACCATTTGAGAAAAAACCAGATAGTATAATGTGGGTTTCATCTAAATTCATATCTATTTCCTTTCTAAGCATTTAATCTCTGATGGCAATTCTTGCATTACAGGACTTAGTATCTGTGTAAGTAGATCATGTGGAGGAGGCAGAGGGATAATTTACCCATCTTTCATTAAACTGCCTTGGCATATTACAGCAGGGGCCCTAAACCCTTATTTATGAACTTTAAAAAGGATTACATTCCAGGTATCCCCCAATTTCCATCGGCTTGAATGCTACAGAGATAGGAACCACTTAGCCTTTCCAACCTCAGCTGCATCCAGTCTAAAACTACTACAGACTAATTCAGCAGTACATAGTATCTTTCTTTGCTTTGTTTTGGTTGGATTTTTTTCAAATCCGAAAATACGTGTAGATTCAGACTAAGTCATACCACCTATCATGAGGTGGGTCAAACTTCTCAGCTTATTTTTTCTGTCTCAAAATAGAAATGTCTTACGTTCTGATTTAGATTGTCCCAAGTTGGATTTCTGTTATTGTTGTTGAAGAAGATACTGACCTGAATTAACATCAGTCTCTAGCTGGGTCTGAATAAGACTCAACTTGGAGGTGAGGATCCCTAATACCTGTCAGCTATAGCCTTGAGAAACATTATTGGACAAAAACAAGAGCTGAGTAATGCCATTTGCAGCTGCATACTTCACAGGTACGGCAAAGCCTCTTTGCCCACAGCAAGCCGAGCTGGATATCGTGTCACTTTGTTCAAGATAATGGGTTGCAACCTGAATCACAATACAGATTTCAAGTTCTGTAATGTACACAATTCTCACCAAAGACTGTTACAAGAACAGTACAGATTTTTCTATTCTGGCCAAATTATATAATAGAATTACCTGCCTCTAGCCATTAGAATAGCTGGAGAGAAAACTGTGTTTTGTTTTTCAATATGAGAGAGGGAGAGAGAAAGTTAGTTTATGTTTCTTAGGAGCAGATATTGAGACCAAGATTTTAATGTGATCACTTTTAGGAGGGGATGTGAGCATAGGAAACATCAGAGGGAGAAGAGAAGACAAAGGAAGGAGCTTGGAAAGGGTGTGCTGTCCTATAATACAAGTGACTGCTGCAGGCAGTTGTAGCTTCATTCTGAGGAGTGTCTCCGAGACATAGAGCAGAGCACACACCTCAGCATTCTCATGCCCAAAACAAGAGGGGAGTTGGAGCTGATGGTCACCAATACCCTTCAGCCATTGCTGGAGGCCAGTGTAGGAGGCAGTGTCTCCCGGCATGTCCTGTACGCTTTGTGTTTTGCCGGAGCTGAACCGGGTGGCCAGAAAAGGCCCTTGGGCAAGAAGACACAGGTGCTGGGAGGTGGAAGACTGGAAGACCAGAGCAGTGTCCATGAAAATTATACAAATCAAGGAGATATGGGCAGGATATCTATACATCTATATCATCTACCTCTACAACTATAATTGTATCTATATCTATGTCTATAGTTATATTTCTATCTATGCATTTGCATTTATTTATTTTTTAGATGGAGTCTTGCTCTGTTTCCCAGGCTGGAGTGCAGTGGCATGATCTCAATTGACTGCTGCTTGTACCTCTCGGGTTCAAGCAATTCTCCTGCCTCAACCTCCCAAGTAGCTGGGACTACAGGCGCATGCCACCATGCCCAGCTAATTTATATATCTTTTTAGTAGAGTGGGGGTTTCACCATGTTGGCCAGGCTGGTCTCAAACTCCTGACCTCAAGTGATCCTCCCACCTCAGCCTCTCAAAGTGCCAGGATTGCAGGCATGAGCCACTGTGCCTGACCTGCATTTGTATTTATGGATACATGTGTGTATGTGTATATTTATACACATGCTGGCTGTGACTTAACCAAAACAAAATCCTATAAAGTAAAATGTCCAGATTTTACAAAACATTTTCATAAACAACAAAAACTTGGTATCAAGAACACAAAATGACCTCAAACCCCAATCATTTGTAAATTGAGTGATCTACTTGTAAATTTAATAAAAACATGGTATTAAACAATATTCAGATTAAAGGGAACGTCATAACAGGTATGTCTGTTATCTAGGAAGTAAAGGGCTGATTCTGTATGCCAAAATCTATGATAAACCTGTTTATACTCACAAGCTTTCATTATTAAAATGAAAAAAGACTGAACATAAGTGAAATAATTATTCAATATAAGAAACTAGAAAAAATAATTAAAATACTAAAATAAAAGAGAATAAAGATAAAAATGGAAATTACTAAAATAGTATAAATAGTAGCCAACAGAAATATATCCAAACATCATTTCTCTGAAAATAACTACAAAACAGAAAAAGTACTAGCATATTAGATTAAGAAAAAATAAGATGGCACAAAGAAATGAATGAGATTATGAATAAAAAGGCAATAAAATCACAGATTTAAGAGATTAAAAGAAATAAGGCATAGTCTATGTACTTCTACAGCAATAAATATGAGAATTCTGAAGTAAATGTCTAGTTTCTTGCAAAAATATTCAAACTGGCTTCCCAAAGAGGCAGAAAACTGAATCTACAAATAAAGAAAAGTGTTGAAAAGGTAATTAAAGAGATGCCAGGTAAAAAATAATATACATCAGACCCAGATGGTTTCACAGTTGTGTTCTATTTGAGCTTTAAAGAACAAATCATTTCTATGTAACATAAACTTTTCTAGGCTAAAGAAAAAGCTGGAAAATTGCCTGATTTCATGATGTTAGTGTAACTTTTAAGCTATAACTTGCCAAGGTGAGTGGAAAATAGTGAAAAAAATTGTAGGATAATTCTATATGCTTACTGTGCATGGTTAGATGCAAACATTCTAAATTACAACTCGATAGAATCTACTATATTCAAGAGAATGACCAATAATTTTAATATAGGATGAAAGCATGAATGAATGGCTTAAGATCATTTATTTTATTAAATTAAAGGAGAAAACCATCTGCTTATATTCATGGGAGGTGATGGTGGAAAGACATTTGGTAAATTGCCTAAAAATGTGAGGCTATTCCTAAAAAATCTCTAGGTAAGATAGGATTAGAAGAACATGACCATTACTTAACAGCAAATATCACTGGAAAGAAAAAAGCAATTATATATTTCTTTAAAAATCAAGGGAAAAAATAGAGAATGACCACCAGTACCACTCTTACTTAACATGGCTTTGAAGATTCTTGATAAGGCAGAAAGATAAAGCAATTGTTAAATTATTAACATATATTTTAAAGCTACAACAATGTTTAGTTTGCAGATGCTGACACTAAATATCTAGAAAATTGAAAAAAAAATTAAAGGTACTTAAGAATCAGTCAGGCAGAGTAGTAAGATGAATGATATAAGCTGTATATGTCAAAATTGTCTTGCATTTTATTCCAATAGTATAAATTTTAAAATTAGATTATATTTTTACTCATAATAGCAGCTAAAACTACAGAATAATAAAATAGACTTTAATATACATAGATTTCATACACACCTATATATGTTTTTTCTTTTCATAGTCAGTCGTGTGTGTGTGTGTGTGTGTGTGTGTGTGTGTGTATAAACATATATTTCCAGGAACTTTGTGCTTATAGTGAAGGACAAAGCCACATCCTCAATGAATGAAGAAATATAAAATATTCCTTGTTGGGGGAATGAAAAAGAGTGGTGCAACCTATTAATTTAATACAATTCCAGTGATTTCAAATAAACTATATATTTGCACAAAGGATCATAGTTATACTTTGATTCCTTAAAAAAAGGGAAAATAACCATGCTTAGAAAATGCATCTATACTTTTCACACAGCAAATGTACTGAAAGATCTTCATTTGATTAAATAATTTTTCATGTTTGAATGGAAACCACAAGATCTGTATAACAGACATGTTCTTAGAGTCTGAGAATGCTTCCTTGATACCAGCCAGTTTCAGCTGACATCTAGCAATTCTAGTATTCATGTCAACTTGCTATAACAACATCAGGATACTTCATAAAGCAATTGTTGAAAAAAAAAGTCAAACCCTGTAAAATATTTGAAGAGATTTATTCTGAGCCAAGTATGAGTGATCAATGTCCCATGACACAGCCCTCAGGAGGTCCTAAGAACATGTGCCCAAGGTGATCAACTTGGTTTTGTACAACAAGACTACAACTTGGCCTTGCACATTTTAGGGAGACATAAGACATTAATCATAACATAACATAACATAAGATATATACATCTTATATGTATATTGGTACCTTGGCTCAGTCTGGAAAGGCAAGACAACTAGAAGGTGGGGGGCTTCCAGGGCATAGGTAGATTCAAAAATGTACTGATTGGCAATTGGTTGAACGAGTTATTAACTAAAGACCTGGAATCAATAGAAAGGAATGTCTGGGTTAAGGTAACGGGCTATGGAGACTGAGGTTTTATCATAAAGTTGAAGTCTCCAGGTAGCAGGCTTCAGCGAGAATAGATTGTAAATGTTTCACAACAGACTTAAAGAGTCTGTTCTATCAGTCTTAAGGTCAGCTGTGTCTGAATTGTAGAAGGGAAGAGGGAATAATGAAGCATGTCCAACTCCCCCTTCTTATCATTGCCTGAACTAGTTTTCCAGGTAAATTTTGGAATTTCCTGGGCCATGAACTGGGGTCCCTTCAGATGGTTGGAGGGCTTAAATTTTTATTTTTGGTTTACACTATATTGTAGCCGGGTATGCTGGCTCATTCGTTTAATCCCACTACTTTGGGATGCTGAGGCAGGAGGATCACTTGAGGCCAGGGGTCAAGACCAGCCTGGGCAGCATGGTGAGACTCCTGTCTCTACAAAAATATTCGAAAATTAGGCAAGCACAGTGGCATGTACCTGTAGCCCTAGCTACTTGGGAAGCTAAGGTGGGAGGATTGCTTGAGCCTAGAAGTTTGAGGCTGCAGTGATCTATGATTATATCACTTCACTCCAATCTGGGCAACACAGCGAGACCCTGTCAAAAAATAAAAAAAGAAAGAAAGAAGAAGAAAGAAAAGGAAAGAAGGAAAGAAGAAAGAAAGAAAGAGAGAGAGAGAGAGAGAAAAGAAAAGAAAAAGAAAGCTGTATTGCCTCCGAGTTTATATGTTAATAAGTTTTATGTTCTGAAAATAAAAAAAAAAAAATCTGTCCTAAAAATTATGCCTGCCAAAATCAGGATTAAAAAGATCCTGAAGAAAGACTTCTCACTTTGCTAATATGTGCAGAGTTTGCATTTTATGAGTTCTATTTCATTCATTTACTTGGTTAATCAGTGATTTATGGTTGGCCAATGATTTCAAGATGAGATGAAATTTGTTAAAGTCATGAAAAGGCAAGCCATCAAACTTCAAGGGACTTCCATCTACACAGCCCCTGAACATTGTCTTGATCATCTGGTGTTGCAAATGCCCTTTTGATGGAGCTTAAATAAGATCAGTTGGACTGAGAAAGATTGCTTGATGTAGAGCCATTGAAACAAGCTGAGTGTCTTCCAAGGCAGGACATCCAATCCATCTCGGATGATAACCTTTTGCAAGGCAGGATGTCCAGTCCATCTCAGATGATAACCCTTCAGGCATCCATCCTGGTGAGCATTGTTTAACCTTCCCCTGTGGTCACAGTGCAAGCTAATACTGCTAGCTGCAAAGCTTCGTAAGGGTTGTTCCAATGCAGAGGCTCCCAGGAATTGAGGGATGAGATGAAAGTGGGTTCTGCATAATGGCCCGGGCAGTAATGCTGTTGTGAGAAACTCCACTAAACTTCAGGAGGAGAACAGAGCCAGTGTTCAGCGACCTTCTTCCACAAAAGCTGGTGAAAAGTCCTTTTTTTGTTTGTTTTCTTTTTCATGCTACAAATTCACTTTGCATTTAATTCCAACCTCTGTGTTTGTTGGATATCTCTTGTCTACATCTATGGTTATTTCCAAAATAAAAAGTAACATGTTTAAAGAATAAGGCACTTTCAAGGAAAAACAGACTTATTTCTACTGAATAAAAATTGTTCCCAGTAACAACCGTGCCTAAAGAAGTTATAAATCTGTCTTTAATTTTACAATGATAAATGAAAAATGTTGACTTTTTCAATCAAACAGTTTATTGCAACCACCATACTATCATGAAGAATGAAGTCCATGGAGAGAGGAAAGATATAGAAAATTGCAGAAAAACATGACCAGAATTTTTATCAATATATGTTTAAATCATACCTTGCCTCTGAAATTTTCAGTTACATGAACCAATAAATCCCATTTATAATTTAAAAAAACAAACAAACTGGTAATTAAGATTGTTTATTGTTGTTGGTTGTGTTAAACAATGAATGCAAAAAATAGTTTGCTGTAATATACAGATAACACTTAAATAAATGTGCCATTAATGGAGAAAAGGTGACTTTTTCCCAGGACCAACCTCTTGCCCTCTTCATTTCCATCTGATGTTGTTCAAAACAGTCCACTAGCAAATACAGTTGTTTTGTTGGTGGTGGTTGTTTTTAGAGACTGCCCATGCATATATACCTGTTACTACATGAACAGTTAAAAAAAAATAGGGAGAGAGAAATACTTGTCATTCAAAATAAGCTCTCATTATATTCTCCAGTGGCGTGTCTCTTGTTCTTTCACCACGTTTCATAAACCTTCCTGCATGACCATCTTCACATTGGCGTAATTCTTGCTCTCTGTCTTTCCTCCTCCTCTGGCTTTCCTGGGCCACAGGGAGAATCAGCATCTTCAATATAGATTAATGCATGTGGCCCTGATTCCATCAGGAGGCAAAGTGAGAACTGCAGGAAAGGCCGGTGGTCTCTCCCATTCTGAATTATATTTTAGGTCCCCTGCAACAGTCACTAAGAAATCTATCTCTTTAGCAGGCACTCCATAATAGTGCAGAATAGAAGAGTTTAAAAAAGAAAAGAAAAGGAAAGGAGGAAAAGATGAGTGAGGATCCAAAGCTTTCTGAACAGGACATTAGTTTTTGCTGCCATGCAGCGTCCAGGAGACAGCTAAATGTTACAGCAGGACCAACCTCAGCAGGAACCAAACCTGGTTCCATTCCTCAGGGCAGGTCTGGTGCCTGCTATCTTGAAGGTCAGAACACCCCATCTGGATTATGTAAGATTTCAGGAAAAATTATTTTATCTCCTTATAAATCATTGAGACATTCAACATTATTTATTTGTTAGTTCATGAATCTGACATTTCTGAAATGCTTATTTCCTTGGAGAAAAGGCTGGAAAATTGCATAACAAACAGATACACTGCCCTACATAATTCTCAGCTCTGTATACTGGAGTTTGGATATTCCGAGGAAATGGAAATGCTACTGAGAGATATTTCCCTTCTTAAAGAAGTGTCTCCTCATACAGGCCTCACTTATCCACAAAGTGAGCTGGAAAATGCTCAGGAGTTGTTTTTATCACCCCCTGGAGGTAATTCCATAGGCAGTCCTAACCTGGCTGTACTCTAGTGATTGTTGTCTCATTTGATGGTCTTCAATGTAGAGTGAGGTTTATAAGAAAACAGATTAGATGTAAGAAGATAGTTCTTGAAATTCCACTCGTATTTATCTCTACCTAAACAGTTAAGGGAGTGATTAAGACATGCTATGCTGATTTGTAACAGTTGGCTTGACGTTGACTGCACATTTGGTACTATGACAGTCAGGATGCATAATTTTCTTGAAATTCAAAGCATCCTAAGGGCACACTTGTAGTCTGTGAACCACAGAGCAGCCTTGACTGGGCTTTTAATTTACTTAGCCCTCAACTTTCAGTGTCCTGTGACATATGCATAGTTAGGCAGATTTGTGCATTATTTCATCTAGGTTTAACTGATCTTGCCCACACAAAATGAATATGTAGCTTACAATTTTCCTGGGAAAGAACTATGGAATCACAATATTTGTCCATATTTCAAGTCCAAGAGAGGAAGATAATAGCTCAGTTGATTCTTGGATTTAATTCTAATAGCAGATTTTCACGATCCATAGTATGAGGTTAACAAAGCACCCATGTAATGAGATGGGCCGAGCAATTGCCTGCAGAATCTGAAGTTATCAAGAGCATTATTTGAAATGGAAATTTGCATCAATGATTGTTAGCCATGAACCTTATACCTCGAGATCATCTCAAACTGTATTATTGAGCCATCATAATCAGCAAGACAATTGGAAGTCAGCGCTCCTGGACAATATCAATGCTAATATATATTTTTAATGAAAACAAAAGGGAATATGTACCATTTGTAAATAAAAATATATGAAATAATATTTCCACATTATAATTTCATCTCTTAACCTCATCTTTTTTTCTACTTCTGTGTTGGTTTTACAGTATAAATTATATGTGAGTACACTAATGCATACCTATACTTTGTAAAGTAAGAAATGCCAACCAATTGAGAATGAATACCTTAAACATTTCTACTGTTGGGAGTAAATGAACAAAAACTTTGGAGTCCAAGGATCTGCTTGCTGGGAAAGAGTCTGGGCATAGGAAGCCCACCTCCCTTAGTGTTGCACTCCACCAGTCCTGCTCTGTGAAGCTACTATTGTTTGTTTCGAGAGCGCTCTTTTTGGGTTTTTTGTAAAGGTATGTAGAAGCCAATAAATTGCCACAAATGAACCAAAATAATTATTAACATCCTGTACCAAGATTTTCCAAAATCCCCAAAATAATTCCCTGTAATGGTGTCGTAAGTATTACCAATGCTAAGAATGCATCCTATTAGACAGGAAAACTAATCTGAGCATAAACTTGCATCCTCTTGTAATAAAATTAGGCTTTAGATACCTTAAGAACCTTCACCCACATCTATCCGGCCTCCTTTGAAAATGGGAAGGTGCTGAAAAAATGGTTAAAAAGACGATCTCTATTTTTCAGGTATTTAATTAAATTATTCAACCCGAAATAGAAATAGAAACAGGAGCTCCCTTTGTCCAATCTTAGATCTCTCCCTCTGTTCCCACTACAGCAATCCCAATTCCATTACATAATACACACATCTACCCCATACAGAGCCACCTAAATTTGACCTTCACACTCATTCCAATGCCTGAATTAGAATGCATCCATTCTTGAAGCAAAAAGCAATGAACAGTCAGGCATGGAGGCTCATGCCTATAATCCAGCACTTTGGGAGGCCAAGGCAGGTGGATCATGAGGTCAGGAGTTTGAGACCAGCCTGGCCAACATGGTGAAACCCCATCTCTACTAAAAATACAAAAAAAAAAAAAATGTAGTCGGGCATGGTGGCGCATGCCTGTAATCCCAGCTACTCAGGAGGCTGAGGTGGAAGAATCGCTTTAACCCGGGAGGTGAACGTTGCAGTGAGCTGAGATCATGCCACTGCACTCCAGCCTGGGTGACAGAGTGAGACTCTTGTCAAAAAAAAAAAAAAAAGCAAAGACCAATGACCAGCATCTCTTTATATGCACCTTGGTTTTTTCTACAGGACCTAAGTAATAAAAGCTGAAAGCCTCTCCCCATAGTCTCACTATCCTTTTTTAAAAATAAGAATCTTTGGGAAACTTCAAGAGGACATGACATTGGGGCTGGAAATTAGAAAGCAATGAAGAACTATGAGGCTTCAGTTGTGTTCAGTCTTGGACCAGTGAGGAGAGATGGGCCTGAAGCTCCCCATGGAAAACCCGTGAGGTTTTCTAACAACTATGGAAGTGCCCAAAACGAAGATGATACCAAGGGTTATACTGCTGGGAATTCCATTTCCCAGGCTCTCCAGTGCTCCCCTCTTATGGGCCAGCTAACCACTATTTATAAGGATGCAGTACAGAGAATTGTTAACAGCAGACCTATAGACAGACACTGATGAGCTATCATTTGAAAGCGTACAATAATCACCTATATTAGTAATTCAATAGCTCAATCATAATACTTCAATGCACTATTTTTCAGTTGCAAATCAAAACAAAATCATCATTACTGGCTAATAATAGGTGATTATGTTGATTAAACAAACTTAGAGTGTTTTGTTGGTTAACAGACATGGGGATCTCACCACCCACAACTCATGTAATATTTTCTAAACAACATCTAATTAAAAGATCATATGAACAAAATGTCTTGTATCTAACACCATGATTCGTCTGTTACAAAAATTATGCATGAGACAAGGAAAGACATAAAACTCTGCAAGTTGTTTTCAAGGTTTGATTTTAAAACAAAAACAAACAAAACCTTTACTCTTGCTTCCATTGTCAAATTGTTGTTGTTTTCTTTCTCTTTTCTTTTTTTTGCACATTGGAATGTTTTCCACTTCTAACCTGACTACCTTTGGGAATTATTTAGTAGTAAATAATTATCGTCTTAAACCATGGCATGAGATTAATTGGGGGAAACAGAAAATTATCTTCATGTGGAAAAGCAATAATAGCATGTCTTGAAACTACTCAGTCAATAAACATTTCTTATGTTGAGAATAATTATATATATATATTTCACATTTGAGATAGTTCATTCGATAATCACTTATTTCTATATGAAATATGGTAAGAATATTGGGAAACATTTGCCCATGAAAAATACCCACAACATGCGTTTTCAATTCATAGCCTAATTTGACTTGGCAGACATTTTGCAGTCAGAAGCATGGGATTGAGCCAAATCTAACCTCACCACTTTTATTGTATCAAAACCCGGAATATTTCATCATAGCAAACCTGCAAAAGGGGTTTCTTTTTAATTATCTTCTTAAAACATTTAGCATTACAAATTCATCATGCAGTTAGCTATTTGCCTGGAAGTTATCACACATGGGAAAAATGCCAATATTTGCAAACCCCAGGGTGGTGAATCGCTGCAAACAAAACTGATGACTATATAGAATAATTGTTGTCAAGCCTTTGACAAAGTCCTGAAAAATGTGTCTCCTGATGTTTTCAAAATGTACTCTGAAATTAAAAAGTACATTTAACTTTCTTTGTAAAAAGAAAATGTTTATAAATTATCCCATTACCTAGAGAAGGAAGAGAAGAGAGAAAAAGGAATAGCTTTTGTAAGAGAACTTCAGGGTTAGCTATATTCTTTAACATACATGCCAGTGGTCAAACCTAAGGAGTCTTGCAAGAAAGTTAGGTGCAGCCAAATTGCAGGTCTTCAGTTCTGCATGGAGAGTCTGAACAAAAACACATGGTAGTGATTGTCTCTCCAGCTGCATATTAGAATCAATTCAAAATCTTTCAGAACATCCTGCTGTTCAGATTCTGATGGAATCAGTAAAGTGTAGCTCAAAAAACAAAAACAAAATGGAACCAAAAACACCTCAAAAATATCAAGTCACATTGACATTTAACTCACTCTCTACCTCTACATAGATAATATATTTAGTATCCTATACATTTACTATCATATACATTTCATATGTATATCAAATTTCATACTTATATGCATAGTATTCCATACATATATACACAGTATTTATACACACATACAACATATTTTATGATATATAATATTCTAATATATATAGTATCTCATGCATATATATAATACATAGTACTCTGCATATAAATAGTATTTCATGCAGAAGTATAGCATATTTCACACATATATCATCTATGCATGTATACAGAATATTTCATACACATATGCATATTTACCCATACATTTATATACACATATATAAAACCATGTGCTTACTTGCTACAAACTATGTAGTATCTTTTGCTACTTGCCCTTATTGGAGGACAGTCTGACAGGCAGAAAAGATTAACGGTTAACTACAAGGACACCGGAACTCAATGGCCTGGGCTTATTTTCAGGCTCTGCCACTAGGTAGCTATATGACTTTGGGCTACTGTTTTTTTGTTTTGTTTTGTTTTGTTTTGTTTGATGGAGTCTCACCCTGTCACCCAGTCTGCAGTGGTGCAATCTTGGCTCACTGCAACCTCTGCCTCCTGGGTTCAAGGGATTCTCCTGCCTCTGCTTCCCTAGTAGCTGGGATTACAGGCCATGCCACTATGCCCGGCTAATTTTTGTATTTTTAGTAGAGAGGGGGTTTTGCCATGTTGGCCAGGCTGGTCTCGAACACCCGACCTCAGGTGATCCACCTGCCTTGGCCTCCCAAAAGTCTGGGATTACAGGCATGAGCCACCACAACCAGCCTGGGCTATTGGTTTAAATGATCTTTGCCTCACTGTCCTCAGCTTTAAAATATGGCCAGCCATAGGGTGGCTGTAGAAATGAATGAAGGAATGTCAGTAATAAACTTAGTGTACCTTACAATTAGTGGTTCCTCAGTAAATATTAGCTGTAGAGGTTAATTCTATTAGTGGTCTCTCAAGTAAACTACAAAAAGCTAAAGACAGGGCCTTGTGAACCATCCTATGCCATACTGACTTGGACCACCCTACAAAGGAATGTAAGATGCTTCCCATTATTCATAATGAAGCCAATTGCATAAGATTGGCTGCTGTTTGAGATGGGGAAGGAAATATAGGGGATGAAAAGGTCAAGTCGGCATCCGTTTTGTATTGCATGATAGTCTGATGCTGTAAATATAATGACTGATTAACTCTAATTGGCTGTCTCTGTGACTGCCCTTAAATCACTACCAGCTGCCCCTTGAAAGCTATTTCACAAGGCTCAGAAAAGAGAAGTCGTTTCTACTAATAACACTCTACAGCATCCCAAATTATATTTGCCTAGCCCTATATTTTATCAGTATTTCTCAGGATAAATTCCGAATTATACTCAAAAGAAGATTGAAAGGAAGATGCCTTTGATAGCTTTATCTATATTTATCTACATGTGTATGTATTTGCATGCATTTTCATGTCTGCATCTACATCTTTATATATAACTTAATCCAGGGAATTTGAGGAGAAAAACTTCAGTATATTCTGGTGCACTGAGATAAAAATGCGATGCTTCAATATGACTTTTTGCTTCTTCAGCTCTGCAAGTAGGAATGTTTCTAACATTTATCATTCAATAGCTTCTCGTGGTCTGGAAGAGTAGTTTGTGGCACTGGGCACATATTAGAATCACCTGGGGACCCTTTAAACTAGCACTAGTGTGCAATGTCGATACTTCTTTCCTGATCTTTAGGTGCCAGAGGACACTGGACTTCTTAAAATCTCCCCTGGGAGTTCTATTAGGCAGCCAGTTTTGAAAGCCTCTGACCCAGGGTCAGAGTCATGCTAATAATCAGAGTCAATTGTGCAAAACTCAATCTTTAAGTATTACCTTAATCTGAAACTCGATTATTCTTTCTACTTTGGGCAATCTTTAGTTTTCCAACCAATAAAGGATTTCACTGTTCTTTTTCTTTTCTCAAATCCATGTCTAGACTACAAATGTGCACCAGGATTTCTCTCAGTGAACTCATTTTTCAAATCTATAGATTTTCCATATTCAAACATCTTGTTTCCTTTGACAAGATGGATTTTTCTAAACAGACTTGTTATGTGCTCGGCCACTTTATGAAAACAATTCACTGACAGAAATTGAAGATGGCATCACATGCATATTGAGTAGATCATTCCTAGAATGTTAAAGTTAAAATCAGCACAAAGTAAGTTGCACTCAGCCCTGGGGAAATGTGCAAAAATATGCCATACCTCCTGAAAACTAATTTCTTTAAGTCATTCTGTGTCCCTCAGAGGTTTATCTACTTAAAACACAACGACTCATTTGTGTAAACAGATTGCAAATAATTTGCGTGTAAAATTGAATAGAACCAGGTACATGCAAACACCTACACACACAATACTGTGTGTATATCAAACCTATGAGATCTGAATAAAGGATATGGTTTGTATCAATGTCAATTTCCTGGTTGTGATACTATACTGTAGTTTTGAAAGATGTCACCATTGTGGGAAACTAAATGAAGTGTTCAGGATAATTCATAATCTCTATTATTTCTTATAATTGCATGTGAGTCTACAATTTTCTCAAAATACAAAGTTAAAAAAAAAAAGAAAGAGGGAGAGACTCCTTTAAAGAAGATTGGCAAATGACATAAGGCTTGGATTTGAATTTAAATTTCACAAAACGCAGGGAGCCTTGGACTCCACATTGTTCCTTATCAGTTCTAGTTCTCCCAACTACTTCAATTTCATATATAGAATATATGTAACATTTACTCAATAATATTAACTCTATCGTGTTCCCATTTCAAAATTTGCTGTGGCATCTAAATCAGACCTCTGGCCCTTAGTTATGATGCAAACGAATTGTAGTCTTCAATACTTATGTCTTTGGTTTCATGGTCTGTCCTTCTCTCCCCACCCTTATCTTATTCTTTCTTTGCCTTACTTTCTAAATGCCCTCTTCATTCTATTTTGTTTCCATTCTTAGATTTTGCTTTTGCAAATTCTTCTCACTGTGTTCTCTGTAGATTAGAACCTTCTATTACACAGATCTTACATAAACTGCTCACTTTCCTCATCTTATTCTAAATTTCATTCCGTCACTGCCAGGGATTGAATATCAAGAAGCATTGGTACAAATACGACCAACTCAATTTTCTATTACTTGCTCTAAATTGTTTTAGGGATTACAAACCTTCCACTCCCCCACCTTAGTGATTTGGCATTTTAATTTTTTTATCTGATTAATTCCATTTTCTTTTTCTTCTTTTAAGTTTTATTTTAGGTTCAGGGGTACATATGCAAGTATGTTATATGGGTAAACTCTTGTCACAGAGGTTTGTTGTACAGATTATTCCATCACCTATGTACTAAGCCTAGTACTCATTAGTTATTTTTCCTGATCCTGTCCCTCTTCCCACCTTCCACCCTCAAGTAGGTCCCAGTATCTGTTCTTCCCCTTTTTGTGTTCATGTGTTCTCATCATTTAGCTCCCACTTATAAGTGAGAACATGTGGTATTGGCTTTTCTGTTCCTGTGTTGGTTTCCTAAGGATGATGGCCTCCAGGGCCATCTATGTTCCTGCAAAGGAGATAATCTTTTTCTTTTTTGTGGCTGCGTAGTATTCCATGGTGTGTATGTACCGTATTTTCTTTATACAGTCTACAAGTGATGAGCATTTAGGTTGATTCTATGTTTTTGTGATTGTCAATAGTGCTGCAGTGAACATTTACATGCATGTGTCTTATGGTAGAATGATGTATATTTCTTTGGAAATATATCCAGTAATGGGATTGCTGGGTCAAATGGTATTTCTGCTTTTAGCTCTTTGAGGAATTGCCACACTGTTGTTCACAATGGTTGAACTAATTTACACCCCCACCAACAGTGTATAAGTATTCCCTTTTCTCTGCAGCCTTGCCAGTACCTGTTGTTTTTTTCTTTTTAATAAAACACCCATTCTGCCTGGTGTGAGATGATCTTTCATTGAGGTTTGGATTTGCATTTCTCTAATGATCAGTGATATTGGGCTTTGTTGTATATGCTTGTTGGCCACATGTATGTCTTCTTTTGAAAAGTGTCTGTTCATATCCTTTGCCCACTCTTTAATGAGATTTTTTTCTTGTACGTTTGTTTAAGTTCCTTATCGGTGCTGGATGCTGGGTATAAGACCTTTGTTAGATGCATAAGTTGCAAATATTTTCTCCCATTCTCTAGTTTGTCTATTTACTATGTTGGCAGTTTCTTTTGCTATGAAGAAGCTCTTAAGTTTAATTAGATCCTATTTGCCAACTTTTACTTTTGTTGTCATTGCTTTTGGTGTCTTCCATCTGACATTTTTAGACACACACACACACACACACACACACTTGGATTTTTCCAAGCACTGTTACATGACCATCTTCACAGTAACCATGAAGTGAGTGGCAAAATCCTTATTAGGTGGGAATACCAAGGCAGAGAAAGGATAGGCAGGCACACTTTCTGTGTTTCCGCACAAGAGAAGGCACTATTTTTATTATTTTTTTTTTTTAGACAGGGTCTCATTTTGTCATCCAGGCTGGAGCTCAATCATGTGATCATAGCTCACTGCAGCCAATACCTCATGAGCTCAAGCGATTCTCCTTCCTCAGCCACCCAAGTAGCTGGGACTACAGGTGTGCACTACCATGTCCAGCTAATTTGCCATTTTTTTTTTGCAGAGGTGGGGTCTCTTTATGTTGCCCAGGCAGGCACCAAGTGATCCTCCCACCTCAGCCTCCCAAACTGCTGGGATTGCAGGTGTGAGCCATCATGCTTGGCCTCTTACTCTTTTTTAAAATTTTTCTTGTATCCCCCTACAGCTTTTCCTCCTTTGATACCATGCTCCGTCAATGGGTGGTATATGTAAAAGTTGTCTCCAATTTACAACAAAGCTGTATTCTCAGGACTCATTTGTGTAAAAAAAAACCTCCCCAATGGAAACAATACTAAAAATATTTCTTGGGTTTTCAGTCCCTGCCAGGACACTCCACTGGCCCTGAGAAACTGTTTACCCTGTGGTGTAGCTCAAGAAGTAAAATAATGTGAAGGAAGTTGGATTCTTATTGCAAACTTCAAGCCCGATCTCTGGGTCAGCAGCCCCAGCTTCTCTGATCTTTGATGAAGAATGGAGGTTGGAGACCAGTGTGAGGTGCCCAAGCTGTGCAGCTGATTGGCTGGGTGAAGCCTCAAACAATGAGTGGATAAGAACTCCCAGGAAAACTCCCAGGAATTTCAGGCCTCAGGGACTGGGAAGAATCAAGCCTGGGGCCACTTGCATGGGTGCTCATGCTGTAAGGTGTGGCAGCAGCCATTGAAAGAAATCAAAATATTTCACCCCCAAATAACCCTTCTTTGACATATTTAGAGATGGCTGTTCAGAGGGCCTGAAAATAACAGCCCTACAAAGCCGTCTTTTGTGGGGGAAATTTGCATCTGTAGATGTAGAGAAAATCTGCATTGATGCATTTCTGCAGCCAGGCTTTCTCTGACACCCACTCCCTGCCCCCGTGTCTGGATCTAGGAAAAATTAACTAAAAGCCTAACACCTTTAAGGTCTGAAAGAAACAGTCACCATCGATTCTCTCTAAAGGCTGCGACCTGGGAGGTTTCATCTGCGTAACAAAACCACCTTTGCTAGTCAGGACTTCTCTTCTCTCCCTCCCATAAATTGTGTTGCCAAGATCCAAGCCTCCATTCTTTCTGTAACCTCAAGATGGCATAAAATTGTCAAGCAATCCTCCACTGAGAGCCTTGATAAGCTGCTTCCATATCTCTACTATTGTGAATAGTGCTGTGATAAACATGTATTCTTTTTCATATAATGATTGCTTTTTCTCTAGGTAGATACCCAGTAGTGGGACTGCTAGGTCAAATGGTAGTTCTATTTTTAGTTCTTTGAGAAATCTCCACATTGTTTTCCATAGAGGTCATGTTAATTTACATTATGACCAACAGCATATAAGTGGTCCCTATATACACAATGGAATATTATTCAGCCATAAACAAGAATGCAGTCATGTCTTTTGCAGCCACATGGATGGAATGGAGGCCATTATCTTAACTGAAATGACGCAGACACAAAAAGACAAATGCCACATGTTCTCATTTATAATTGGGAACTAAATAAGGTGTACACATGGACATAGAATGTAGGATAATTGACAATAAACACTTGGAAGAGTGGGAGGGTCAGAGGCTGGGAGAGTGGGAGGAAAAAGAAATTACTTAATGGGTACAATATTTATAATTTCAGTGAATACCCTAAAAGCCTTTATTTCTTATGCTTTTTTTCCTTAGGCATTTTTTCCAACTCATCAGCAGTTATGGGTCAATTGCATGTCAAAGTGGGGATGTACAAGCCTCTCAAAACTCTATTTAGATAATGGAGATTTAAAGGCTTATAGTGTAGTACGTAGTATTGAAAAACAATTGAGTAGGATTGAAATATAGGTGAATGCTTATTGGCATTGCATATCCTACAATTTTAGGAGTAAATATTGGTGGCAAAAGAAAAACAGCTTAAAATTGTATATCCTTGACTTAATATACCACTGAAACCATCAGGAGTTACAATTGTAAACATGATGATAGAAACCTAAAGTGTTGGTTGTCAAACTCCAATATACTTTCATTAGGATGAAGTGCTGTCTTGTTAACATTTACCAGACCTCAAATTCCATTAACACTGACATGGAAAGAGAGCTTTTGAATCTCCTTGGCAGCAGGAACTGTCCATTTTTCTTCTTAAATTCAATAAAGTTTCTTTTCTTTTTTTTTCTTTAAGTTTGGAGACAGGGCCTTGCTATGTTGCCCAGGCTGGTCTCAAACATTCAGGACTCAAGTGATCCTTCTAATTCAGTCTCCTGAGTAGCTGAGACTACAGGTGCATGCCACTTGCCCAGCAAAAATGTTTCTTTAAGAAATAAATGAGTCGACTCCTTGGTGTGGTTTATGGATACTTTATTATTGAACCAGTTTGTACAAACTCTAACATAAAAATAATGAGTCACAGAATATCAAGACTATTTACAATTTTTTTGTTTTTTACAAAACATTTTTACAAGATTACTTCTCTCTAAATAACATGACAGACATACACAAAAATCCAACTTTTTTTATTACATACATAAATAAATAAATATTGACTTTAAATGACCACTGTAAGGAACATGAATTCTACAGACCACTTGGATGAGAAGGTAGTAGTTTTTTTATCTGCACACTACAATATAATTAAGTAAAGGGGAAAAGTAACTTTATGTAGACCTCTGTTAATCACTCCGTAAATCATATAACTCGCTAAAATATTCAGTAGAGGTAAGACAGTCATGACCATCCTTTCTGTACCTGACACCGAGTCTGGCCATGCAAAATCACAGGTAAGAGTCAACATCTTTATATATCTGTTTATAATATATCTTATAATATATTATATTATATATATATAATATATAATATATATATTATAATATATTATAATTATAATATATCTTATAATAAACTTTGAAGTACATGAAACAGATATTTAGCCATTGTGTTCTGCCTATAATATGAAAGTTTATATAATAAGTTTTAGAGTTATTTGCAACCATAGAAATGAGTAAACTTGAAAACCCACGGCATAAGAAAGGGCATTAAATAAATAAGACAATATCACAAATAACATTTACACATACATAGGGCAAAATTACTATTTGTACTTGTATGATACAGACACGAGTCAAAATTCCATCTTTTAATTAAGTTGTTTAGTGGACATAAAAGACACAGTTGAGGCTTTTGAAGTCAACCATAATAACTTCTTAGCTGTCCCTTAGTTTTTGCTCTAGAAATTTACTGGGTTTCTTATAAAGGGCAAATTCTCATCTATTCAGTAAACATCATTCTCTAGCAATGGTTCTCAACCAGAGGTACCATCCCTCAAGGAGTAGCTGGCAATATCTGGAGACATTTTTGGTTGTCTCAACTTGGGGGAGGGTGCAACTGGCATCTGGTGAGGAGAAAGTGTGGATGCTACTAAAAACCTACAGTGCACAAGACAAACCCCCACAACAGAGAACTATCCAGCCCCAAAAGTCAATAGTGTTGAGTTTGAGATGAACCTCTGTATACAATCGGCTATGTATCTAAGATTTTCAGGACACAGATGTATTTCTAATCTTTGAACTTCGTTTAATACACATTACAAAAAATTACTGCCATAAACCTTATCTTCTCTACTATCTCATATTAAAACACTGAAAAGAGCACATGTTGGTTTGCAAACATCATTCTATGGAGTTCCAGGTAGAAAAACAGGGTAACACAGATAAATTCATCATTAAGGAGCAAATGTTGTAAATAAAAATAAAACATGTAACTGCAATGTATATCAAATTAACCACCTGTATTTGATGACAATATTTTTGATGAGCTCAATTTTTTAAACAGTCAATACTATTACTGGATATATTTTTCTCACATTAGAGAAATGAATCTAATTTCAATAAAATGTATTACAGAATTAGGCACCAAAACTATGTTTGTTAAAAAGCATAGATTTTATCCTTTATTAGAGCCATCACATTTTTAAAATTCAAAAAATTGTAACTATATTTTTGATCATTTGAATAATACTGGAGCTTATTAAAATCCATAAGAGAAACACATTTTTTACTAGCCTATTAATAGCATTTTTCTTCCAATAACACCAATAAAATTTAAATTATTTATTTATATCAAAATTAGAAGCCCACAAGAGATGCTTTAGATTCTTTTAAGGGAGATGTAAGCTTCAGAATCACCATCTGAACTAAAAATATCTGTCCAATGTCTATTACCCAGACAAAAGAAGCATGATTAAATTTATAAAATTAAATTTATGTAATAATTTAATAATATTTTGTATCTATGTATAGACTCCCAGCATTTTTCACTATGTAATAGTACAGAAATTTGCTGGCATAAACATTTGGATTTGTTCATGACAAGTTCATGCAAAAGATCAATGGATAGCCAATAATGAAAAATTTTAATTTTTGAAATTTTAAGAACTTGAAATTCAGGTGCTGGTAATGACACCAGACTAAAACATAGTTTTAGAGAAGCTATCTATGGTATCCATTTATTCAAGCTTAGGGATGTTTTCAAATGAAGACTGTTTTCTATTTTTGCCACTCAAAAATTCTTAGAACCAGGTAATTTCACAACTCAGTGTGATAAATCCATCCCAGCCTGTGACAAGAGCTGCAGCGAACCATTCAGAACCAACATGAACTTTCATTCTGAGGTGTCCAATTTATGTTACTTGTACAAAGCTGCAAAACATTCCTGGAATATTCACTTTTTAAATATTTTAACACACAGGAAATGGGTTTCAATATCTATTATCAGGTATCCATGTTTATAAATGTGTTTCCTAATGACACGCATCAACATCAGAAAAGTTATTTTCCCTGCATTTTAATTTGCATCTGCTTTTAGACACTGCAGTGAGGCTCTGTGGAGTACAGTGATTTCTGGGTTATCCACTCTTCCCAGGAATGGCCAGGCATCTGCATGAATTCAGGAAATAATAAAACAACAAGAAGCAAGTACCATTGTCAAAACCTAAGGATAATGTTACTGATTTTCTTCCTGTTTTACTTATGTAGGTAAAGACATGTGGACACCTTTCTTTTACAGTGTTCAATTTTGATAAATTGCTCTTTTCTCAGAATCAGCATTGATGGGGAAAATATATTATCCTTATAACCTTTAAAAGAGCTGTATCTTTACTCACCATTGGTGAGCTATGAAAACGATTTCTGCAGGGATTCATGCTCAAGGTATATTTATGTATATGCATGTGTCTGTGTGTATATATATGTATATGTACATATATTTGCATATACATATACACATGCATTTATAATTATATAGACATGCATATCTATGCACATTTCAAACCATGTATGTGAGTATTCCTTCAAGAAAAAAAACAGTATCAAATTAAACTTCTCTGCGTTTTAGGTTGTTATAATATACACTGCAACAGTCTATATTGATAACATGTTTTGACTTAAGTTTGTGCTACAAGGCACTAATCTGTAGCATAAAAAATTTCCAAAAAGTAAGATATAATAGATTTGAAAGCATATGGGTGAATTAAATGCAAATAACTGTCCTTCTCTATCAATCAAAGGCCTTTTTTAAACATTACCAATAATATTCTAGCACACAAAGACCTTTCTTTGATTAAGAAAAGGCAAATCTCTGCAAAGATTTAAACATGCTCAATAGTTGGGATTTTTTCATTTGAAGCAAGAAGTTTTGTGAATTTTCAGATGGTGAAACAAAAGTGCAGCAAAAGCTATTAGCAGCATTGAGGAAAATACGGGAAAATATAAATAAGATAACATATCAGGAAAATCTCTCACATAATGGAATCAAATATTAAAAGGCATCCTCAAGAAATAATTTTCATTTCTCCAAGGTAAAATCTGGTTAGCGGCTTATTTCATTGAGTTCCTTTGGCTTGGCTGTCTTTTGTAAATCACAATTTATAGAGGGAACTTTGATTTACCTTTGCATAAAGAGCAGCATAAGGTACTTAAAGTAGGAGCGTTTTTAGATTTAAATTCACTGGTATATTTTAGATTACACATTTTCATTTAAAAATCACCTAAGATAAAAATGATCTTAGGAAAGATTTGAATAAACAAAGCTGTATAATCTTAGTTGATTTTTCATATCGTATCAATAATTTAGTCAAAATATATTTTATTGATTAGATTTATGCTTAGCATTATGAGTGAATTGTGTATTTGTTACTCTACTTTTTGGGGCAGAATTTGGTGCTCCAAATTCAGGGAAAACTGAGCTCTGTTGTAATTCAATAGAAATGAGCGACACCATACATGAAAACAAAATTTAGCATTAAAAAGGCCTATTCTTCATTTTCTCCATGTTTGTAGGGAACTGGTGTCTGTCTTCACCAATCTACTGTTTCTCACTTGTCTCCAGATGCGTCCGTGATTGACAGAAGTTCTTCCTGCACTAAAGTCACATAGGAGAGTCCGGGCCTCTGAGCAGTTACCACTGCCTCTGGAAGTATGCATGTCTTGTGGCCGAAGTTCAACAAGCTTACACATCTGTGCAATTTTAAAAAATCTTTTTGAACAGTTTAGTATCTTTCTGGAGAAGGCTTGTAATGATGTGGATGATGATGCATAAGATGAGATCCTAAAAAGTGACAAAATATGTCAGTCACATCCATTTATATGTATCAAATAAATGACAGAATTACTTTTATTTGTAGAAAAAGCACGAGACCCTGGCAAATGTTCCTTCCTATGACCATGTCTTTCCTATTACCAATCTGAGTGTACAACCACACTCCTTCTCTCCTTTTCCTGTTTTTCTCTTCCTCTTTGATGCCTTCCCAAACCATAAAATAACAAGAAAAAGAAGAAAAGCTCTTTTCCTTAAGCTCACACTTATCCAATCAAACCATAATCCTTTTTTATTTGCTCAAACAAGTTTTAAAAATTATCAAATACTTTTGTTAAATGGAATTTCTTTTTTTTAATTTTATTATTATTATACTTTAAGTTTTAGGGTACATGTGCACAATGTGCAGGTTAGTTACATATGTATATATGTGCCATGCTGGTGTGCTGCACCTATTAACTCATCATTCAGCATTAGGTATATCACCTAATGCTATCTCTCTCCCCTCCCCCCACCCCACCACAGTCCCCAGAGTGTGATGTTCCCCTTCCTGTGTCCATGTGATCTCATTGTTCAATTCCCACCTATGAGTGAGAACATGCGGTGTTTGATTTTTTGTTCTTGCGATAGTTTACTGAGAATAATGATTTCCAATTTCATCCATGTCCCTACAAAGGACATGAACTCATCATTTTTATGGCATAGTATTCCATGGTGTATGTGTGTCACATTTTGTTAATCCAGTCTATCATGGTTGGACATTTGGGTTGGTTCCAAGTCTTTGCTATTGTGAATAGTGCCACAATAAACATACGTGTGCATGTGTCTTTATAGCAGCATGATTTAAAGTCCTTTGGGTATATACCCAGTAATGGGATGGCTGGGTCAAATGGTATTTCTAGTTCTAGATCCATGAGGAATCGCCACACTGACTTCCACAATGGTTGAACTGGTTTACAGTCCCACCAACAGTGTAAAAGTGTTCCTATTTATCCACATCCTCTGCACATGTTGTTTCCTGACTTTTTAATGATTGCCATTCTAACTGGTGTGAGATGGTATCTCATTGTGGTTTTGATTTGCATTTCTCTGATGGCCAGTGATGGTGAGCATTTTTTTATGTGTGTTTTGGCTGCATAAATGTCTTCTTTTGAGAAGTGTCTGTTCATGTCCTTTGCCCACTTTTTGATGGGGTTGTTTGTTTTTTTCTTGTAAATTTGTTTGAGTTCATTGTAGATTCTGGATATGAGCCCTTTGTCAGATAAGTAGGTTGTGAAAATGTTCTCCCATTTTGTAGGTTACCTGTTCACTCTGATGGTAGTTTCTTTTGCTGTGCAGAAGCTCTTTAGTTTAATTAGATCCCATTTGCCAAATTTTGCTTTTGTTGACATTGCTTTTGCTGCCATTGCTTTTGCTGTTTTAGACATGAAGTCCTTGCCCATGCCTATGTCTTGAATGGTAATGTCTAGGTTTTCTTCTAGGGTTTTGATGGTTTTAGGACTAACGTTTAAGTCTTTAATCCATCTTGAATTAATTTTTGTATAAAGTGTAAGGAGGGGATCCAGTTTCAGCTTTCTACATATGGCTAGCCAGTTTTCCCAGCACCATTTATTAAATAGGGAATCCTTTCCCCATTGCTTGTTTTTCTCAGGTTTGTCAAAGATCAGATAGTTGTAGATATGCGGTGTTATTTCTGAGGGCTCTGTTCTGTTCCATTGATCTATATCTCTGTTTTGGTACCAGTACCATGCTGTTTTGGATACTGTAGCCTTGTAGTATAGGTTGAAGTCAGGTAGCATGATGCTTCCAGCTTTGTTCTTTTGACTTAGGATTGACTTGGTGATGCGGGCTCTTTTCTGGTTCCATATGAACTTTAAAGTAGTTTTTTCCAATTCTGTGAAGAAAGTCATTGGTAGCTTAATGGGGATGGCATTGAATCTATAAATTACCTTGGGCAGTATGGCCATTTTCACAATATTGATTCTTCCTACGCATGAGCATGGAATGTTCTTTGTTTGTATCCTCTTTTATTTCCTTGAGCAGTGGTTTGTAGTTCTCCTTGAAGAGGTCCTTCACGTCCCTTGTCTGGTGGATTTGTAGGTATTTTATTCTCTTTGAAGCAATTGTGAATGGGAGTTCACTCATGATTTGGCTCTCTGTTTGTCTGTTATTGGTGTATAAGAATGCTTGTGATTTTTGTACATTGATTTTGTATCCTGAGACTTTGCTGAAGTTGCTTATCAGCTTAAGGAGATTTTGGGCTGAGACAATGGGGTTTTCTAGATACACAATCATTTTGTCTGCACACAGGGACAATTTGACTTCCTCTTTTCCTAATTGAATATCCTTTATTTCCTTCTCCTGCCTAATTGCTCTGGCCAGAACTTCCAACACTATGTTGAATAGGAGTGGTGAGAGAGGGCATCCCTGTCTTGTGCCAGTTTTCAAAGGGAATGCTTCCAGTTTTTGCCCATTCAGTATGATATTGGCTGTGGGTTTGTCATAGATAGCTCTTATTATTTTGAGATACTTCCCATCAATACCTAATTTATTGAGAGTTTTTAGCATGAAGCGTTGTTGAATTTTGTCACAGGCCTTTTCTGCATCTATTGAGATAATCATGTGGTTTTTGTCTTTGGTTCTGTTTATATGCTGGATTACATTTATTGATTTGCATATATTGAACCAGCCTTGCATCCCAGGGATGAAGCCCACTTGATCATGGTGGATAAGCTTTCTGATGTGCTGCTGGATTTGGTTTGCCAGTATTTTATTGATGATTTTTGCACCAATGTTCATCAAGGATATTTGGTCTAAAATTCTCTTTTTTGGTTGTGTCTCTGCCCAGCTTTGGCATCAGGATGATGCTGGCCTCATAAAATGAGTTAGGGAGGATTCCCTCTTTTTCTATTGATTGGAATAGTTTCAGAAGGAATGGTACCCATTCCTCCTTGTACCTCTGGTAGAATTGGGCTGTGAATCCATCTGGTCCTGGACTCTTTTTGATTGCTAAGCTATTGATCATTGCCCCAATTTCAGAGCCTGTTATTGGTCTATTCAGTGATTCAACTTCTTCCTGGTTTAGTCTCAGGAGGGTGTATGTGTCCAGGAATTTACCCATTTCTTCTAGATTCTCTAGTTTATTTGCATAGAGGTGTTTGTGGTATTCTCTGAAGGTAGTTTGTATTTCTGTCGGATCAGTGGTGATCTGCCCTTTATCATTTTTTATTGCATCTATTTGATTCTTCTCTCTTTTCCTCTTTATTAGTCTTGCTAGCGGTCTATCAATTTGGTTGATCCTTTCAAAAAACCAGCTCCTGGATTCATTAATTTTTTGAAGGGTTTTTTTTTTGTCTCTATTTCCTTCAGTTCTGCTCTGATTTCAGTTATTTCTTGCCTTCTGCTAGCTTTTGAAAGTGTTTGCTCTTGCTTTTCTAGTTCTTTTAATTGTGACATTAGGATGTCAATTTTGGATCTTTCCTGCTTTCTCTTGTAGGCATTTAGTGCTATAAATTTTCCTCTACACACTGCTTTGAATGTGTCGCAGAGATTCTGGTATGTGTGTCTTTGTTCTGGTTGGTTTCAAAGAACATCTTTCTTTCTGCCTTCTTTTCATTATGTACCCAGTAGTCATTCAGGAGCAGGTTGTTCAGTTTCCATGTAGTTGAGCCGTTTTGAGTGAGTTTCTTAATCCTGAGTTCTAGTTTGATTGCACTGTGGTCTGAGAGACAGTTTGTTATAATTTCTGTTCTTTTACATTTGCTGAGGAGAGCTTTACTTCCAAGTATGTGGTCAATTTTGGAATAGGTGTGATGTGGTGCTGAAAAAAATGTATATTCTGTTGATTTGGGGTGGAGAGTTCTGTAGATGTCTATTAGGTCCACTTGGTGCCGAGCTGAGTTCAATTCCTGGGTATCCTTGTTAACTTTCTGTCTCGTTGATCTGTCTGATGTTGTCAGTGGGGTGTTAAAGTCTCCCATTATTATTGCGTGGGAGTCTAAGTCTCTTTGTAGGTCACGCAGGACTTGCTTTATGAATCTGGGTGCTCCTGTATTGGGTGCATATATATTTAGGATAGTTAGCTCTTCTTGTTGAATTGATCCCTTTACCATTATGTAATGGCCTTCTTTGTCTCCTTTGGTCTTTGTTGGTTTAAAATCTGTTTTATCAGACACTAGGATTGCAATCCCTGCCTTTTTTTTTCCATTTGCTTGGTAGATCTTCCTCCATCCTTTTATTTTGAGCCTACGTGTGTCTGCACGTTAGATGGGTTTCCTGAATACAGCACACTGATGGGTCCTGACTCTTTATCCAATTTGCCAGTCTATGTCTTTTAATTGGGGAATTTAGTCCATTTACATTTAAAGTTAATATAGTTATGTATGAATTTGATCCTGTCATTATGATGTTAGCTGGTTATTTTGCTCATTAGTTGATGCAGTTTCCTCCTAGGCTTGATGGTCTTTACAATTTGGCATGATTTTGCAGTGGCTGGTACCGGTTGTTCCTTTCCATGTTTAGTGCTTCCTTCAGGAGCTCTTTTAGGGCAGGCCTGGTGGTGACAAAATCTCTCAGCATTTGCTTGTCTGTAAAGTATTTTATTTCTCCTTCACTTTTGAAGGTTCGTTTGTCTGGGTATGAAATTCTGGGTTGAAAATTCTTTTCTTTAAGAATGTTGAATATTAGCCCCCACTCTCTTCTGGCTTGTAGAGTTTCTGCCGAGAGATCTGCTGTTAGTCTGATGGGCTTCCCTTTGTGGGTAACCTGACCTTTCTCTCTGGCTGCCTTTAACATTTTTTCCTTCATTTCAACTTTGGTGAATCTGACAATTATGTGTCTTGGAGGTGCTCTTGTGAAGGAATATCTTTGTGGGATTCACTGTATTTCCTGAATCTGAATGTTGGCCTGCCTTGCTAGATTGGGGAACTTTTCCTGGATAATATCCTGCAAAGTGTTTTCCAACTTGGTTCCATTCTCCCTGTCACTTTCAAGTACAGCAATCAGACATACTTTTGGTCTTTTCACATAGTCCCATATTTCTTGGAGGCTTTGTTCGTTTATTTTTACTCTTTTTTCTCTAAACTTCCCTTCTCACTTCATTTCATGCATTTCATCTTCCATCACTGATACCCTTTCTTCCAGTTGATCACATTGGCTCCTGAGGCTTCTGCATTCTTCATGTGGTTCTCAAGCCTTGGCTTTCAGCTCTATCAGCTCCTTTAAGCATTTCTCTGTATTGGTTATTCTAGTTATAAGTTTGTCTAATTTTTTTTCTAAGTTTTTAACTTCTTTGCCTTTGGTTTGAATTTCCTCCTGTAGCTCGGAGTAGTTTGATCATCTGAAGCTTTCTTCTCTCAACTGGTCAAAGTCATTCTCCATCCAGCTTTGTTCCATTGCTGGTGAGGAACTGCATTCCTTTGGAGGAGGAGAGGTGCTCTGCTTTCTAGAGTTTCCAGTTTTTCTGCTCTGTTTTTTCCCCATCTTTGTGGTTTTATCTACTTTTGGTCTTTGATGATGGTGATGTACGGATGGGTTTTTGGTGTGGATGTCCTTTCTGTTTGTTAGTTTTCCTTCTAACAGACAGGATCTTCAGCTGCAGGTCTGTTGGAGTTGGCTGGAGGTCCACTCCAGACCCTGTTTGCCTGGGTATCAGCAGCGGTGGCTGCACAACAGTGGATTTTTGTGAACCGTGAATGCTGCTGTCTGATCGTTCCTCTGGAAGTTTTGTCTCAGGGGAGTACCCAGCTGTGTGAGGTGTCAGTCTGCCCCTACTGGGGATATCTCCCAGTTAGGCTGCTCAGGGGTCAGGGGTCAGGGACCCACTTGAGGAAGCAGTCTGCCCATTCTCAGATCTCCAGCTGCGTGCTGGGAGAATCACTGCTATCTTCAAATCTTTCAGACAGGGACATTTAAGTCTGCAGAGGTAACTTCTGTCTTTTTGTTTGTCTGTGCCCTGCTCCCAGAGGTGGAGGCTACAGAGGCAGGCAGGCCTCCTTGAGCTGTGGTGGACTCCACCCAGTTCAAGGTTCCCTGCTGCTTTGTTTACCAAAGCAAGCCTGGGCAATGGCAGGTGCCCCTCCCCAGCCTTGCTGCCACCTTGCAGTTTGATCTCAGACTGCTGCGCTAGCAATCAGTGAGACTTCATGGGCATAGGCCCCTCCAAGCCATGTGCGGGATATAATCTCCTGGTGCGCTGTTTCCTAAGCCCCTCGGGAAAGTGCAGTATTCAGCTAGGAGTGACCCAATTTTCCAGGTGCCGTCTGTCACCCGTTTCTTTGACTAGGAAAGCGAACTCCCTGACCCTTTGCACTTCCCAAGTGAGGCAATACCTCGCCCTGCTTTGGCTCATGTACTGTGTGCTGTACCCACTGTCCTGCACCCACTGTCTGGCACTCCCTAGTGAAATGAACCTGGTACCTCAGATGGAAATGCAGAAATCACCCATCTTCTGCATCTCTCACGCTGGGAGCTGTAGACCAGAGCTGTTCCTATTTGGCCATCTTCTATTTCCGGAGAAGAATCTTAAAGCCCTGTTAAATGGAATTTCTATGAAGGAATATCAGAAAAGCATTTATCCAACAAAAATTTTAGAGGCTATCAAGCTCTTCCATTGTGATAGTTTTTGTTTTTCTTCAAATTATAAGCATAACAAGTTATCAATTATAAGCATACTAACCTATCATTTAAAAAAACCAGAGTTAAAACTGTGACTAATTCTCAATGTTTTATCCACACACTAATCATCAGACACTTTTTTAAAAAATTTAAGCTAGAAAGTAAAGTAAAAGAAGTACATAATTTAAAAATCAGCAAGAGGCTG
Organism: Homo sapiens; assembly: GCF_000001405.40. Classification (NCBI taxonomy): domain Eukaryota; kingdom Metazoa; phylum Chordata; class Mammalia; order Primates; family Hominidae; genus Homo; species Homo sapiens. The sequence continues at coordinate 13,908,957 of NC_000024.10, read as the reverse complement.
TTTTGAAAATCTAGGTGACAGTTTTCTTTTTAAATTTTACTTGATTTAGCAATAAAAAGGTGGACTTGGGTCACATCATGAAGAAAATTCATGACATTTATTACAGTAATATCTATGTAACAAGAACATAAGTTCCTTAGTAAAATATTATTTCCTATATTGTGATATTTGAGAATCTTGATTTAAAAATATTTCAGATTGATATGAGACTACAGATTTTTTTCCCATATGTGCTTACGGTTTAAAAGACAAGGAAAAAAGCATGCATTATATAGGGAAAAGTGCAAGGAAGGAAAAAAAATGAAGGATAGAGGAAAGGAGAAAAGGAGAGGGAAGGAAAAAGGGAGGGAGAGAGGGTGGAGAAGGAAACAAGGGAGGAATAAAGAAGGGAGAAAATGGGGAAAGAGGAAGGGAGGGAGAAAAAAGAAAAATTAAGCATCAACTATGCAATGTATACTACAGGTGCCTGGAATAGAATCTAGTAAGTCGGTACAAACAGGGAGAAAGAATTTCAGATGATGACAATTTCCCTATCTCATAGAAACCTGTAATAGTGTATTTATTTGTTTTCATTTTCCAGCAAGATTTTTCTCTATGTCCACAAGACCTGACAGGATGGCTTAATGCCCTGGCACCCCACTCACTGTGTGCTGAAGAGGGTGGGAGCTTCCACATCTGGAATATCTTGAGGGTGGCAGGCCCCTCCCCTCCTGGGGTCAGTACTTGCACTTCCAGTCAATAAAGAGTAGATGGTCTCCGATTGGGCACTGTTGGGACATAGTGATCCTAAGGGGACAATATGAAAGAGGATGCTCACCGACAACCTTTCAGAGACAATGCACAATGCACAGAGAGCTTAGAACAGTTTTTCCTCCACTGGAGAATATCATACAGAGGCAAGTTTGGTTGCTTTCTACAGGCATAGTTTAATTTATAGACAATTTCTCATTTGTAGGGGTTCTCTGCCATATGGTTTCTTAGCACCTCACTCAATTCTTGGCAGACTAAGACACTTGGCAGAGTTAAAATATGCTGAGGTGCCAGTTCTTAGGGCTCACTCCTGGTGTTTTATTTATTTTTTTAATTCCTTAACATAAGACTTTCCCATGGTTTAAAGTCTTCAGCTGCACATCTTGTGATGTGAACTCTTGATAATCCAAATTTCAGTGAATGAGCCAACTGTTTTTCTTAAAACACAATATCTGTCAATGCCCATAACTGAAAATGTTTATTTTTATGCCAACACATTCTTTTCAAAATGCAAAAATACCAAGTATATTTATAGGATAACTACTCTCTAATTCCATGGAGTTTTTCCTTCTGAGATTTAAGTTGTGTTTCTTTCCCTCCCCACCACCCCTTTTTGGATTTTGTAATGGTAGCTGGCTATTCTAAGGGCATTTTCAGAGAAGGTAAAATCCCACAGATGATTTTTTTTTTCTGAAGCCAGGGAATTAAGTGGACTGAGAGACAGGCCAACTCATTACAGCCTCGAGCCAAATTTGAAGTTGGGGGGAAGACAGACAAACAACAAGCTTCTTTTAGCTATTCCCGCCCTCCCCAACTCAACACTTCAAACAGGCCATGTCCACTGGGACCAGAGAGACATGAGGTTAACAAAGATATAAGAAAATGGCTTAATCACTTATATACAAGATAGGGTAAGGTCTTTTCATGAGTTAGCTCTAGCCATCAAACTTTATCTAGATGGCAGCTTATGCTACTTCTTAGCTATGCAGTCACATTTGTGTTGTGTTAATACTTGCAAAAGATACACTCAGAAGAAGAAAATGCAAAAATAAGACTCAATAGTACAGCACACAGAATGACAGAGGTAGCCACCTCTGAAGGTCAGTAAAAAGGAGCAGTAGATACCAATGACACGGACATAGTACAAGAGGTGGGATGTACGGAAGGCAGGATCTGGGGCTGTGAAATAATGCTGTTGGGTAGGCTGTTCTGTCTGCTTTCCGTAGTGACCTCAGCCCAAGTCACTTGAAACCCAGTCATGGGCTGATAGAGATTGGCCTTGGCCATCTTCCAAGTAAAGTGACTGGTGGTGTTCACATCCTGGAAGATGAATGAAGCAGAAAGGTTCTCAGGCTTAGCTAGCACCTTAGAAAGAACATGACCTGCAGCAATGCAAGAAGGAAAACCAGGATTAGGCAACTGAAGAAGGTGTCACCATGGGATCCATTGTAGGAATTTTCGGCAGCCAGTCTATGGGATGATATTAATAGAAGCAACGTGATCTTGTTCTTTAAACATGGGTTCAGACAATCACCCCCTTTGACATATGGGGATAGGTTGAGTAGGAATCTCCTCACTCTTAACTTGGTACTAAATGCTCCTTCCAGTCTTTTGGGGATCATTTTTAGAATGCTTTTTTGAAGATGGAAGCAGGAGAGCAGTTTAGACCCTGGCAAGACTTAACTATTTCTTAAAGAATAGCGTTGACTGCAGTGAGAAGGCAAATATTAAAGCTGTTAGAAGAGTTATTAAATCCAAGGGTTTTTTTTGTTTTGTTTTGTTTTTTGTTTTTTGTTTTTTTTTTAGAGGTGAGATCTTGCTATGTTGCCCATGCTGGTCTGGAACTCCAGGGCTCAAGTGATTCTCCCATCTCAGCCTCTCAAAGTACTGGGATTTCAGGCATGAGCTACTATGCCTGGCCAAATCCAGTGCATTTAAAAGAGTTTCTCCCACTGCAAGACAGGGACTTTGGCTAGGAGAGGGGATGGAAGGTACAGATGTGAGGTTTGCTAGGTTGGCATGGAAGGTGTGTGAGTATAACCCACACAGCAAAAGGGTGGGGAAAAATGAAATAATTATATCAAACTTTCCCAAAACACAAGCAGTATCTAAATGTTTGCCTTCATTTCCAAAGGGATAACATTGCTATCAAAGGACATCTTTCCAAGGCTGTTAGGCTTTAAAGTAACACATTCATTCCTACATCTCTTCCCTCCACATTGGGCCAACATAACACAACTTAGAAAGAGAGGCACTTTTGGTATTCACGGTCTTGTGAAACACAGTTTGGCAAGGTTTGCAAAGCGCTGCTGACACCGTAGACCTAGATGTAGAAGTCCTTCAGGTGATAATGTGCCTGCTTCGCCCAGGCAGCCAACAGGCTTGTGGCTGTTCCCCTTAAGAGCAGAGCATGGTGGAGTAGTGAAGAAAACAGCTTCTGCCTTGGAGTGACTTTTGGCCATATTGGTTGGACAGTCACCTTATACTTGCAGGAAAATGACACATGTTGAAGCATTATATAACTTTCGTAGAGCAAGAGAAAGAGAATTATGCTAGGAATAAATCTCATTAGGGATTAAAAAACACTGGCAAGAATTGAAATAATATTCCATCCAATAAGGATGTTTTCCTATATAGTGTGTGCAATATGGCTTTTATAAAAAGTACAAAGCACATACTGTCCACATTTTGATTAATGACAATTGTGAAACACTCCCATGGCTGCAGGATATGCCTTCTAGAATTAAACAGAATTGTAATAATTCCTTATCAAAGCAGGCTACTTCTAAGGTCACAATCAGCATTTTTCAGTTGGTAGCAGTGCAGGTAGTGGTGTAAAGCTGTAAATACAAATCTAACTTTTTTCAGTTAAAAAAAACTAATGCAGGCTTCTCTGAGACATAGAATTAGTTTATATGTAAGTTTTTCTGTTAAAAAATGATGATACTCTTTAGCAATATAATTTTTCCCTTTTTTGGAGTGCTGTTACAGTTTTCTGCCATAATTTGTGATTAAATGTAAATAAAAGAAAGAGGCTAAATGGTAACAAGTCAGGGGCTAAGAATATAACTTTATGATAATGTCAAAAGATGACATTTCCTGTGATAACAGGTGTGTATCTCTGTTTCTTTTATATCTGGCTAAGTGGCACCTATCCATTCTGTTTTGTATTTACCAATTCTTAATGAATATGTTAAAAGTGCAGATGGATAGCTGGGCATAGTGACTCGTGTCATAGTCCTAGCTACTTGAGAGGCTGAGGTGGGAGGATTGCTTGAACTCAGGAGTTTGTGATGAGTTTAGGCAACATAGTGAGACTCCATGGTTTTTATGTGTGTGTGTGTGTGTGTGTGTGTGTGTGTGTGTAATTATTTTAAGAGAGAAAAAAAGGTACAGATGGAACATCTCTGGTACTCATTGGATGATGGGTAGGGGATCTTGCTAGAAAGCAGCAGGGTTGACGGGAAAAACATGAGACAAGAATTAAAATCAAAACTGAGGCTTGAGTGATTTACTTAAGTGAGGAGTGGAAGTGGCTGCAGGTGACAGAGCACTGAATGATCAAAAGAGACCAGGAGTGACCTCCAGGTGTGCTGGCCCTTCATCCAGATGGTGACAGGAGATGGGGTGCACCCAACTCTGCAGCCAGTTAGCACAAACAGTGAATAGGAAACAAATCAATCTGGACAACGCAAGACCAACCCAAGCCCAACCCAAGCCCAAGCCAAGGCCTCCATGTCTCTTTGGAAGTCTGAATTGCTTTTCTTTGGAAATAAATCTGCTCTTTACATGGGACTGTATTGGAATCCAAGGTTAGCTATTAAGGATCCTGTTTCACAGATATTTCAAGATTGCTTTCATGTTGCATAGGAGACAGACATCTGCAGCAGTAAGTGAATTAGTGGATGCTCCATTGTAGCATAAAAACAAATTATAATAATTGGATCTAAAGGCTTAAAACTAAATACAGATAAGTTCTACACCCCTAGAAGGATAATTTTTCTGGAGTTTGATTTTTATTTCTGCCGGATACATTACATCTGCTCAGCAAATAGTTGTTACCACTTTCAGAGTTCCTAAAGATGATAAGCCTAGGATTGGGGAATTGCATTGACATAAGCCCAGTTCTGTAAGGTTCTGAGGCACACACATATAAGTAAAACAAAAACCTCACCCCTCTGCCCACAAAAATATTAATAATTCCTGCTTCTGTTTATTGCTTTCTCTGCTTTTCAAATCAACTTCCTTATTTAGAATGTCTGTTTAATTATTTTACTGAAGGTCACAAACATTGGAGCTAATTTAAGGATAAATAAAAGGAGAAACATTGCTGAACATGAGACAAATTAAGTCCAGTAAAAAAGAAAAAGAATCTGTGTATTTCTGAAAATCCAGTGACTTGTTTTATCTCACTCTCTTAAAATTATGCCAGCAGGTATGGTTCTTAAAATATTGTGCTTGCTTTAGAAAATGTTCAAAAAAAAATATTCTAGTTATATGTCACAAACCAAAACATTCTGTTTGGGGCCATGTTTTTGGATTTTTTAAACTGTCCTGAGGTATTACATATAAATTTCCATAAAAGTGTATTATACACTTTGTATAATACAATGGCCTCTTAAACATTTTGTGTTGGTTTGTTGATTCTAATCTATAATTCATGAATGAACCCCAAAATATTTGGAATAACATTTTGGGCAATATTGACAGAGTTGCTATCCTCAGAGAGTTTAATGTTCTCTTAAAGTTGAAAGTCAAAATATTGGTGCATGCTATACAGGACAGGGAGATTATTTCACTAACTGAGCTGATGGCAGTTAGGGACATGGTGCTAAATGATAGAGTCACATAGAAATCCACTTGTACCATTACACCTTTAGATCACGGTGACATGTCAAAATTCAGAAAATAATTCAAAGCTTTTGTCCAGTTAAGATGAAGCACACACATACTCAGACATATTTCCCCCTGAAATATGGGAGTTCTTTAAGAACTGTGTCTTTAGTCTCTGCACTTTAGGTTTTGCTCCATGTGGATAACAGAGTAAGCTCCCAGTGCAATGGTGTGAATGGATAAAAGAATGAGTGAATATAATGACCATTCTGCTTTCCGCTTCTATCAAGTCATTACTCAATAGCTGATTTGTGAGAATGAGTTATCTGTTTGACATGTCTAGTTTGTACATCCTCCTGTCTAATTATGTTCACAGATCAAGTTGGCCTAGAGATCATGTCCTTACGTGGGTCATGCCAGATGATGCCTCTGATCCGGTTGTTCTGTTGTGGGCACACACTTCAGGAAACCACCGCACATGATATCGGTTGACAGTGGGATCTATAATGCCAAAACACGCAAACAAAAATAATAGGCCGGATGTTACATTCCAGGTAGCCTGGGGTTCTTGAACTTGAGAGGAGAAAAGGAGAGGAAATGAAACTCTACAGGTGACCAATAAATGCACAGTGAGCCAAAGGAGGTGAGATTCTGATTACTTAATAATTATAATAATTAGTAATTCTGAATACTTAATCATTAAGAACAAAGTAAGGGAAAAAAGTAATATACTGCCAAGGGAAAACCTGTGTTGAAGTGCAAGTACTAAGTAGAAAAAAAAATTAGTAAAGTCATAGCAAAATGATTCCAAAGATGTCTTGAGAATAACCTAGCCATGGTTTTTACAGTAAGCAAAGCCCTACAATGAAAGGCAACACCTAGCAACATCTCTCGTAATTCCTGTTGTAAAAGAGAATCATCAGAAGTTTCTCAATCCTACCTTTTTTTTGATAAAGATGAGATACTATTGAATCCACACAAGAACAAAAACATTGCCTTCACACTTGCAGAATTGGCTATCCACGTTTATTTCCTGTTATGTATTGCCATAAAGAAGTTCTTTTGTCAAAAGGATAGGGACGTATGCTTCCCACTTTCCCTTAACCAAGCGCATCGTGGCATTTCTGTATGGCTGATCCCTACTGAAATATGACTTGGTGTTCTCAAACACAGGCCAGAAGACTGACCCTTTGAACACGTTTATTCCCAGGGCAAGAGGAATATTTTCTGTACATTTCTTTACTTTGGACAATAAAGTGGGGGGAAAAAAAGATAAAATAACGGCAAGCAACTCAATGAGTGTGGGAAAGCAGACCTTGACAGTCTCGGGTTTATTAATCACCCCAGTGTGTCCGAGGAGTGTGAAATGGCACCAAACGGCACCATTTTGCAGGTGATTTAACATCTTGTCCCCCAACATCATGCCAAGTGTTTGATGGGGGTTTTCAGAGGAGAAAACTCTTTGATGAAATTGGGTTGATCTAGTGGGAACGTCGCTTTGAGCACTTTGGAACCAGAAAAGAAGAACTTTAAATCCGAGAAAGCAAACAGATATAAAAGTGGGCACTCCGGGCATTTAGCAAAAAGAGAAATCATGTACTAGAGGTTTTAATTTTTACATAGCAGACATCAAGAGTTTATTTTTTAAAAAAAGAATTATAGGCTATGCACAACGCTGAAGTCAATCACTGAGTGTGTTCATGTTCTTCCATTCAACAGCAATGAAATAATCACACAGGAGTGGCTGCTGCCCTCCTGAATTTTACATAGTAATGGGGCCAATAATAACAGAGAATAAATACAATACATAGATAAGATAGATATTATGTTAGAACGTAGTAAGTCCACATATAAATACAGAAGGTGGCTGGGCACGGTGGTTCACGCCTGTAATCCCAGCACTTTGGGAGGCCGAGGCAGGCAGATCACTAGGTCAGGAGTTTGAGACCAGCCTGGCCAACATGGTGAAACCCCCTCTCTACTAAAAATACAAAAATTAGCCAGGCGTGGTGGCAGGCGCCTGTAATCCCAGCTACTCGGGAGGCTGAGGCCAGAGAATCTCTTGAAACCGGAAGGCGGATGTTTCAGTGAGCCGAGATCACGCCACTGCACTCCAGCCTGGGCAACAAGAGCAAAACTCCGTCCCCCACCACCCCCCCTCAAAAACAAAAAAACAAAAACAACAAAAAAAACAGAAGGTAAGGGCAGTAGGGTGGATTGACAAAAAGTGCTGATTTTATATAAGGCGACTGGCGTGTGTTCAATTCTGAGTCAGGACTTGAAGAAGGTGTAGCAGTGGGTAGTGGCACTGCAGAGACCTGTGGGAGGGTGTTCTCAGCCAGCCCTGTCCAACAGAACTGGCGGGTGTGATGGAAATGTTCTGTCTGTGGTAAACACTAGTCACCTGTGCCTATAAAGCATTTCACATGTCCTCTGTTTAACAGAGGAATTTAATTCTTTATTCTGTTTCATTTTAATTAATTTAAATTTAAACAGCTGAAGATGGCCATGGTTACAATATTGGGCAGCTTAAATGCTCTACCAGCAGGGAATACACAGCACGTGCCAAAGTGCTGACATGAGAACGGAGCATGACGGATGACTGAAGGTCTTTGGTGAAGAGCAGTCAGGGGACTTGGGGTGGCTACATTACAGCAATACAAGGAGGCTTGGCTGCCCTGGGGATCCTCCATATCCTAAAAATCCTTTACATATTTTACAATGCAATTATATTTTCATAGGAGGCAGCATCAAGAGTGACACATGGGGCACTCCTTTTGGGTTCCCTCCCTTTTGTTAGCCCTAAATCTTGCCATGTCTGAGTTCACTGCACTTTCATCTTCTCTCTGTGTCACCTCCATGAATCACTTCATTGATTCCCATGGTTTGAAAAATTTTTCTGCTGACAGCTCCCAAATATCTACTTTCACCTGAGCTAGTCCCTTGAAGAGCTGATGCTCCCTCCTTCCTCTCCCATGTGGAGGCCTTCCAAATTCAACTTTGCTGTAGCTACCATGTTGATTTCTGCACCTCAACTGCTCCTTGCATTCACACTTTTCTTTCTGGCTGTAGGATGCAGAATTTTGACCCCACACATAACCTTCAAGGAAGGTGGGCTTCAGCAAGCAACTCCAACAGCCTCAGTGAGCCTCATTCCCTGTATCTGAGAATAAGGATACTAATTCAGCCAATGCAATAGGTTTGGTGTGTTTTAAATCAGTTCATGTACTGGTTTTCTACAGCTGCTGTGACAAATTACCTTGAGTGTAGATGCTTAAAACAATATAAATGTCTTCTCTTCTGGAGGTCTGAAATGGGTGTCACTGGTCTAAAATCAAGGCAGGCCTGTACTCCTTTCTGGAGGCTCCAGGGAAGAATGTATTTTCATGACTTTTCAGGTTTCTAGAGGCTTCTGGCATTCTTTGGCTGGTGGTGCCCTTCCACCAGCTTCAAAGTCAACAACACTGGGCTGAGTCCTTCACACCATGCCATCTCTCTGATTCTTGCACTCTGCTTCCCTATTCTACTTTTAAGGACTTTTGTGATTGTATTCGTTTCCACCCAAATAATTAAGGGTAATATCCCCATCTCAAGGTTGGCTTTGAGTCATTGAATGGCTTTTCTCTGCCCTCTGAATAAAGACACTAATACTCAGCCTGGCTTCCAGGTCTCCACTGCCTCTACATATTTATCTCATGCAGACACTCCTCTCTTTCCCAATGTTTTGTTTGATTCTGTGGTTACTTCATGAATCCCTGTCAACCCCATTTGGTTAGAGCTCCATAACTATAAAGATAATGCCTATTTGCTGTCACTGTTGCATAAACAAAGATGAGCATGGTGCCTGGCAGGTGATAAACAGACAGTAAACATTTAATGAATAAATAAGTGAACAAAGGTATACCAGTTCAAATTCACTTTTATTTCTCTACTCATTCTGGCAACAGTGAAAATAATTCCTTATAATCTAAGACATGGAAGAAAGTGTGAAAAGACATGATATTACATAAGGTATTTAAAAGCAATCTGAGAAAGTAAAATATAAATTAAACTTAGATTAAAAATGCCCTGAAAGTATTGTAAATGGCACCCCCAAATGACCAGTATGGGGACTAACAATGCCCACACTCATTTATGTGAGTTGAGCTCAATTTTAACAGATCAATTCATAGATATTTGCTTTGATGGAAGTCATTTATACAAACATCATGTCCTTAGCTTTATCTTGCCAATGACTAAAATCCTAAGAGCTTGTATTTTAGGTTATGACTGCAGGTCTCAATCTGTAACTAGAATATTAAAAATAGCATAGTTCAGGCCGGGCGTGGTGGCTCATGCCTGTAATCCCAGCACTTTGGGAGGCTGAGGTGGGTGGATTGTCTGAGGTCAGGAGCTCAAGAGCAGCCTGGCCAGCATGGTGAAACCCTGTCGCTACTAAAAATACAAAAATTAGCCAGGTATGGTGGCACATGCTTGTAATCCCAGCTACTCGGGAGGCTGAGGCAGGAGAATCGCTTGAACCCGGGAAGTGGATGTTGCAGTGAGCTGAGATCGTGCCATTGCACTCCAGCCTGGGCAACAACAGTAAAACTCTGTCTTAAAAAAATAATAATAAAATAAAATAAATAGCCAAACACTTCCTGAAAGGGTGTATCTGAAAATTCTGTGCTAAATACCCAATTGATCTGGTTCCTTAGCTTAATTCCTTCCACAAACAAATGACATTACAAAGAAAGTACCTGAAAAGTATTTTTAAGTGATAAAAAATTTACCTGTAATATGCTTCAACTATGGTTCAAAAATTAGATGGGTCTAATTTTCTTTTCAAATAGATGTAACTCACAGTGTCTGGCATAAATAAAGGGCTCTAAAATTTTTCATTAAATGTGAATTCCTCAGTTCGCAAAAGTCTAATGACAAAGAATGATAGGGTTATTGACATTAGAGCTCTGAGAAAGAGGCAATCCTTGGGTTCTCCAGAATAATAATGGCTTTAAAAAGAATTGTAAGTCACAGCACTAGGGAAGGGGGCACACACTTAGAGAGGTGTCACAGAACGCCAATTCCATCAGGGTAGGGATTTCTGTCTGCCTCTTTGCAGTGTTTTAGCATCGGAAATGGTGCATTGCATACAGTAGGTGCTCAGTAAAGGTTAGTTGAATGAAGTCCTCTCATGGATCAATGCCTCATACTCTATCTGTAAACATGATCTGGTGAAACAGAACTTTCTGATGTACAACTAAAATAAGAATTTTTGAGTATCACATAGGCATTTCTACTTAAAATAGAAGCATGAATGTTTCCTCTATGTCTGAGCTAACTTTTCACATTTACGTTGTAGAGACACAAAGTCTAGAGCCAGAAAACCATCAAGATGCAGTGGCTCAGGCAGCCTGCTTTTATTCCCTTGTCTGGCCCCACCCAAATCCTGCTGATTGGTCCATTTTACAGAGAGCTGATTGGTCTGTTTTGACAGGGTGCTGATTGGTGCGTTTACAATCCCTGAGCTAGACACAAAAGTTCTCCGTGTCCCCACTAGATTAGCTAGATACAGAGTGTTGACACAAAAGTTCTCCACATGCCCACCAGAGTAGCTAGATACAGAGTGTCAATTGGTGCATTCACATACCCTGAGCTAGACACAGGGTACTGATTGGTGTGTTTACAAACCTTGAGCTAGATACAGAGTGCTGATAGGTGTATTTATAATCCCTTAGCTAGACATAAAGGTTCTTCAAGTCCCCACCAGACTCAGGAGCTCAGCTGGCTTCACCCAGTGGATCCTGCACCAGGACCACAGGTGGAGCTGCCTGCCAGTGGCGCGCCACACGGTCACACTCCTCAGCCCTTGGCTGATCGATGGGACTCAGCACCATGGAGCAGGGAGCAGCACTCATCCAAGAGGCTCAGGCTTGGTGGGCTGCAGGTCCCAAGCCCTGCCCCACAGAGAGGAAGCTAAGGCCTGGTAAGAAATTGAGCACAGCAGCTGCTGGCCCAGGTGCTAAGCCCCTCACTGCCTGGGGCTTGTGGGTGGGCTGGCCACTCCAAGTGCAGGGCTTGCTGAGTGCACGCCCACCGGGAACTTGCGCTGGCCCACAAGTGCCCCATGCAGCCCTGGTTCCCAGCCGCGCCTCTGCCTCCACACTTCCCTGCAAGCTAAGGGAGCTGGCTCTGGCCTTCATCAGCCCAGAAAGGGGCTCCCACAGTGCAGCGGTGGGCTGAAGTGCTCCTTAAGCACAGCCAGAGTGGGCACCAAGGTCGAGGAGGTGCCAAGAGTGAGCGAGGGCTGTGAGGGGTGCCAGCACTCTGTCACCTCTCCATCCCCCCTCTAAACAGGACACCCCAACTGCTGTTGGGAATTTGGCTGATGACCATTCTAGCTACTTCCTGCTGGACAGGAGTGATGAAGGGGCCCTGTAGTTGTAGTGTCCTCCTGAGGGGAGCTCTCCAGGCCAGTAAAAGTGCCAGGGGGTCAGTCCAGGGGTCCTTGGTAGAAGTTGTTAGTTGAACTCCTTTGGGGTTCCATTTGTAAGACCATCTGTAGCTTGATGGCCTCAATTCTAGAGGAAACAAATTTGACAAGCAGGTTAAAAATACAGGGTCCAAAGGCAAGTAATAGCAAGATGGCTGCCATGGGAACTAGAAAGGGGAGAAATCATAATGCCCAACTCCAGAGGTTCGTATAAGAGTTTGAAAGATGTTGTTTGATTTCAGAAAACTTTTCCTGTAAACACCAGGTGGCATCTCGTACTATCCCTGAATGGTTAGTGTAAAAACAACACTCTTCCCCTAAGAAGGTGCAGAGTCCTGCTTTCTCAGTAGTGAGGAGGTATAGGCCTCAGCAGTTTTGGAGAGTCACTGCTGCCAAAGAGTCTATTTGGGATTGTAAAGTAAGAATAGATTTTGTTATTTCTTGCAAACTCTGAGAAATCCTTTGAGAGTGTGTGGTAGTAGAATAATGAAGTAGATAAACCAGCTATTTCAGTTCCGGTAGCAGTAGCCATTCCTAACCCTATAAGCAGGGGTATTGGTTGTATGGCTCTGTGCTGATGGACTTGAGCTTTGAGGGGTACTGATAAGTTCTGATTTCCTGGGGCAATGTTAATGTTGGGACTTAGGAAGACTAAGGTGCAGGTGCCTGTCCAGTTAGTGGGGAGGCACATATAGGTCAACATTCCACATAAGAAGAATATGCCTTGGCTGGGTAGACAGAACTGGTTATGTATGCTAAAAAGGTGTGTGAGTTTCTTTTCATTTTCCCATACTCCTAGAGTACTGGCCAAGATACCTCCAGTGAGCAGCTGGAAAGGGGTGTTGGGAGAAAACTGAGTGGCTCCCTGCGTTCTAATTTCCCATTGGAGAAAAAAAAGTTTTTTATCCACTAGGATCCATTCGAGAGAGTGATTGAAAGGGGATGAGAAGGCATTCACTAGTGGTGGCGGCACTGCTGCAGGGAAAACGAGATCATTTTATCTAGTCTGAGTTACAGGTAGGAGTAAATTACTGTCAAGAGGAAGGAAGATAGAAAGAAGGTTGATGTGATTAGGATTTTCATTCTGTCAGGAGCTAGAGTATGTAGTCCTATCACAAAGAGTATGGTTAGTGTGCTGTTTTCCCCTACCTTTTTTAAGGAGGATGAGGTCTTTCCTCAGGATCAAATACGCATGTGCATGGCCCTCAACCCTGCTACTTTTCTCTTTTGATCACAGGATCAAAAAGGATAGGAGCCTTTTTCGTCTGGGATATTTCTTTCCGAAATAGGAGGTGCAAGTCCTCCAACAGTTTACAGGTGTATCGAGGCTGGTCTGGCTGATGTTGGGACTGCTGAGCTGATGATCCCACAGGTTCCTCAGGGGATGTCCAAAGTTTAACTCAGGAGTGGTGAATCAAAGATTCGATTCCTGCCATGTTAACTGCAGTGGGAGTAGAGAGGATTACCAAGTATGGTCCTTCCCACAAAGAGTCCAGAGATGGGGAGGTAGAGGGAAGAGATTTGACCAACACTAGATCTCCTGGTTGAAACAACTCTGCTCCCTTTTCTCTGTGACAACCTTCAGGTAGGTTTTTAAGGTTTTGTTGATATTTTGCCAAAGAAGTTATATCTTTCACCAAGTTGGCCATTTCCTGATCAAGTAGGAGGTCATCTGGGAGAAAAGGTCGCCCATACAGCATTTCATATGGACTAAGCCCTATTTTGTGAGGAGAATTTCAGATCCTCAACAGGGCCATAGGCAAAAGAGTAAGCCATGGGAGGTGAGTTTCTTGTGTTAGTTTCCTTAAGTGCCTCTTGAGCGTTTCATTTGCCTTCTCGACTTTCCCTGAGGATTGTGGCCTCCATAAGCAGTGAAGATGATATTGTATCCCTAGTGGCCTGGAGATTCCCTGAGTTATCATGGCTTTAAAAGCTGGACCATTGTCACTCTGTAAGCTTTGGGGAAGCCCAAATCTAGGAATTATTTCATGAATTAGGACTTTAATCACTTCCTGAGCCTTCTCTGTCTTGCAGGCGAAAGCTTCTATCCAATTTGTAAAGGTATCAACACAGACCAACAAGTATTGAAATCCCTTTGACTTAGGCATATGGGAGAAGTCTAACTGCCAGTCCTTTCCAGGATAGTGACCTATTCTTTGTTCCCTCAATGGGTCCTTATGATGAACCAAGGGATTATTCTTTTGGCACACCTCACAGGCTTTGACTACCTGTTGGATGGTCTGGAGGAGATTTGGCCCTGTAAATAGGGATTTGGCCATTTGATTAGTGTTTTCAATACCTATATGAAAAGTTTGGTGGAGGGTTTTAAGTATTTTCCACTGGCTGGCTTCAGTTATAAGTACCTTTCCTTCTTCTGTTACCAACCACCCTGAAGGAAGAAAATTATGCCCCTGTGAAAGTCCCCATTCTGTTTCAGTCAGGGAATACTGGGGCTTAATTTCTTGGAGGGGGTTGTTCCATACCAAAGGTCCTTCTGTAGGTATTTCTAATAAGGGGTTCCACCTGGTAGCAATTTTGCCTCAGCATCTGCCCGACAGTTTCCTTCTGCTTTCTTTCCTTCACCTTTCTGATGGCTTTGGCAGTGTAAGACTGCCACTTCCTTGGGTTTTTGCACTGTGTGCAATAACTCTATAATTTCCTTGTGGTATTTAACGGGGGTTCCCCCAGAGGTTGGGAACTCCCTCCTTTTTCATATTGCATCATGAGCATGTAGGATTAGATAAGCATACTTGCTATCTATATACACATTTATTCTTTTTCCCTTTCCCAGTTATAAGGCTCAGGTAAGTGCCACTAGTTCTGCTAACTGGGCACTGGTCCCTAGGGGAAGAGGCTTACTTTCAAGTATGGTTACATCGCTAACTATGGCATAACCTGCCCTTCATACCCCATTCTCCACAAATGAACTTTCCTCAGTGTATAGGTTAAGATCAGGATTAGTTAAGGGAACTTCTAAAAGATCATCTTGGGCAGCATACGTCTGGACTATTTTGTTCACAGTCATGCATAATCATTTCCCCATCCTCTGGGAGAAAAGTGGCAGGGTTGAGGACCATGCACGTGCATATTTGAAGCACTGGTCCCTCAAGGAGTAGCACCTGGTATCTAAGGAGGCAGTTGTCTTATAGCCATAAACTTCCTTTGGCACCTAGTATGCCATTTACCTCATGAGTAGTCCAGACAGTGAGATCCTTTCCTTGTATTATTTTGATAGCCTCTGACACAAAGACGGCCACTGCAGCAACTAACTTTAAACAGTGAGGCCAGACTTTTGCTACTGCATCTATTTCCTTACTTAGGTATGCCACTGGTTGTGGGGTTTTCCCACGAGTCTGAATAAGGTCTCCAAGAGCTATCCCTGCTCTCTCTGTGATGTATAAAGAGAAGTTTTGTCCTGTGGGAAGGCTTAAAGCTGGAGATTGTACTAAGGCCTGCTTTAAGGTTTTGAAGGCTGTTTCTGCCCCTGGTTACCATTCTACAAGATGCCCTCTGGGTTTCCTTACTTACAGTATTGAGGGGCCTGGCTATCTTGCTGTATCCAGGGATCCCTAGTCAGCAAAAGCCGGTAATTCCAAGGAACCCCCGCAACTGTTTTAATGTTTTAGGGTGAGGATAAGCCAATAGAGGCTGTATTCATTCCATGCTGAGGGTCCTGGTCCCTCTGGCTAAGATTAGGCCTAGATATTTGACCTGCCGTAGGCAAAGCTGGGCCTTCGACCCAAACACATTGTACCCTTGATTAGCTAGAAAGTTCAAGAGATCTAGAGTAGCCTGCTGGCATGAGGCTTCCGAAATGGTAGCCAAAAGCAAATCATCGATATATTGAAGGACCAGAGTGCCTGGACTTGAGAGGTGGCCTAGATCTTGGGCCAGTGCCTGACCAAACAGATGAGGGCTATCCTTAAATCCTTGGGGTAAGATCGTCCATGTAAGTTGGGGTGTGTGGTCTGTGGGATCCTTAAAAGCAAAGAGGAACTGGGAGTCAAAGCAAAGAGTGCAGGGGAATACAGAAGAAGGCATCCTTGAGGTCCAGAACCATCAACCATTCTGCTTCCTCTGGTATTTGAGAGAGCAAGATATAGGGGTTTGGTACAACTGGATATAGAGGAATTACTGCCTCATTATTGAGTCTAAGATCTTGCACTAGTCTCCACTGACCATTCAGTTTTTGTACTACTAGAATTGGGATGTTGCAGGGACTGCTGCATTTCCTTACCAAGCCTTGAGCTTTCAAATATTTAACAATATTCTGTAATCCTTTATGAGCTTCAGGCCAAAAGAGATATTGCCTTTTAACCTGATTTGGACTGGCTGGGCATTTTTTGCCCTTCCAAATTGTCCTTCCAATGCCCAGACTTCAGGGTTGATTCCCTCCTCAAGTAGGGGACAACAAATGTGTAACTTGTTCCCCATACTCATGTAGATAATAGCTCCCACCTTGGCTAATATATCTCTCCCTAATAAGGGTGTGGGACTTTCAGGCATAACAAGAAAGGCATGTGAAAAGAGCAAAGTCTCCCAATTACAACTGAGGAGGTGGGAGAAATACCTGTTTAAAGGCTGTCCCAGGATTACTCAGATGGTAATGGACCTTGAAGACAGTCATCCAGGACAGGAGATTAACATTGAAAAAGCCACGCCAGTGTCCAGGAGGAAGTCAATTTCCTGGCCCTCTATAGTTAAACACACCTGGGGCTCAGTGAGGGTGATGACATGAGCTGGCGCTTGCCCTGGGCACCCGCAGTCCTGTTGTTGGATCATCTGGTTGGGGGCTTCTGACCCAGGGAACCTTCATCCTCTGGGTTAGTGCACCTTCCAGTGATTGCCTAGGCATAGTAGACATGGACGAGGGGGCAGCTTGTTTCTCACTGAATAATCTATTTAAAAGTGTCCTTGCAAACCACAGTGATAAAAATCCCTACCAGGTGACTGGCCTGCTCCATTTTCTGTCCTCTCTGAACCACCAAGGTTTGTTTGTCTGAGGGCCATGACTAAGGCTGCAGCCTTTCTCTGATCTCGCTTTTCCTTTTGGGCCTGTTCCTCTTGGTCCCTATTATAGAACACCAAGGTTGCCAGGTTTAATAATGTCTCTAGATTTTGTTCAGGGCCCAGGGCTTGCTTTTGGAGCTTTCTCCTGATATCTGCAGCTGATTGGGTAATAAACTTATCTTTTAGAATCATTTGACCCTTGAATGATTTGGGTGACATGGAAGTATATTTTCTTAAGGCCTCTCATAGCCGCTCAAGGAAGGCAGAAGGATTTTCTTCCTTTCCCTGGGTTATGATGGACATCAATGAATAATTCATGGGCTTTTTCTAATTCTCCTCAGTCCTTCTAGAACACAGGTCAACAGATATTTATGACTCCAGTCCCCATGATCTGAGTCAAGGTCCCAGTGGGGATCCATACTGGGGATGGCTTGCTGACCAGTAGGGAATTTGTCCCTTTCTTCAGCTGTCATTCTATCATTTACTTGACTAAGATACCAGGTATCTCCAAACTCTCAGGCTGCAGCTAAAGCCACATACTTTTCATTAAAGGCCAGGGTTTGATCTAACAGTAGTATGACATCTCTCCAAGCGAGGTCGAAGGTTTGCCCTAGACCCTGTAGGACAACTATGTACCTATCAGGATCATCTGAAAATCTCCCCAGGCCTGCCTTGATCTGCTTTAAATCAGAGAGGGAGAAGGGGATATGTATCCGGGTTGGGCCAAATTCTCCTCCTCCTAACAGCTTGAAGGGGACAAAACTGATAGCCCAGGGGTTTTTGTGGACCTTTGGAGATTTCTTTGCTTATTTCCTTCTGGGTGGGAGAGATTAGAGGAGGATTATCATTCATAGGAAGGGGAGCTATAGGGAGACTAGGATATGGGGGTAAGCTGAGAGGTCCTCCTGTGGGATGTAAATTGTAAGCTCTGCATAGTTGTGTATTCTCCCTCAATGAAAAGAAAGCTCAGACATAAGGTATTTCCCTCCATTTGCCTTCCCTCTTACACAAAAGGTCAAGCTGCAGGATAGTATTCTAATTTGTACTTCCCTCAGGTGGCCATTTTTCCACATCAGAGAGAGAATATTGGGGCCAAGCTGTAGTGCAGAAAAAAATGAGTCACCTCTTTTTCAAGGTTTGTGGGTCAAATTGGTCCAATGGCTTAGGATGCATTTCAAGGGACAGCCTGTTGCTGCCTGAGTGTTTCCCATCTGAAAGACAAAACCGCCCATGGTTTTGGTTTGTTTTGTTTCTCCCCCTGACCAAGAACACACAACAGTCCCTGGACCCCGCTGATTGGAATAGCTGTGTTCACCGATGCAGCAGCAGAAACAACCCCTGCCCAAGAATCTGCAACGGTCCCTGACCATGCTGATTGGAATAGTTGCACTCACCGACGCAGCAGCAGAAACACTAGTTTTCCTCCCAGACCAGATGGAGGACCAGGGAAGGTCGGATTTAGCAGCACTTACTGACACATTCTTGAAAACCTGCACCCTTGCCTGTCCTCCTAGACCACAAGGAGGACCAACCGAGAAAAATCGGATTTAGTCGCCCTTACCGACATATTCTCAAAAACCTGTTAGAGTCCTAAGTGTTCTCCTGTTAGTATTGGGACTTTACCCCTGTCCTATAAAGATGTTATGCCCCCAAAATGAAGTGGAGGGCCATACCTTGAGGGAGGGAAGGGATCTCCAGGGTTGGAAGAGTGACACCTTTTGTCTTCACTTGTATGAATAGGAAGGATACAATTTCTGAGGCTCCCCATATCCTAGCTTCAGGAATAGCTTTCGTTAGGCCTGTTAGTCTGAGGAGGGATCCTAAAATTCCAGGTAGTCCCCACTATGATGGGGCTTTGGGCAAAAATTATGTCTTCTGACTGGTAAGCCTGGGTGCCTAAAGAAGGTAACAGAGTCCTGGAGTTTATACTAGAAATCATTCTTATAGGAGAAACTAGAAAAGCACCAGAGACAGGTAACAATTTTTAGAAGCAGGACTAACCTCGGAGAAGAGAGGCAAGAGGAAGTTTGTCTGGCAGGCATTAGGACCCAGGGGGCAAGGGTCAGGATACATAGGATAGATGGGTGAGTCTCGCTTGGGCGACATGCTTTGAGAGTTCCGCTCATGGCCGCAGGGTCAACCAACTTGTTGTCAGGACCCTGGAGCTGCATGACTTTCCTCTCTGTCAACCCTCAGCGCAGCCCAGAAGTACAAGAAGAGCAGAAGCTGGTTCTGAGCAAACCAACGGTCCCAACGCCGAACAGTCCGGGGGTCATTAGAGAGCCCTTTCCCAGAAAGCATGACACCTGTGTCTTTAGTCCAGCGGCCATGCTAGTCGCTTTTAACTGGCCGACAGGTGCCTGGTATTTAGTCCCTGAACTCTAAGGAAAAATAGGACAGAATAGCAAGCGAAAGGGGTCTTACAGTACTCACTGCGTGGCGAAAGGCGATTGTCTCACTGCTCAGCAACAGGTGATGGTCTCACTGCTCTGTGATAGTCTCACCGCTTGGCGATTGGTGATGGTCCCTTCGTGGTCACCAAAATCTGTCCAGAATTGGTGGGTTCTTGGTCTCACTGACCAAGAAAGAAGCCACAGACCCACATGTTGAGTGTCACAGTTCTTAAAGGCAGTGTGTCTGGAATTTGTTCCTTCTGATTTTCAGATGTGTTCGGAGTTTCTTCCTTCTGGTGGGTTCATGGTCTTGCTGGCTCAGGAGTGAAGCTGCAGACCTTCGCAGTGAGTGTTACAGCTCTTAAGGTGGCACATCTGGAGTTGTTCATTCCTCCTGGTGGGTTTGTGGTCTCACTGGCTTCAGGAGCGAAGCTGCAGACCTTCACAGTGAGTGTTACAGCTCATAAAGGCAGTGCGGACCCAAAGAGTGAGCAGCAGCAAGATTTATTGCAAAGAGCTAAAGAACAAAGCTTCCACAGCGTGGAAGGGGACCCAAGCGGGTTGCCACTGCTGGTTCAAGCAGCCTGCTTTTATTCCCTTATCTGGCCCCACCCACATCCTGGTGATTGGTCCATTTTACAGAGAGCTGATTGGTCTGTTTTGACAGGGTGCTGATTGGTGCGTTTACAATCCCTGAGCTAGACACAAAAGTTCTCCATGTCCCCACTAGATTAGCTAGATACAGAGTGTCAACACAAAAGTTCTCCATGTCCCCACCAGAGTAGCTAGATACAGAGTGTTGATTGGTGCATCACAAACCCTGAGCTAGACACAGGGTGCTGATTGGTATGTTTACAAACCTTGAGCTAGACACAGAGTGCTGATTAGTGTATTTACAATCTCTTAGCTAGACATAAAGTTTCTCCAAGTCCCCACCAGAGTAGCTAGATAGAGTGTTGATTGCTGCATTCACAAACCCTGAGCTAGACACAGGGTGCTGATTGGTATGTTTACAAACCTTGAGCTAGATACAGTGCTGATTGCTGTATTTACAATCCCTTAGCTAGACATAAAGTTTCTCCAAGTCCCCACCAGAGTAGCTAGATACAGAGCGTCAATTGGTGCATTCACGTATCCTGAGCTAGACACAGGGTACTGATTGGTGTGTTTACAAACCTTGAGCTAGATGCAGAGTGCTGACTGGTGTATTTACAATCCCTTGGCTAGACATAAAGGTTCTCCAAGTTCCCACCAGACTCAGGAGCACAGCTGGCTTCACCCAGTGGATCCTGCACCCAGTCGCAGGTGGTGCTGCCTGCCAGTCCTGCGCATGCGCCCACACTCAGCCCTTGGGCAGTCATGGGACTGGGCACCATGGAGCAGGGAGCGGTGCTCACTGGGGAGGCTCAGACATGGTGGGCTGCAAGTCCCAAGCCCTGCCCCACGGGGAGGCAGCTAAGGCCCGGCAAGAAATTGGGCACAGCAGCTGCTGGCACAGGTGCTAAGCCTCTCACTGCCTGGGGCTTGCAGGCAGGGGCAGGCCGCTCCAAGTATCTGGCCCACCGAGCCCACGCCCACCCTGAACTTGCGCTGGCCCACAAGCGCCCTGGGCAGCCCTGGTTCCCACCCACGACTCTCCCTCCACACCTCCCTGCAATCTGAGGGAGCCGGCTCTGGCCTTGGCCAGCCCAGAAAGGGGCTCCCACAGTGCAGCAGGGGGCTGAAGGGCTCCTTAAGCATGGCCAGAGTGGGCGCCAAGGCCGAGGAGGTGCCCAGAGCAAGCGAGGGTTGTGAGGGCTGCCAGCATGCTGTCACCCCTCAGTCTAAATGCAGTTGCTTCTACCTAAAATATAAAAGGTGAAATAGGTGGCATGCCCCCTGCATTCTGTGAACTTCCTCGGTAGAAATGAATGGGAGGGAACCTTTTCTGTATCCATGGCATCTCTCAGTTTAGCAGAGGCCTCTTTTCAGGCCAGTTGCCTTGAGTGGAAATACCCTTTGTGAGAAGAGCATTCCTTCCTCCAGTTCCCACTCACCCCATCCGTAGTCTTTCTCTGCTTCTTCTTTGTTGGTACAAGAGACTTACTGCTGATTGTCCAGCTCCAAAAGACATTGTAGTGATGCACAAGGATGTCCGGCTCCTCGGGGAGACCCCAAACTATAGTGACGGTCACACTCCCATCACTGTTGACGGTGGAGTTGGCCAGCCGGAGGTTAGCTGGCACTGGTGGGGCAGATGGATCTGAAATCCCAGAACAAAGACACATCATATGACTCCACAAAACTAACGTCTTTGGACATGTAATGACTACATGGTCAACATGTGAAGCATTGATTTTTATAAATAGAAAAGCTGAAAACAGCAGGGGGCAGGATGGCTTATGTCTATAATCCCAGCACTTTGCAAGGCAGAGGCGGGCACAATCTTTTGAGTCTAGGAGTTTGAGACCAACCTGGGCAACACAGTGAAACTCTGTCTCCACAAAATATAAAAAATTAGCTGGGCAGGTTGGTGCATGCCTGTGGTCCCAGCTACTCAGGAAGCTGAGGCAGGAGGATCATTTGATCTGAAAAGGTTGAGGCCGCAGTGAACTGTGATTAGCACCACTGCATGCCAGCCTGGGCAAGAGAGTGAGACACAGTCTCCAAAAAAGAGTAAAAGAGAAGTGAAGCTGAAAACAAGTTATTAAGATCTTCTTGTTCAGCCTCAAATAAAAAATCTAAAAAATGGTAAGATAAATTTGTTTGGTCCAAATTTGTAATCCAGAAGGATCATTTTAAGCGTTTCCATACCAAGACAACCCAGCCAAATTTTTAATATGCTGAAATTGATATCTTTTGGTAAAATACAGTAAAATTCAATGTGGGTGAATTGACATTAAATAGGTAAGCAACAGAGAATCACCTTTGAATACTCTAAAAAGGAAAAGAAATTCAGCTCACACAAATAGTTGTTTTCACCTTAGTGGCCCTGTAGCTAGTGATTTTTGCATCAGCTAAGAGTAATAGAGATCAGAAAAAAAAACTGCACCATTTTTTATCCACACTGCACACTGGATGACTTACCAGTAGCATTCATTTTTCTGATTGTACCATTTCTGGTTTGTCTCATAAATGAAAACATTTTCAGATGTCAAGAGAAAGGTGAGGTGCTGGAATTACCACCTCACAAATCTCCATTGAAAATACGTATTTGAATAAGACTAAATATAGCAAAGCTGGAGGGTTTTTACTTCATTTTCTGTTAAAAATTGAGCAAGTGGAGATGCTTCTCACCACCAGTGATTTACAGAGGGTTTCATTTCAAGACACTGTCACAGGAAGATGCTGTCAATAATTCTCACTATAACAGCATGTGTGTTGGGGATTCAAAAAAGTCATATCTAACTTGATATAAATGAAGAAGACTGGAGAAAAAATATCCCATGTTTTTACTTTCAGTAGTTAGTAGTTTTGAAATGATGGAAACATAAGTTATTTTTTGAAAGTTCTTGCTTTCCTCTATGAAATATAATGTGTGGACATTTAGTTAGGTTACTTCTTTTATTTTCTAGAAAAGAAAGCTTCATAGTATTTTTTTAGGTAAGAGGTTAACTGAAAGCATATTATGTGATACTGTTAGTCAAGTCATTCTCTCTCTTTCTCTTTTAATTAACTTTTAAATTCCAAGGTATATTTGCAGTCTATGCATGTTTTTTATGGAGGTAAATATATGCCACGGTGGTGTGCTGCACAGATCAACCTATGACATAGATGTTAAGCCCGGCACTCATTAGCTCTTCCTGATGCTCTTCTTCTCCCACCCCCATCCCCAGCGGGCCCTACTGTGTGTTTCTCCCCTCCATGTGTCCAGGTGTTATCATCGTTTAGCTGTTCAGTTCCCATTTATGAGGGAGAACATGCAGTGTTTCATTTTCTTTTCCTGCATTAGTTTGCTGAGGATAATGGCCTCCAGCTCTATCCATGTCCCTGCAAAGGACATGATCTCATTCCTTTTTATGGCTGCATAGTATTCTATGTGTCTATGCACCACATTTTTTTTTTATCCAGTCTACTGTTGATGGACATTTGGGTAAATTCCATATCTCTGCTATTGTGAATAGTGCTGCAATGAACACACATGTGCTTGCATCTTTGTAGAAGAATGATTTACATTCCTTTGGGTATATACCCATTAATGGGATTGCTGGATCAAATGGTATTTCTGAATCAACCTGTTCTTATTCAATAACAGGAATCTCTGGAATGTCCAACACTTATACTGAGATATGCTGATTCCCTGAGTGCAGGTGGGATCCAGGAATATTTCATATGAAACACACAGGTAATACTGAGGTAGATGACCTAAGAAAACTCATCTAGTAGGGTCAAAAGTAGACAAGTACTACATCAAGTGGCTACAAACCATGAGGTCTGAACATCACAATGTGTAAGGATGAAATATTTGTTCCTATTCTTATTAGGACAGGAAGCACCCCAACCTGGAAGTTTGGCAGTGCCATCTGAGGACTCCCTCAGTCATCAATATTGACAACACTGATCACTTTCTTCTCTTAAAAATGCAGGCTTCACTTGGTTTTCAGGACACTAATAGATTTTCATTCAGTTTCAATGGAAGCTACTTCTCAGCCCCACGCTCCATGATCTTTAGCTCCCATCTTCTCTAGATAGGAGAGTGTTCTGCGTCTGAATTCAGGGATCTCTCTCTTCTCATCTACACTCATTCTCTAGGGATCTCATCAGATGTCACACTTTTAAAAACATCTTTGTGCTGATGACTTTCAAACTGATATCTTCACTATTGACCATGCCCCTGAATGCAGATCTAATCATTCAAATATCAATACTCAAAAAATATCTTCCAGCAGCTCTATTTGGAGGTCTCAGAGGCATCTCAAAACTAATGTGTCCCAAAGCAAAATCATGATCCCTATACATAGCCCACCACTAATACATAGCCCACCACACACAGCCCACTACTGACACCAACTCAGTACATGGGAATTGCTCTTCCAGTTGCTCTGGCCCCAACCCTTGAAGTCATACATTTATTTTGCAGACACATCCCTTGAACAAATTGTGTTAGCACTACCTTCAAAGTGTAACAGGAATTTAACTGCCTTTCACCACTGCCAATGCCCTGGGCCAAGCCAACATCACCTCTCCCTGATTACTGCCAAAAGCTCCCCACTGCCTCCCTAGAGGTTTTTCTGAATACAACAGCCTGATGATTCTATACTGCAAGAGACCATCTCATTCCTGTGCGCAGAAGTTCCTTACTTGGAGTAAAACCACTAGGAGTCTCCTGAATGCCCTACAACCTGTGCCTCAGTTACCTCCCAGAGCACCTTTCATTTTATCACCTCCACCCCTCAGCCCAGTCACACTGGTTCTTGGAAAGGAAAACCATGATGCTGCTGACGTTTTCCTGTCTATTTGCCTAAATGCTTTCCCTGGTGTCTCCATGGCTGGCTCCTTTTCCTGTTGAAGGTCTACTAAATGTGACCCTATTTAAAATAGCTATATATGCTTTGTTCCATTTACAAAAAAAAAGTCACCATGATGATGCCTTGCTTCATTATTCTCCAAGCCCTTATTACTAACTGTTACGGTAAATATTGAGTGTCAACTTGATTGGATTGAAGGATCCAAAGTGTTGATCCTGGGTATGTCTGTGAGGATGGTGCCATGGAGATTAACATTTGAGTCACTGGACTGGAAAAGACAGACCCTCCCTCAATCTGGGTGGGCACCATTCTAATCAGCTGCCAGTGTGGCCAGAATAAAAGCAGGAAGAAGAGGTGGAAACTTTAGACTGGTTTAGTCTTCTGGCCTACATCTTCCTCCCATGCTGGATGCTTCCTGCCCTCGAACATCAGACTCCACGTTCTTCAGCTTTGGGACTCGGACCTTTGAATGCAGACTGAAGGCTGCACTGTCGGCTTCCCTACTTTTGAGGTTTGGGGACTTTGACTGGCTTCCTTGCTCCTTAGCTTGCAGATGGCCTATTGTGGGACCTCACCTTATGATTGTGTGAGTCAATACTCCTTAGTAAACTCCCCTTTTTATATACTCTATCCTATTAGTTCTATCCCTCTAGAGAACCATGACTAATACACAAACTGACTTATTAGGTACCTTGTTTGCTGTCTGCTTCTACTCACGATAATGAAAGCTCCCTGAGAGGAGGAGTGTTTGCTTGTTTTTTCACATCTGTATCTCTCTCCAGAGTCCAGAAGAGCACCTAGCACACAGTATGTGCTCAGTAAGCAATTGCTGAGTGAATAAACGAAGGACAAGCTTCTAAATGTTACTTTTGACTTGTAATGTGATATTTCAGTTTCAGGTTCAATGTCAATTAGCATTGCTAAATCACAAGATCCTAAAGTGAATTGCAAAATCAAAGGAGTGTTCTTCCCAGTTTGAAATAAAATAATTAAATCAACGCCCCTTCCACTGGTGTAGGAGTTAATCTTTAATCTACAAAAGGGAGCTACCAACCTTCCCGGGAGGGAACGAACTTACAAGTGAATCATCACTTCAAGGCAAGAGAAGAATTAAAATGTATAAAGATAATAACAGCCGTTTGTGTTCTCAGCAATGTGTCTGAATATCTACATGCTGAAAATAAGTAGTCACATGATTTTTCCAGATATTCTAGGTTCATAAGGAAAACCTCAGAATCACATCCTCTTCTAAAGAAACTCCAATATTTAAGAGGGTCACTGGTACTAGGAATTTAATCATCTTCTTTAATTTATTTCATTCATTACATCATTTCCTGCCCTGGAAAATTTTGCTCATTGTAATAACCCAGAATAATGTCATCTAGTTTATGAAACATTGTAAAACACGAAACAACGCAATTTATGAAAGCAACTTTTGAGAAAACAATGCTTTCAAAGATATGAATTAATAATATTTTCTTGTCATTTTCTCAAAAGGAAGGCCCATTTTGAGTTGACAATACCAAAATGGCACACTTCCATTACCAAGATGATGCACTCCCATCTCTTTCTCCCTCAAAATAATCACTATAAAATTATAAAATCAGGCCAGGCATGGTGACTTATGCCTGTAATCTTAGTGCTTTGGGAAGCTGAGGCAGGAGGACTATTTGAGGGCAGGAGCTCAAGACCAGCTTAGGCAATAGCAAAAGACCCTGTCTCTACAGAAAAAATAAAATTAGCTGGGCTTGGTGTCATGTGCCTGTGGTCCTAGCTATGCAGGAGGCTGAAGCAGGAGAATTGCTTTAGTCTGGGAGTTCAAGGCTACAGTGAGCTATGACTGCACCACTGCCCACCATCCTGGATAACAGATGAGATTCTGACTCTTAAAAAAAAAAGAACAAAAAGAAAACAAAACCAAAAAAGAATGGTAGAGATCAGCTGTTTATTGCTGCTATCCTCCTCTGTAAACCAGCCATTCATTTATCCACTTATTCACTATGGGGTTCAGGTGAGACAGGGTCAATCCAGTTTCTCTAATCAGAAGCATTTTACTCAATCCTAACAAGTTTCTATATTTAAGCCATTCTCTGCCTTAAAAATTGGTTCCCTACATTATGAAACAAGGTATATTCATTTGACTAAATTATACAGAATGTTTTCTTTCATTATGCATTATTTTTAATTGTTTTAGAATTTTGAAATGTAGTTGGAGATTTCCATGTGAAATTTATATATATATATATATATACACACACACACATATACACACATACACATATATACATATACATATGCATAAATAGACAGTGGCTGATGAGAGCCAGAGAGCCAGGGAGGGAAACGCTATATTCTATGTTATTATAAAGCCCTAAGAAATTTTACAACTTATTTCACATGTTTTTAACTGGTGAGGGCTTTAGGGGTCAGAGAGGTAAACAGATATGTCCAAGATCATTCACATCATTGATGGCAGAACAAGGAGTGTGACAACAAAAATGAGAGAAAGATGGGGTGGAGGGTATAACAATACACAACTCTAGGTGCCACACTCTACATATGTTATATTCCACTGTCATAATGAGGAACAATGTCCCTATAGAATGTAAAAATTCTAAGCCTTTTAATGGGAAAAGTGTCTGTTACAATAGTCTAGTGCAGGCATTGATATAGGCTTTTTCCAGAAAGGGCCAGATAGTAAAGAGTTTAGGCTTTGTGGACCATATGGTCTCCATTACAATCACTCAACTCTGCCCTCACAGCTCAAAAGCAGCCACAGACAATATGTAAACAAATGAGGGTGGCTATGTTCCCATAAAACTTGATTTGCAAAACTAGGTTGCAGGCCAAATTTAGACCCTGGGCCACCGACTGCTCTCCCCTGATTAGGAAAATTTCAGAGTGTGATAACGTTAGGTTTAGGAAACAATGTGAGCACTGTTTATTCCTAATTTTACAAACATACAGTTGTATTTTGTCTATTAAATGTTAACATTATTGTCCTCATTTTAGAGATGGTGAAATTGAGGATCATAGTTTGATTCACTACTTCAAGAACAGAGTTTGATTTACTACATCTTCAAGTGAGAGGATGGGAGTCACACCACAAGACCAGTGCTCTCCTAACCCTTCCTCTGAGTCTCAAATATGGGCATTTTCCCCCATCTCACTTCTCTTTCTGTTTGATGCCAACTCCCTCCTTATGAACCTCACAATTATCTGCAGAAACACACTGCAGAGAGCAAGAATATTTTCAGAGATAACTGAAATAGAAAGGCTGTATTAGCTCCTTCTATGCTATACAATTTGTGTGATTACCAATGTAAAATATGCTACATATTTAGCATGTATACCCAATTTCAGCCTTGAAGAAAAATAGTTCCTTTTATTGATGATCATTTGTGGTGCTTTCAGCACCGGAGGATAAAACATTGGATTTCAGAAAGATAAATTTCAGGTTTCATCACTTAACCTCTTGTGTTTCATGACACAAACAGGCAAAGTAATGAGCATGAAGGTTTGACACGATGGAAGGACTATAAGTCTATGTTGCATAAAAGTGATAATAAAATCACTTATCACCCTTGGAGAAATGCAGGCGTATTAGTGCACTGACATGGAATCTCATGGGAGAAGACCACTTCTGCTTGTCCCAGGAGAAATGCCATCACTTTTTCTGAGGCAGGCTCCTCTGGATTTTTGAGATAACACTATTTGTTAAATACAGGAACCCATGCCTGCATATTAAAAAAACAACTAAGTAGCATGCAAACGAGGCTATAAAGAGGGCAACGATTACAGATCATCAAACAGAAACATGCACATGCACACACGGAGAACAATACCCATTTCAAAAAATGAATGTGGACTTTACTTATTTCATTTCTACCAATAATGTCTATAGATTAAACTTCCCACTGAAATGCATCATAAGAATACCTTGCAAGGTATATAACTTTTGTTAAGTGTAGTTATATTTTAAAAACAATAATATAACTGTGTCACATAGTTTTAAACTAAATACAAGTTTTGTTCTAATAATATTTAACCTTTTCTTTTTTCTTTCCAGACTTAGCAGTTGGGGTAGTATTCCTTCTCCATTAAAAAAAAAAAAAAAAAAAAAAAACTTAGCAAAACTGCTGAAGCTACACTGCAGGCAAATTTCCAACTATTAAATAGTTTCAAGACATATGTACAGCCAAGCCTTTTGCCCATCAGAAACAGTACATCCCAAGCCGCTGTGGAACAGAGTAAAAAGTCATGTGCCCCCACAGGGCAACAGGGAACTTTATTACCACCAGTGACGTCTGCTCTAGTTTTGCTGACACAGTAACGCATGTGTGGAGTAACATCCATGTGATACTTATATGCTGTGAAAACAATGCTGTCTGCTTCATTTTCCTTTGTAATGTATCCTACATACATAGGGAAATAAGGAGAAAAAGATAGATGAAGAACTTGGGATTTGAAGAGAAATGAATATGATGACTAAGATATTATGCTAGGTTAAAGAAAATTTAAGTTAGATTTTTACATGTTTCTTCATAAGATCCCTTAAAAGTGTGTTATTTTGTTATGTCAAATTGATAACTAATTTCAAATGAACAAACATCTTTGCCTGCTTTTGGCAACACACCCAAAAAAATGAATTTGGATTTTCCCTTGTACAATCCACAAAATTGGAACTCTTCCTTCTTTTACTACCCATATTGACACAGATATGTGATCATGGTAGCCAGAAACAAACACATTGTTTCCCAAATTCAGCAAACAAGTAAATACTATTTTTTACTAGGTAGCAGCTACTTCACAATATATACTTCCAATACTAAGCATGCAATGTATGTATTTTTTTACTCATTTAATAAGTAACAACAACATCAAGGAAAGGTTAAACACCAATTTACTGAAAAAAGATAAGCAACTGCAACATGAAGCGCACAGTATTTTTGTATGTGTAACCCTGACTCCAAACTGGTTATTCATAAAGTTTGAGCTCTCTATTGTTTAGACATTAGCGGTCTTCTCATTCCAAGAAGTGGGCAATAATGTAAAGCTTGTCAAATGTGGGGAAATGAGAAAGGTGAAAAACAAAAAAAAGAAACTAGAAAGGGATGCCTGTTTGATTACCTCTGTACCTCCTTAACTAACATTGTGTCTGGGCTCAGGGCAAGATCTGCCAGCATGCAAACAGGATACACTAGGAACAGCTGCAGACAGTGACGGACTGCACTGGTGTTAGAACACCATAACACTATTAATCCCCTCCAGTGAGGAGCTCTGAGGTGTTTGTGCTTCACAAACAAGCTTTCTATATTAGGCTGACACATCCCAAAGGCAGTAACAGGCAAAGCCCAGACCCAGGCAAAGTCTTGATAACATTATCAAAGAAGCCAGGGCTCAAAGGATTGTGTTGTGGAGACTCTCCCAGCACTCCCTCAATATAGGGAGAAGAAAATAAATTTTCCTTTCCCCTATGATATGAGTAAACGTATGAGTTTATACATTCCTGTTTTCTGTAACTAGTAACTTCAAGTATTCTGTTTTATCTAAGCAGCAAGGTGAAGGTTATAAGACGTGCCTCAGCAGGCCTGGGCTGCAGTCATCTAGGCACCATATTGAAGTTTATGAGACAAACCCACACAAGGCACTAGAGCAAGCCTAGGTAACAGCCATATGGACTGCACAGCAAGAGTCACATGTAATTCTGAGTTATGAACCTGTTACTATTTGATTAACTGCCTTTGTTCTGCCTCTGTATCCTTGCTTTCATGTCACTACACTTCATGCCACTGTAAGCTTGTTTCAAGCTAGCCCAGCCACTTTTTGAAGTGTGTATAAAAGTCAAGCACTGTCTTTGCTCTAGGCCCAGTTTTTGGATGTTAATCCGCTGGGTCTGAGCGCATTCGATTAAATTATCCTGTTTCACCCCATGGTCTCTTTGGACCTCCTTCATTCCAGCAAAACTTCTACACCCTGCTCTGCTTCCCTTCTTACCTACCACATTCCTGGTTCACCTCCTAACTAACCTGCTCACACTCAAAGCCTTCACTTGGATCAGCTTTTGAAGGTGTCTTAACTTTGGTGGGCAATATTTATTTGTCAGACATGCATTTCAAAGCGGCAAATATCAACTTACATAGGAATATGCAGACACATTAACACCTTGTGCTCAGAGGATTTATGGTGTTTGTTCCAAATGGAATGGGACAGAAAAGTTTAGGTAGACCTTAGGATCTGGCAGGACTGATGGCTCAGGAATGACCTGTGAAGGTAACTTACTTGGTACAAGGAAGCAGTCCCACATTCTTAATAAAGAGATGAAAAGTAGAAATGAGAACTAGGCATTAATCTATTAAACTATTATTCATTTTTAATTTTGAAGCCAGTTTCCCTTCTCAAGTACCAGGAGGAAATACAGTATAGTTAATTTAAATAAGCAAATATAAAAATTATCTGAAACTCTTACAAAAGTTAATGATTTTGCCCATTCTATATTCATGCATTTCTTCTGGTAGAGAGTTAGCAATAAAAATATTCAGAAATGTTATTCACCAAGAAGAGGAAAAGCATGAAACTAATTTACCAACCTATGAATAACTTAGAATTTACTATAAAAACAGATGAGTTAGGTCTAAGTTATGTGCAAATAAATGGGTTAAGAAAAAATTAAATAGTCAATCCATTTTGGCAAACATAGACTAATTTTGTATTTTAAAATAACTATAAGAAAGATAAGGACAAAAAGTCTGGCTTTTCTCTGAAAATCAGCTTTATAGCTCATGAATCCCAAGCAGTGAATCTAAACTAAATGGAACTCATTTTATCTATTTTTTTTTTGTTTAATTATACTTTTATTTCCTGAGGTATTCATAGCCGATGAAAACAAACAAACGAACAACACACACACAAAAAAACCCTTCCCCCTTTCCTTGACACAGCCTGAAGTTGTCAAACCTGGCTCTCTATCTAAATCAAATACAACAGAAAATTGCTTAGGCTTTGCACAGACAGCTACATTGGAAGTGGTCATTGTTTTTTTAAAGTAATTATAAACCACTGGAAGACTGGTACAGTTTTAGGTCTGGAGCAAACAGGTATAAATGGGCATTTATTGGATGAAAATGCACCATTTTTTGAAACATAGCAGTCATTGCAGTCATCATTAAAATGTTCTAGCTCTTCAGGTGGACAAATACTCAAAATTTACATTTCCATGTGTCTCAATTTGAGGTGTATCCCAAGTGTTAGTTCTTGTACTCTTATATATCAAAAATGTAAGCACTGAATTCATAGTAGATTCCGTTTTCAGTAAAGATGCATCACAGAATGATAGGAATTTAATGAATCAATAAAATGGTGGAAGACACTCCCTCCAGTATATGTCTAAAGGAGACTTAACCACTTCACTAACAAGATGGTGGCACCTCTTCCTACCTTCCTCAAGCTCATCAAATGTAGAAAACAGCCTCACTGGGAAAAAAAATGTCTTTAACAACTTTTTTGAAATATGTAATTTTCATACCATAAAATTGTCTCATCTTAAGTGCTCACTGACATTCTTATACTTACTGTGTTGTGTAACTATCACCATCACTGGGTTCTCGAATGAGTCCATCAACCCACAAAGATTGATCCTTCATCCCTTACTGAGAAAATTTAAAGGTAGAAACAACAACACAACATTTTCTGTCTTTACCTTCTCTTTTTATTACTCATGTTTCATTTCCTCATATATTGAACAAGGATTTGTTGGGCAGCTACTATGTGTCAGGTACTGTTCTAGGCAGTGGGAATAAGAAGTAAAAAAGAAAACACATCTGGTCTTATGAAACACAGAAACAGACACACACATTCATCCTAATTGAATGCAAGGATAAACAGTGCACAAGATTAATAAGCAAAATACTAAGGCAGGGTAGACAGTCATAACAGAAAATAAGAACAAAAATACAACACAGGAAAATGGATTTGTTTGCTTGTTTGTTTATACATATATGTAGCATGGCTAAAGATGCTTTTGCTGGAAAAGAGGTATTTGTATAAAGAAGGTGAGCCAGACAGCCTTTCAACAAGCTGAAGGAAGAGCATATCCCCGGTCCAGGACCAAGCAAATGTCAATATCCTGAAGCAAGGGAAAGATTATAGTATTCAGAAAACACAGAGGAGCCTAGCAGGATGAGCAGGAAAACAGGGAGGTTACCGATGAAGTCTAAGAGGAAGGAGAAAGGGGGGTCAACTGGGTCTTAAAATCCATTGTAAAGAACATGGCTTCTCTGAATCAGATGGGGGAAGCTGCTGGGACACGTTGAGCAAAAAACTGACGGGAAGTGGCTCAGATTTTAGTAGGATCACTCAGGTGGCTGTGTTGAGAGAGGACTAAAAAGGAGGGGATCCAGAAGTGGAAATCCGGAAGCAGGGATGAGAGGCCTGGGTCTGAAACCCAGGATCCGGAAGTGGGGATCCGAAAGCAGGAATGAGGTGCCACGATCAGGAAACAGGAATCCAGAAGCCTTAAGGCAGAAGCCAGGAGGCAGAAGTGGGGATGTGATTAGGAAGCTAATACAATTCCCAGTTAAAGACAGAACTGAGCGGATTAGGGGAAACACAGGGAAAGGTGAATCAAGGCAGATCTGAGGATTTGCGGTGGCTTGCAGAAAATGTTTAGAGTCGAGAATGACTGCAGGCCTCTTTTGCCACAAACTGCTGCAAGAGCAGCATTGCCGATTACTCAAATGGAGGCTATTGAGAGAAAGAGTGCTTAAGGGAAAAGTCCTTAATTTCCTTGGGGATGCTCGTATTTCCAGAAAGAGAGTAATCATTTATCGATCACTGTGACTGTTATGCTTTTGGCCTTTTAAAAAAAAAAAAATAGGTTTTTCTAAGAAATAGATTAAGCACCAAACTGCAGGATACTCCCCGTTCCATGGGATTGCAGTTCAGATACATGGGTAATAAAGGAAGCTAAAGACACAAAATTAACTTTATTTCTAACTTTAAATTTTCCCAGTAAGGTATAAAGGACATTATTGGGGTGATGGACTCATTCTAAAACTAGATGATGGAGGCCGAGGCGGGCGGACAACGAGGTCAGGAGATCAAGACCACCCCGGCTAACACAGTACAACCCCATCCCTACTAAAAATACAAAAAATTAGCTAGCCGTGGTCGTGGGCTCCTGTAGTCCCAGCTACTCAGGTGGCTGAGGGAGGAGAATGGCGTGAACCCAGGAGGCGGAGCTTGCAGTGAGCTGAGATGGCGACACTGCACTCCAGCCTGGACGACAGAGCGAGACTCCGTCTCAAAAAAAAAAAAGAAATAGAAAAAACAGAAATTAGATGATGGTGATGGTTGCACAAGTCAGTAAATACTAAAAGTCACTGAACTGTACACTTGAAGATTATCGGGGGACCTGCCCCGATAATCACGTAGGTTCTTTTCTATTTTCCTAAGCGTCGGCTGGCTTGAGAAATCAAGGGACAGAGTACAAAAGAGAGAAATTTTAAAGCTGGGCGTCTGGGGGAGACATCACACGTTGGTAGGATCCGTGATGCCCCACAAGCCACAAAAACCAGCAAGTTTTTATTAGGGAGTTTCAAAAGGGGAGGGAGTGTGCAAATAGGTGTGGGTCACAGACATCAAGTACTTCACAAGGTAACAGAATATCACAAGGCAAGTGGAGGCAGGGTGAGATGATAGGACCACAGGACTGAGGCGAAATTAAAATTGCTAATGAAGATTCAGGCACCATTGCCACTGATAACATCTTATCAGGAGACAGGGTTTTGAGATCAACCAGTCTGACCAAAATTTATTAGGTGGGAATTTCCTCTTCCTAATAAGCCTGGGAGCACTATGGGATACTGGACTCTATTTCACCTCTGCAGTCTCGACCAAAAGAGACAACCACACCCGGGAGGGCAGTTCAGAGACCCACCCCCAGGTACACATTCTCTTTCTCAGGGATGTTCCATGCTGAGAAAAAGAATTCAGCGATATTTCTCCCATTTGCTTTTGAAAGAAGAGAAATATGGCTCTGTTCTGCCCAGCTCACCGGCGGTCAGAGTTTAAGGTTATCTCTCTTATTCCCTGAACAATTGCTGTTATCCTGTTTTTTTTTCAAGGTGCCCACATTTCATATTGCTCAAACACACATGCTGTACAATTTGTGCAGTTAATGCAATTATCACATAGTCCTGAGGCAACATACATCCTCTTCAGCTGACAGGATTAAGAGATTAAAGTAAAGACAGGCACAGGAAATCACAAGGGTATTGATCAGGGAAGTGATAAGTGTCCATGAAATCTTTACAATTTATGTTTAGAGATTGCAGTAAAGACAGGCATAAGAAATTACAAAAGTATTAATTTGGGGAACTAATAAATGTCCATAAAATCTTCATAATCCATGTTCTTCTGTCATGGCTTCAGCTGGTCCCTCCGTTTGGGGTCCCTGACTTCCCACAACAGAAGATAAGTGAATTTTATGACATAAAAATTATATTTCAGTAAAGTTATTTAAAGCATTTTTCCCAGTAAGGATCTTTCGACATTTGGTGAGAATGAGAAACAGATGTGGCCCCACCTTGTTAGTGATTAAGTTGGCTTTAGAGATCATAGAGGGAATGTCTACCACCTTTTGTCTGATATGTTAAACCTGTCATTCTGGGATTTTCTATATTTAAAATATAATGGAATCTTCTGTTAATTCTGTGCAGACATTTTTGGTTTGTAAGATTTGAAGAACTAAAGCTTGGAATGTTCCTCACAATGAGATACATGGACGTGTGAATTTTAGGTGTATTTGTAACAGTGACAGAACAACATTTTAATGATAACTACAATAGTTGCATTTTCCTTAAATAAAAGTCCACTTAAATTTGGGAGATAGAGTTCGCATTCTAGATTATTAAGTTGCTCCGATATACCAGAAAGCGTCAGAACAGCTTGACCTTCCTACTCTCCCCCAGATCCTGGCCCTGCCAAAAGATCTCTGCCCAGATCATGAGAATAGCAAGGCTGTATAATAAATCATGGGAGCAAAACCACCTTCATTAGACAAGAGGTGCCACCACAACTCTTACAGGAAATTATTTAAGCATCTGTCTCTAGAGGCTGGGAACAGCTTCCATCCGATGTCTGAATTTGCAGTCTTGTTCATAGAGCACCAGCCCAAACCCTGCAGGCAACTGAACAGATGGTAACACATTTTTGACCACAACACGTCTGAATCCCATTTGAACCATAAAACTTAAGGTGATGCATTCTGAAACTTTTTATTGATCACTGCCTACTAACCCACAATTAATTATTTCACATGCCTCATTAAATTTTCAGATCAGTTGGAGACAGAGTCTTAAGACAGGGTTTGATGTCTTCATTTACAATTTCACTTTAAAGTTTGCTTAGTTCATGAATTTGCCTCCTTAGGAGGGAAAAAAAAGAAAAGAAAAGAAAAAGAAGCCCCCCCCCCACACACATTTTAAAAGGCTTTTAAATGTAAACAGTTACATTATTTATTAATGTCACAATCAATAAATTTATGTAAAATAAAACAAATTTAGTTTCTGCATAAGAAGATAACTTGTGATTAGTGGGAGAACAAGGTAACTAATCTATATTTGTGAAACCAGATCCTTAGAAATTAGTCAAGCAGATGTCTAAATTTGGAAGGTACACAGCCATATGGACGCAACTAGAAAATAAACCTGCTTCAACTGTCACAGATTAACTGCAAATGTAACATACTGTTCATTTGTTTCCACAGAGATTTTAAAATATCATTGCTGTCAGAACTGAACAAAATTATAGCAATGATTAAATTACTAGGGAGGGGTTTAAATTCTAAATGTTATGAAGCAAAGGGAGGAGTCAAATTCGCTCTCAATTTAACAATCATTTCAAGGAAGACTATTTTGTCTAGAGTAGCTTAAATTCAGTCTTTCTCTTTGAAAATCAACTGAATAGTGCTTAATGCAAAATATCTTTAACCAAAAACTCAACAGATGTTGATAATGAAAACCCCCCGCCACTTCAAAGTTTTTTAAAAAAACTCCCTTATGTTATCTTCTGTGACATACTGCAGGCAAAATTTCAAGTTGTCCTTAACCATAAATGTGCACAGTACCTTCAAACACATCTGGTCCCATTCTTTAAAACAGCAAAGCCACCTGTTGAGTCTTAAGACAGGGTTCATAAATATGAACATGGTGACAGTGAATCTATATTCATGTATGTATGTATTTAAGACTAACCTTTGGAAGAACAGAAGTGTTTGCTGGGGGCAGTGAAGCGTCGAGTTCCATGCACATTCACAGCAGCCACTCGAAACTGGTACCGTCAGTTGGGTCTTATGTCAGTCAGTTGAACTCACAGAGCACAGGGAACATGTCACCTTTTATTCTCACATGTTGGTTGGATCTGTTTAGAAAAATACACTAACCTATCAGCCAGTGCAGCTGAGCCTGTCTTCCTTCTGATAAGTGCTGCTTATCATGCCCAGTTATGAAGAGAGCTGTCAGGGATCAAGGAATCACTTATATTTCACCCCAAAGAATTAAACATCTCTTGAAGTCAAAATCTCATGACAAGAGCTCGGGCTATTTGTAAATCTGGTGATTAATTACAGCATTTGAGCGATTCAATCAACAGAGAATATTTATGAGTAGCCATTGTTACATTACAGACAAGAAGATGAAATCACCTCCAGGTTACAGAAAGAAAATATTTTAACTCACATGCCAAATATAATTATAAAAATAGCTATAACAACCCACATGCTTAAAGACCACTAACAATTTCTGGAAGTAAATTATAACCTGAGCCACTGTTTAAAAAAACCTTTGAGTAAATCACGTAACGTCTGTGAAGAACCAGTCTTGATCATAAAGGGTGAAATGTGTTAGCATGTATTTGTTCAATAAAATGCCCAAAAGGGGAAAAATGACACTGGGGAAGATCAGTAGGTTTTGCTGTCTCTAGTGCTACAATTTTAAGATATCAAATAACTTTAATAGTCTTCATACTATATACCTGCTTTCAACAATGTTCTGTGTTTAATTTCCATTGGTAGGATCTTGAAAACCTTTGCCTTGAATTCCAAAAAATAACCACCTACAGTCTGTGCCTTCATCTACACCAGGTGCTGAACTCAACTTGCTCTTTGGATGAAACTAGGGAAACAGGATTGGATTTAAACATTCCTACACTTGTTTATAATAACTGAGGTTATAACAACCTCAGCTTATAAGAACATGAAAACGACTGTCATGTTTACATCAATATCTAAAATAACATTTCTGAGAACAAAGGAAGAATATGAACTCTTACATGTAACTTTCTACCTGCTTTGGCAGACTTTGAGAAAACAGTTTCAACTTCATCATTTAGAGTTTCAGCTGTGAATTTAAAAAGCTTAAAGTCGGCATGGTATCTACAGTGTTTAGCAGACAAGGAGGTATTATATGTAGCATTAACAGGATAAAATAATAACAACAACAACAATAAAAGAGCTTTTGTCTTTCCAAAAATCTTTTGAAGACAAAAGAGATTATCTTATTTTCAGTTATTTTCATAAATCTTCAACTAATTTGGAAAAATTTCAAATGAATCTGTACCATGATTTAGGAAAGTATGGCATGTAAATCAAATGGAATTTCAGGCTGTATTCTGAGTGGCTTTATGTTTTATTGAAGCAAAGTTTTTTTATAAAATAAGTATAGAATAGAATTACTGAATTGATTTGACCAGTTTTTTTTTTTTTTTCTAATTTAATGTTGTTGTTGTTTTACATCAAACTTCTTATTTTGGGGTTTTTACATTGT
The DNA here is from genome assembly GCF_000001405.40 of Homo sapiens. Lineage (NCBI taxonomy): Eukaryota > Metazoa > Chordata > Mammalia > Primates > Hominidae > Homo > Homo sapiens. The sequence goes on along the minus strand of NC_000024.10, from coordinate 13,870,229 downwards.
TTTATTTTAGTGCTTAACCCCTTTGAGATAGTGCTATTTAGAAAATATTCTTCTTGCAAACACCTAAATAATGACATTTATTTTTCATTTACTAACAAAAATATAGGAATCTAGTCCTTGTAAAAAAATGACCTAATCAACTTAAGGTGACAATTTTTTCCTATAGACATAAATGTGGGAAGGCATTTTCATTGTCTAAATGCATGGAACAGTTTCATATTCAGAATCTGTTACTTTTTACATCCATGTATGGTTTCTTGTGTGTGTGTATGTGTCTCTGTGTGTGTGTGTGTGTGTGTGCATGTGGTGGGAGGCAGCAAGTAGCAGCTGGTTGTGCTTTTAACGGCTCGTAAAAAGAAAGAAGATAACATTTCGCTTTTCTCATCAACAAGACAGAAGATGAAGACTCAGTGTTAAGATAAACTCTGGGAGTGTTGCCATGCAGATGGTGTATCAGTTTTTAAGCTGACTAAGACAAAGAAGAAATCACTGGTGAAGGTTTATGGGCTGCTGGCTATGTCCCAATAAGTAATTTTGTAATACAAATCTTACCTCATGCTCCTTAAGTCTGGGTGGGATAAAGGAATAAAGGCAGGAGAAACAGAAGAGAAGGCATTTAGATGATTAAATATCAAATTAGTCCTCATAAAGTTTCATTTCCCTTACTCTAATTGGCTTTGAGTTTGGCTGAGGGAAATGTGGTTCTTGGAGAAAATACATGTGAACAGATTATAAAATTATCTACCTTCTATGTATATTTCAGAGAAATTATTCCAATGGTTGAGCCTCTGAGCATATTCATTTGTATCTGTGAACCTCATCCTCTCTTTAGCAGACCTTTATATTGTTTATTCCGTATATGAGTAAGTAATTTCTGTAGTCAAGCTATTTTGAGGCATAGCAAGTTAATTTTATGTGCGGAGGTATGTAGCAGACACTACCTCCAGGATGAAAATCAAAGTCTATATGAAGCTTTTACCTGTACCACTGTCTGCCAATGAGTGACATTGTCTTCTCTAGGATGGATTCCATAATTCCACCTTCTTTGTACCACAAACATCACAGGCTCAATAGGAATATGGAATTTGGAGGACCACTTACCTCCAGCTGTCCAGACGGCAATTCTGTAAATTGTAACCCTTCTCTGGGCTTCAGGGGGACACCTGAAACAGGACAATATCAATTAAAACAATCTGCATGTGACTCAAAGTATAAGCTGAGGAAGAACAAATCTGGAAGAGATGAATCCGATCTGATGACAACTGAGATTTCCTTTCATAAAAGTGGCCTCTTCATACTCATACAGGGTTTCACTTCTGAAGTCTTCTGACACTCCATTCAGCTATTTGCTCCTTTTTGTTTTAACTTTTCTTTTTTTTTTTTTTTTTAGAGAGTATAAACTGATTCCTGATTCTGAACAAGTGATTTATTCCTTGGTAATCTCTACACAGTCATTTCATGTGCATTCTTCTGAATAAATCATGTTACAAGGTTGTTTCACTTGAGGTTAACATGGAATTCACACTATGAGATCACTATAAAGCATTTCAAGTCATTTTCCCATTTTTTAATATGCTCTGTGTCTACTGATACATTCTAAGGTCATTATAACATGGTTTCCAGATTTAATCTTCCTTCTTTCTCAGGGAGTTTTCCATTTAAGGAAAGAAAACACTGCAAAGTGAAATCTCTTCATGTGAAATCTCCTGAGTGATTTTCAAAGCTCAAGTCTTTTAGATTCTGCAATGACTGCTCAAGCACTCCACCATAGTCTTAATGGAAAATAATGAATTTATAATGTTTGGATTTTGCATGAGTGAGTGCACTGCTCCAAAAGTTTCTCATAGATGTCTCATTTTAAAGTAGTTAATCATTCTGATTTCTTACTCACCTTCTGTACATGCAAGTTGTCTGGTAATTGATATATTGAAGAACCACAGTTCAAAATAGCAGACATTTCCGAAAGGGAATTTGTTAAGAAATTGGTAATACTAATAGAATATGCAAAACTAACTCAATAAGATAGAATCTATGTCACCATGATGGTGAATGCCATCAACAACAAGAACACCAATTACCATTAATATCATTTTCTGTCCACAATGGTCATTTGCTGAAAGCACTGAAAACTCATTTGAAAGGCTATTTAACAATGCTTGATTTCTTCTTCTATTTTGTAAGTTTAAACGCAGAAGAAACTGGAAAATGTGCAAACACAAAATGCAAATAATGTTTGATACATGCTGGTGACATGGCTGAATTTCAACTCCTCTTTCATTTGGATCTTAATTCACGGTAAGCCTGGTTTAGAAAAATTTTAAAGTCATCAAAGATTTAGATGGATGGAGTTGAATAATTTTTAAAAAGCATATTTATATATGGTCAAAGTCGCTGATTTTCAAAAAATATTTTTTAGAGAAAATGTTTACCATACTTACTGCATTCTCCTTTTTTATTGCCGATGGGTCATGGCTGAGTAGCAACCTTTAATTTACAATAAATTTGTCTCTCCTGATCCTTACTGGGAATTTGTGAAGTGGGTAAAAGCTTAATTATCTACTTATTGAATGGGAGATATTTGAGTCTAAGGAAGATTAAATAAGTTGCCTGGGGCTACGATCTGATCTCAGTTTTCTCTCTGAAATACCTGCTTCTTTCTACATTTCATAATAGAAAAGGCCACACAGAGAGACAGAAGATAGAAGTGGTTTTGATAGATATGCAAATCCTTTGGATATTTTTCTTCTAAGATCCTCAGCTTTCTTGGTGGATCTGGGACTTCACCAAGTCAATCTTTGACTCCTGTTCTGCCATGACATGCATTTCTTTCAAGCTTGTATCCTAAACTTTTCTTCTCAGTGCATAATCATAGCAATGGGGGTACCTTGACTTGGATGATTAGCTTATTGCTACTAAGCAAATGTTTCTCCAGTCTATCCCTAATCCCTGGCTAAGCTGCAGACCATCTTTTCCACCTGCCTGCTGAATTTTTCTGTTCCAGATATGTCCCTTCTACTGGGATATCTATCTTTATGACAACTTTATTCTTTAGAATGGCTAAGGGATCTTAGAATCTTTTTGATATGTTCTTGAAGCTAACAACATTTAGTTGTTTTATTGCATAATACATTTTCAAGAATCTACAAATCATTGTGTCGCCATGGTGGTCACCCAACTTTACTCCCCTCCTTGTTCCGACCTTCACAACAGCCTTTCAACCTATTTCCCTGCACCTGAATCTCTTTCACTAATGACCCCTTATTGGTACTTTGTGGTTATTTTTCTAAAGTAGAAGTGAGGTTCTCTCCTTCAGTTTCCCAAACTCTTTCATTGTATCCTATTCTCTATAGAATGAAGAGAAACTTCTTGACATCCCCTTCAAGGCATCCATCTTCATGATTGGCTACCATTTTATTTGTCAGTCTACCTCCAAGTATCTGTTTAATTTTTGTCACAGATATTATCTACAAACCCAGCTTTCCTAGAAACACATTGCCAGGTACTTCATAAAACCATGGGCTGTTTGTGGTGTTTATTTTTTTTTCACTCTGAAATGTCTTGCCTTCTGCTTTCTAACTAAAGACCTTGAATATTTCCAGGCTCAGAAAAAATGCCACCACTCTGTGACACATCCCCTAAATTTCTCAGTCAGAAATAAAGGCTTTATTCTTTTGACCCCTTCAATGCTGAACCTCTAACTGTCAAGACATGCGTTTAACTGCTTCTTGCTGCAGCAAAGTCATTTAATGATGCCAGTTTTCCCATTAAGCCATAGCCCCCATAGGTCAAAAACCATGTCTCCTTCATTCCCACACCTCACAATGTCCCAGAAGAGAAACTTCTGCAATAGCAAATGTTCAATGAACAGCCTATATTTGCTGAACAAATAGCAAAACTTACTTTCTTACTCTTCCTTCAAGAATATGTGGAAATAAGAGACTAGTGCAATATTTATGCTAACCATTGCAAAAATGATAATCCCTACTCTGCTTGAAAGTCACCAAGGGAAGGGTGAAGATTTATCATAGTTATTTTGTACTGCCGTATTTATCATATATTGTTTCAAGCAGCTCAGATCTCTTTTCCAGCGTGGTCCTGTTACTCACACGTACATTCGCTCTGCTTTTTACAAAAAATAAATAAGAGAAAATAAAGCAATGCCAAAATGTTTACAAGATAGAACATTTTTATTGCATTGACCATAGACTAACTCATTACAAAAATAAATAAAAGATCAATTCCTGATAGGATAGAAATCCCAAAGTTAATTGATTATTGGTTTTAATAGAAGTAGCTCTCTATATTTTGTGTCAAGAAAAAAGCCATCAAAATTTGTTCAGAGTGATGAAAAACAAATCTTAACAAAGTGATCATTTAGTATCATTCTTGCATTGAAGGTTGGCCAGCAGATGCCAGACAAATAGTTCTACAGAAAGGGTATGTGGATAAGAAGAGAGATAGTAGCCTCAGATAACATTTCATTATTTCCTTGATTCTTTGGTGTACAGTAAAAAAAAAAAGATGACCAGTTCTTCAAACTAATAGAGCACATTCTCTGAGATTTCAGAATTTACTTTGCTCTTTGTCTTTCCCGTGTGTAATCCTCTAGAGTAAATACAGCTACAGTAAATACTCTAGCCTATGAAGAAACCTTAACTCACCAGAAGCCAGCCCAAGCAGCCCAATCCCCTCGCAGTAAGGTTTTAATCTTGAATGGCACTTACAGACCAACAGCCTTAAACAAATGTATTGAGCACAAGGGTGATGTCTGTTCAAATTTCTTCATTTAAAAATCTCTTTAATTATAATGAAGCATGACCCTGAAATACGCATGTTAAGAAATGGTCCACCTGCTTTGCAATAAGGTCAGTTGGCTCCTTTGATTGGAAGTAGCTCTGGCACTCTGCTAGAATTGTGAGCAGATGAGGCTCAGCCCCTCTCAAGACCTCCAGCCCTCACTGCCAGTACACACAGTACTCAATGGCTAACCAGCATCCCAACTGCATAACCAGATGTGTAGACTGGATCTCTTCTCAATATATTTTCTATTATGTAAATGATTAGCATTTTTCTCTTTAAAATTATTTTTGGACAAATTAGTCATCTGAAATCTAAACTATTCTGTTGAAAAATTTACAGACATTATTATATGGCATGTGCAATATGTAACATCCACTTTTTTTTCTTTAAAATGCAAAAAAAATTCTGTGAAATCAAGAGCAGAAAGCCAATGCTTTTTTAAAATGCTGAAAATATATGAATAGAAAAATCAATTAGGATAAGCAATCCACAGTTGCATACTCACTGTGAGATTTTACTATTACTATTAATTTTTTATCATGAGTCTAAATGATATTAAAATGTAGCAAGATCTATTGTTATAGTGATTTAATCACCACTTGATATCTCTTATAAAGGTAATTAGAACCTAGAATTTGTATTTATAACACATTAAGGTATTGGGCCACTTAATTCAAAATTGTTGAAAATTTATTTGTGAGAAGTTGTATAAATCCACTTATACAATTGGGTTCATTATACAACTGAATCTATTTATACAAATGAAGTTTAAATATTTTACATATTGATTATTTGTGGAAATATTAAATAAACTCTATGATCAGGTCTGTTTGAAAATAAACAGATTGACATCAAAGGAAGATATACATAACTGCAAGCCACAAATTAGTCTCAATCTTTATATTTGTAAAATTTTTTAACTTTTCTCTCTCCCTGCCCAAACCATTTTTGCCACAGTTAGAAGCCAAGGGAGGCCATGGGATTTGGCAGCAAAATAGTAAAACACACACCCTCTAGAAGAAAGATTGTCTCACCAAGCCATAAAATAGATTTAGAAAGTAATAGAAATAGAAAGGAAAAAGGAAGTGCCCCCAAATGCACTCATTTGTGTTCTACCTGTAGAAGATAAGCCTTTTAAACTTTCTACAACTATATGAAGGTTTGCATTTCATAGAACTAGTACCAGCAGGCATCTCCAATCGTGTTAATATTTCCAACCCTTCATTTTGATGCTAATAATTTTATTTAAAAAGTAAAAGAAAGGATCTCTGCTGTTTGTTTTAAACTATAACACTAGTCTATGAAGATTAACTTACTTCCAGCCATCGGTCAAGCGCGGTTCTTATGGTGTAACTCAAATTCAGTGCTCAAATATAATAGGAGGCTGGGTGCGATGGCTCATGCCTGTAATCCCAGAACTCCGGGAAGCCAAGGCAGGTGGACTACTTGAGATCAGGAGTTCAAGACCAGCCTGGCCAACATGGCAAAACCCCATCTCTACTAAAAATACAAAAATTAGTCAGGTGTGATGGTATATGCCTATAATCCCAGCTACTTGGGAGCCTGAGGCAGGAGAATCACTTGAACCTAGGAGGCTGAAGTTGCAGTGAGCTGAGATTGTGCCACTGCCCTCCAGCCTGCACAACGAGAGTGAGACTCTGTCTCAAAAAATATGTATATGTTTATATACACACACACATACATACACACACACATATATAATATGAAATTTTGTTGATCATCATTTCAAGACACTCATTGCTTTTAAAAACTCAAGAGACCAGTATATAAAGCTCTTGAAGCTATAAAATCAGTACTTTCCATTTACCCTTTGACAAATACAGCAGACTAAACAGAAAGTATGTATGGGTTTTTATAATTTAAAAATATTTTTAAATATTAATTCAATAAGTAATAAAAGTAAACACAGTACAGAGGTTGGTAAATGACAATATATTTAAAGGTTAGGAAAACAATTTGCCCACTTAAAGAGTATTGTGCTAATGACAATCTCAGTAATAAACTACTGGACCATGTGGAGGCTGGTGTCACATGTATACTTGCACCCCAATGCCAATTACAGATGACAGCAAATTGTAGGCACTCCATGAACATGTATTCAACTGAAATGTGCCAATACTTCTCCATGCATGTGACAGCAGCCCCTTTTAAAAGTAAACCAGTGGGTGGGCATGGTGGCTCACACCTACAATCCCAGCAATTTGGGAGGCTGAGGTGGGCAGATAAAAAGGTCAGGAGTTTGAGACCAGCCTGGCCAACATAGTGGAACCCCATCTCTACTAAAAATACAAAAAATTAGCCATGTGTGGTGGTGTGTGCCTGTAATCCCAGCTATTCAGAAGGCTAAGGCAAGAGAATCACTTGAACCCAGGAGGCAGAGGTTGCAGTGAGCCAAGACTGTGCCATTGCACTCCAGTCTGGGTGACAGAGCAAGACTCCATCTCAAAAAAACAAACAAACAAATGTAAACCATGGAAAATGTTAAGAAAATGTTATTTTGAATCTCCAAACAGCACTATTCAACAACACTTTAATACATGTTAATTAATGAATGAGAAGCTAAGAAGGAACTTCAGGTTTTCAATCTGTCCCATAGAATTTGGTTCTCCATATAGCACACTCTGTGTCTAGTTTTATACACTTCATCTCTAAAATGTAAAACAATCCCACATTATTCACTAGCCTAAAATGATTCAGAAAGTAGTAATTTTTTAGATTAAAAATATTCTATATTGACAAATCTTTTAGTTGGCCTATTAGAGAGACAGATATGTAATAGATATAGATATATTTTGGGACAAGGTCTCACTCTGTTGCCCAGACTAGAGTGCAGTGGCATGATCATGGCTCAGTGTAACCTTGAATTCCTGTGCTCAGGTGATCCTTCCATCTCAGCCTGCCAAGTAGCTATGACTACAGGCACATGCTACCATGCCTGTTTAATTTTATTATGTTTGCAGAGATGGCAATGTCTTGCCATCTTGCTCAGGCTACTCCTGAACTACTGCCTCAGCCTCACAAAGTGCTGGAATTAAAGGGGTGAGCCACTGTACCAGACCTTAGTTGGCCTATCATATAATAATGCAATGATGCTCAGTGAATGTTTTTATTAGGGCTCCATAGATTCAAACTAAAAATGACAGGAGAGCTAGCCCAAGTAAGAACAGATGTTAAATCTATTTCTGCTACCTACTACCAAAATCACTTAGGCATAGCCTGCAACAGTTTCAGCAGCTGTGAACAGAGAGCAGGACTAGTTAATCTCAACACACCATGACTCTCACTCTTATCAAGGAAAGCAATTACACAGACCTAGCAGAGACAGAGAGAAAGGGGGAATCTTATTTCACATTAGTTTGTTTGGAGCAATAAGAAGGCATCTTGGAAGTAGGAAAGACAGTGATCACGAGTATCCTAAGATTGCAAGATTGGTTTCTGTGATGACTGCGCACAGGTTTTCACCTCGCAAAGCCAAGCGATGGGTTGGAATGGACATATTCCCTGGGGCTTGGGGATATCTGACCTCCTCTCCTCTTCTGAGAGTGAAGAAGCAGCTGGACTCCAGGTTGGGAATGGCAACAGGGACTTCAAGTGGCTCATTAGCTAAGATGGTGAAGGAGTTGCTATGGGCTCTATTTGCCCTCGTTTTACACAAACTAACGTATTCAGAGCCACTGTCAAAGGTCCTAGGACATGAAAACCAGCCTTCCTTGAGGGGCTGCTGAAGAAAGCAAGAGAAAAATATCTACCTGCACATATATATCTTTTTTGCAAAACAACAATCTATTGACTTGATGGTCTTCATTAAGCAAAAGTCATTGTCAGGTCAACAGTCTGTTTATTCTATTTGTAGCTGATTCCCATCGATTATCTCTCTCTCTCTCACCACAAAAATCTAAGAGCTAATTTGTTGTAGAAGAGTGACTTCAGTACTTTAACAAAAGTCCATCCAGTTTTGTTAAATGTAGTTTTACACTGAAAGTGTCTTTTTATACTTAATCATTTATTCCGGTCCTTTCTACTATTCCCTTTATTTTCAAGTGAAACAGGCAGAATTGAAATTCCTACTAACTCTTCAATCCTTTTATAAACATGCATATTTTAATTTATATTATCTCTTTAAAACACTACAGGTTTTACAACTGGTTTTAAAAAGACCATTCCAAAAGCATCCTATTTTTATGGTGAATGCTACTCATACATAGCATAATCTTTAATGACAAATAAGATTTCATAATGACAGATGCTTTAGAAGTTAGATGGTTTTAAATTTTGCAAAAGTGATTTGCTGTAGTTTAAAGAAAGAGGCATGAACACAATAAAACTTTAAAACTATTAAAGAAATATTACTTGGTAAGAAGAGAAAAGCAGCGATTATTTAGAATGTGAGACACACTACTTATGGCATGTTTCCAATAATAAAGAAAAAACACTGGATGAATTACATAGATTTCAGAGAAGAATATTCCCAAGTGAGAGCTAAAAGAAGATGGGATAAATACCTAACTTCTAAGAGATGTGAATGAGTGTTAGAGTAACACGGACTTCCAAAAATAGGCAGTCAGCACATAACTCAAAGCTGGTATTGATGAATACTGCTTTACACACATTTTTTAAAAGACTACCAGTATTTAGAAACAATATGGATTTGGCATATGTGTGTGAAAGACACAAAGAGGGAAAGGCATCTATTAATCTCTGTACTTTAATGAATACTGCCTGCTGACTGACTCTATATTAGGGGTCCCCGGCCCCTGGGCCTCTGAGTAGTGGTCTAACAGTCTGTGGTCTGTTAGGAACAAGTCCACATAGCAGGAGATGAGTGGTGGGTGAGTGAACAAAGCTTCATCCATATTTACAGCCTCTTCTCATCACTCACATTACCACATGAACCTCCTGTCAGATCATCAGTAGCTTTAGATTCTTACAGAAGCGGAAACTCTATTGTGAACTGCACATGTGAGGGATCTAGGTTGTGTGCTCTTTATGAGAATCTAATACCTGATGATTTATCATGGTCTCCCATCACCCCCAGATAGGACCATCTAGTTGCAGGAAAACAAGCTCAGGGCCCCCATTGATTCTATATTACGGTGAGTTGTATAATTATTTTATTACATATTACAAGGTAATAATAATAGAAATAAAATGGACAATAAATGTAATGTGTTTCAATCATCCCAAACCATCCCCTGCCCCCTCTCCCGATCAAGGTAAAATTGTCTTCCAAGAAACCAGTCCCTGTTGCCAAAGAGGCTGGGGACTGCTGCTCTATATTACTCTTTATGAGACCCAAAAAATTAACAAAACGTTATATGACATAGTGTATTTTGATTGTATCTCAAACTATACATAATACAATGGAATCAGCTTGGCTTTTAAAAGACCTTAGTCCTGGCTAGATGTGGTGGCTCACACCTGTAATCCCAGTACTTCGGGAGGCTGAGGCGGGCAGATCACTTGAGGTCAGGAGTTCAAGACAAGCCTGGCTAACATTGTGAAATCCATCTCTACTGAAAAAAAAAAACAAAAAAAACAAAAACAAAACACACACACACACACACACACACACACACACAAAACTTACCCGGGTATGGTGGGGCATGCCTGTAGTCCCAGCTACTTGGCAGGCTGAGGCAGGAGAATCTCTGGAACCTGGGATGGGGAGGCTGCAGTGGGCTGAGGCTGTGCCACTGCACACTGCACTCTAGCCTGAGAGACACAGCAAGACACCATCTCAACTAGAAAAAAAAAGAGGTTAGGCCAGGCACGGTGGCTCATGCCTGTAATCCCAGCACTTTAGGAGGCTGAGGAGGGTGGATCATGAGGTCAGGGGATCGAGACCATCCTGGCTAACACAGTGAAACCCCATGTCCACTAAAAATACATAAAATTAGCCAGGCATGGTGGTGGGTGCCTGTAGTCCCAGCTACTCAGGAGGCTGAGGCAGGAGAATCGCTTAAACCTGGGAGGTGTAGCTTGCAGAGAGCCCAGATCGTGCCACTGCACTCCAGCCTGGGCAACAGAGTGAGACTCCATCTCAGGAAAAAAAAAAAAAAAAAAGAGCTTAGTCCCACTTACAGAAAATGACAAGTAGCACTTGATATTAAGGAGCTAAGTGCTCTAGAAATGGCTTTTGAATATAAACTATTGCATCTGCTAAGCTGTTTGATAAATTGAACTCCATTGTCTAGAATCTCAAGGTACTAATCAAAATATTTAAGATCTGTACAATGACACTAGTGTTCTTGGATTCTGTCAGCAGAAAAAGCACAACACCATTATATTTATAGTGTATTTTTCAAGTGTGTATCTCCCAGCCTATTTTCCAGGGATTTCAATCAATTTATTACTCCAATGTACCCAGTAGAGCTTACTTGAATCAGTCTGACTAGAGAAAAGACAAATAAAGACAAAAACCTTCCTGAATTGTTGCTGTCCATCGCATATGTCAAATTAAAAAGAATTAATATGAATGACTTGCTTTACCCCAAGTCCAGTTAATATGGCTAATATTTATGGGTCCATGAATATGTTAAGATGTCTGTATATGATATAAAATACATTTTCTTAAGATTTTATGTTTTGTGGACTTTTCACACTTACAATGGACACCCTTCCCTAGGCACACACAGATTTCTGTGGCACTGCATGTCTCTTCACACCCCCAGTAATGCCCCTTATCTTTGTACAGAGTCTTGGGTACTTGATAGGTGGGTCCACACCCATTCAAAGAACATTTCTTTACCCCAGAGCACTCACTGTCAACTTCGCAGCTTTCAACGCAGGCGGCCGCAAATCCACTGGCTTTCTCAGGAGCTGGACAGTCCCCCTGCTTCACCAACAGGGTGTATTTGAGGAACTCACAACTGGTAAAGCATTCATAGTTCTCCTTGGGGAAAAGAGGCTAAGTCAAAAAAGAATTTTTTAAAAATATTCCATTAAAGACACAAAGTCTGATTTCCAAGGCATCTGAAAGGAAGTTATACATTTTTTTCCCATCAAGCTTTTGCTTGAATGTTTGACAAAATACATATATTGGTTTTCTCCTATCAAAGTGACAATTTATGCTGATTCCTCAAAGGAATATAATCCATGAGTGGTTATTTTATGTTGTATGCAACACACACACACTGTGTATATGCACTCACATTCACAGATCACATATTCCACCTTGGTTCCAAGATGTTTGTCAAAAAAACTGATTATAAATAACCTGTTCAGTACAACTTGAGGGTCCTTTTTGGATTATATAGACTACATGTATTTTCATTTTATAACAAGCCGCTCTCCCTAATTTTTTCTTTCTTTCTTTTTTTTTTTTTTTTTTTTATGGATAAGGTCTCGCCTTATCACCAGGCTGGAGTGCAGTGGTGCAATCATAGCTCACTGCAGCCTTGAAATCCCAGTCTCAGGGAATCCTCCTGCCTCAGCCTCCCAGCAAAATAGAACTAAAAGCACAAACCACCATCCCAAGCTAATTTTTATTTTTCATAGAGATCAGGTCTTGCTATGTTGCCTAGGGTGGTCTCAAGTCCTGGCCTCAAGCAATCCTCATGCCTAAGCCTCCCAAAGCCATTGGGATAACAGGCATGAGCCTTCACACCTGGTTATTTTTTCATATATATTAATATTCATCAAAATAACAGTAGTTCTGTAAAACTTTACAGTTCTCACAATGGTAACATATTTGTTGGTATTATATAGTACAGTTGTCTAGGCCTCCTAATTGAACATATTTCAATAATTTCCAGTCTTTATTGTGAATATGAAATTGTCAATCAGTTGTGCAGTAAAAGAATGTGAATCTGGTTTAAAAATCAGCCCACACCTATGTTATCTGTAAAATAGTTGGGATTTGAACAGCATCTTGCTGAGGACATTTTGGTTGAGCCCAGAATCTATCAACCATTAGTGAGAATAGCGTGCCCTGGACTTATTAGAGGAATGTATTATTTAAAAAGTGTTAGTAATGTCAAAGAGCCATTTTTCAAATGCCTCTTTTTCATTAGGAAAAAATGGTTGGAAAAAGCATTTGGTTATCCCTGCAATCAGAAGATAATGGCTTCTTTCTGCCATGGAATGGAGGAGTTGCTGAGACTTCTAAAAGCTGCCCCACCCAGGGAAAGAAAGAGGAAGGATGCTCTCTGTGCTCTTGCCCTCTTTTTTCTTTAAGGAAGACAACAGTCAAGACAGCTCCACAAGCCCCAGCCCTAACCTTAACTACCTTTTTGTTTTATAGAAGATAGCAGAAAAGATGAACACCATAACTTTAACTTTTACCCCAAGCCTCCTTTTATCCTTATGGGAGACGCTTTCCATGATAACTACTATTCCATTAAAGACACATGAAGTCTTCTTGAATGTTTGACAAAATAGATGTGTTTGCTTTCTTTTATCCCATCAAAGAGGCATTTTCTCCTATCAAAATGCATTTTCATGTGGAACATCTGTGCACAGCCAGGTTAAATTTCACTGCCTTTCTTCTACCTAGGGGTGGCCATGTTGTCATGAATGGAATGTAATCAGCAAACTTCTGTGCCACTGTGGACCAAGGCTTGCAGGTGGTAGGGGGTGGCACCCCCATGTTCTTATTAGCAAGATGTGGGTGGTGCCACAGCTGTAGAGACTGGTGGGGCCACAAGAGGAGAGATGCCAGGATACTGTCTGCCCACATGGAGGAAGACAGCACCCTGCCGGGAATTGTGCCTTAAAGTGCTCCATGGGCAAAAAAGCAAGTATGCATGTTTTGAACAATTGTACATGTCAAGCTCCATTTGTGACAACAATTCAGGCTACCTGAACCAATGCAAATGCCATGGTTCCCCAACTTTGGAAGTGGAAGATGAGCAAGGAGGACAATTTCTGTTTATGTGATGTCACAACAGGTTTAGGAATATAAGAAATAAATGTGGTGGCTTTGGTGAACACAAGTCCAGGGGGAGAATAGGAACATCATGCAGCTCACTACCAGCATTCTGCATGATGCTCCACAGTGATCCCTAACCAGGGCTCATTACTGGTAACATCTGGAAACACCTGGGTGACACCTGGACGATACCTGGGAACACTCGCCTGTGTGCTGCCTGCTGCTCCTCCCTGATGACTAAATATGGCTCTGCACCATCATGACACCTGGGTAACACTGGGTCATCCCTACCATTGCCTGGTAATGCCTTGGCAACACCTGGAAAACACCTGGTAAGTCCTGCCCATGTATTGCTGCTGCTTCTCAACAGTAGTTGAATATAACTCCCTACCACCAGGTTACACTTACTAAACCTGGCAGCATGCTGCCAGCTACTCCTCACTGCTAAATGAGCATGACTCTTTAGTCAGATAGGTGTCTGGTGGCACCTAGGTACCCTGGAGACAGGGGGTTATCTAGGAAAGACATGGTGAAAGATTTGCGATATTAACCAGAGTATTTCACACAATGGTAGAGGTATATTAATTAAACAACAAAACAAGGCCAGGCATGGTGGCTCACATCTGTAATCCTGGGTGGCAGCACTTTGGGAGGCCGAGGCGGGTGGATCACCTGAGGTCAGGAGTTCAAGAGCAGCCTGGGCAACATGGTGAAACACTGTCTCTACTAAAAATACAAAAATTAGCTGGGTGCAGTGGCACATGTCTGTAATCCCAGCTACTCAGGATACTGAGGCAGAAGAATTGCTTGAGCCCGGGAGGTGGAGGTTGCAGTGAACTGAGATTGCACCATTACACTCCAGCCTGATGACAGAGACTCCATCTTAAAAAAACAAAAAAAACAAAAAAAAAAAAAAGGAAAAAAGAGAAAAGAAAACAAAAAAGAACAGCAGAGAAAAGAAAACAGAAAAGAAAAGAAAACCACCTCACCATTATCAAAGTCTCTAATGGGAGGTGGGAGATTGGGAGGACAAATGTTTCTAACTCTTTTCCAAAAAGATAGCTAGTTCACTAATTTTAGTCTATGATTCTCATGTTGATGATGACTGGAAATGCCACTGAAGACTCAAAACATAACTTCACAAGGGAATATCTGAGTAATCCCAGGATAACTACAATTTCAACGTAAATTATTCTCCACAGTCTCACATGGTTCTTTTTCCCAAACAATGTTGAATTAAAATATATGTAAGAGTTAAGACAGCAAATGTTATATTATTTGCATTTTACCAGAATTAAAAAAATAAATAAAATGGACAGAAAGTTTTTATACTATGAGAATGTGTGCAGCACCAAATACTATTGTTTGGTAGTGACAATAATCTTTCTGATATTGCAAATTTAATGGATGACAAAGCAACAGTACTTCATTACAAGTTAAATACAATTAAATGCCTGTTCTTTTCTTAGATTAATTAACAAAAGGAAAATGGTAGAAATACTAGCTAGAAAAAGTATAATTTCAAGTTTTGAATTGCAATTGTAGGTATAAGATAAAGATGTTTGTTAGTTATTAATCATTTATAAAATGTGAAAATAACATGAATTGGCTGTCCTAAAATTACTTTTCAATTTAAGAACTTTAAAGCTTAGAAGAAAAGTCATGGTGTCATTATTGAGTTATGACAAATTTGCAGCTAAGTAATTAAAAAGAAACTTTACAAGCATTTAAAGCATCATCAATTCTCAAGGCTTTTTCTCGTACTCTCTTTTACAGTTCATTTTTCTGTTAGCTGTTAGATGTGTTTTACTTCACTGAGTTTTGAAGTTCTAAATTTAGTTTCAAATCTAAGTAATCAAAGAAATATGCTAACAGATTTGTGACAATTGTGTAGTATTTGCCAACTTTCTTCTTTCAACAAAACGTACACATTATACGCACTGAAAGAAAATACTTAGTTACCAAAATCACTGGCCACTGCCTCAGGGCTGAGATTTCCAAGTAGAAATATTTGTTTCCTGCTTGGTAACTTGGAAATCACAAAGACTTAGTTTGCATCATATATAATGAAATCAACTCAGTTCATAATTCTTCACCTACGAAAAAAGAGCATGAGTCAAGAGTCAGATAAAGTTTGGATCCTCTATTCATATGTTATTCTAATTATCTATATGCCAACTGCCACACTCTTGAACTTTGAGAGACAGGAAAACAGAAGCCGTGCTTCCTTATCTTCATTACTTACTGAACTACTGGGGCAGACGTAAATACAAATAATAAACAAAGACAGTGAGCTAGAACAGTTATGAAGCATGTGTTCCCAATGACCAGAAAAGGAGAATGATCATAATTAGCCCAACAATTTAGATCTTCTAGTCGATATGAGAGTTGTTTTGTATGGATATTCATTTTTTTCCTTTTTGGTAAGAATTCAAAAATGTTTTTTATGATTATTTTGGGGATCATAGAAACAAATATATTCATCTTTGCACTCAAGGTTTATGGACAGGTATATAATCTTGAAATAATACAGGTTACATTATGAATATTATATGAAGTAACACACACAAAGATCTAGAGACTATTGTGCATAGTTGGCCCCCAATACATACTCAATAAGAGTTAAGTAATTTGTGTCTTTTTTCCACTGTTACAAGTTTACCCTTGAACATTTCAAATTTCTTCTGGCATACTGACAAAATTTTTAAGAGATCCAAAGACAGAAGGTATTCTCTACATTTTTCTACGGTGTGTCCAGCCACTAGAATCCAACCTACTATTTCCAGATTAAGCACTGGAATCTGCATCTAAGAAATTGCAACACATAATTAAATGAAGTTCATCTTAGAGTAGTGTGGATTTGCTACAGGAATCTTACAGAGGAGCTTTATTTAACTGTTCTTTGTTTATTTGTATCAAAGGCAAATTTTGATGCTGTCTATTATCTTCCATAATTCTCTTGGATTAGGTTAACAAATATTATTTGTCAGGATATAAATTAGAGAACATACGATATGTGTACACAAGGTCTCTCTCTAGGTCATTAATCATAGTTTAATGAGAATTTACTAACTGAATGGAATAAGGAGAGAAATATGCACAGGTCAGAGAAAATGCTGTGTGAATATTAATACTCTAAATATAAAGAAAATGTATAAATTGGTCTCCAGTAGGAAATCCTGTGAACAAAGATAATTTAAGTGTCATAAAAGTATGATCATTAAGCATGTAAAATTTCATGTAATAATAAAAGTTAATTGTTTAGAGACTTAAGAGGAATGTGAAAATATTGGAAAAGGACTTATTCAAATCAGTATGTGTGTAATACCCATCAATTTTATGGTAAATAAAAACATGTGTGACAAGAGATATATATGTGGTCCATGTTCTATTTCCTGCTAGTACAATTATATATAAGAGCATGAAGACAAGATAGTAAGACAATGAAATGAGATGAAAGGGGATAGAAGAGAGTTAAAAACAAAAATGTAAAATATGAAAAAAAAACCATAAAGTTAAGAAATAAACTAGAAATATCAAGAATCACTTGCGGTCAGGAGTTCAAGACCTGACTGGCCAATATGGAGAAATCCTGTCTCTACTAAATATACAAAACTTAGCTGGGCATGGTGGTGCATGCCTATAATCCCAGCTACCTGGGAGGCTGAGAGAGGAGAATCACTTGAACCTGGGAGGCAGAGGTTGCAGTGAGTTGATATTGCACCACTGCACTCCGGCTGGGTGATAGAATGAGACTCTGTCTAAAAAAAAAAAAAAGAACTATCAAGGAATTAAACAGAAAAAACTATAAACAAATAAACAAAGGGCAGGTTATGTTCTAGGAATAACTGAAAAGAACAAGCAACACTGGAATGTATCTTCTGCTTCTGAACTCCAAAGGGAAAACTATCATTTTTCAGGCATCCAGGTAAAAAAGGCAAACTGATTATGGGAAAGAAAATATGATTGCTACCAAATGTCTCCCTACTAAACTTAGTGTATGAAGCTAACAAAGCAATGTCTATATAATTCTGAGAAAAATAAACTCTGTGTGAGTGTGTGTGTTTTTTGGGAGGAAGGGCAGGGGGCACTATGTACCACGCAATGGCAAAACCTGGCCATTCTACCATAAACAGAAAACAGGAACAAATGGGCTAGTACCATAGTAAAATAAAGTAATACTTATACAAGGAAGAAAGTTGTCCAGTCCAAGTATACTTCAGATATAACTGTAGGTAAAATTTCTCATGCACAAACTGAAAGAAAACACCATCTGTAGATCCTTTTTGAAAACAAAGATACAAATTAAATTTACAGGTAGTCCCAGCAACTCGGGAGGCTGAGGCAGGAGCATGGCCTGAACCCAGGAGGCAGAGCTTGCAGTCAGTGGAGATTGAGCCACTGCACTCCAGCCTGGGTGACAGAGCGAGACTCCTTCTCAAAAGAAAAAAAAAGGTGGGGGGGGGAGTCAAGACAGCCGAAGAGGAACAGCTCTGGCCTACAGCTCCCAGCATGAGTGACGCAGAAGATGGGTGATTTCTCCATTTCCATCTGAGGTACCAGGTTCATGTCACTAGGGAGTGCCAGACAGTGGGTGCAGGACAGTGGGTGCAGCGCAACATGCACGAGCTGAAGCAAGGCGAGCATTGCCTCACTTGGGAAGCACAAGTGGTCAGGGAGTTCCCTTTCCTGGTCAAGGAAAGTGGTGACAGACGGCACCTGGAAAATCGGGTCACTCCCACCCGAATACTGCGCTTTTCCAATGGGCTTAGGAAATGGCGCACAAGGAGACTATATCCCACACCTGGCTCAGAGGGTCCTACGCCCACAGAGTCTTGCTGATGCTAGCACAGCAGTCTGAGCTCAAACTGCATGGCAGCAGTGCGGCTGGGGGAGGGGGGCCCGCCATTGCCCGGGCTTGCTTAGGTAAACAAAGCAGCTGGGAAACTCGAACTGGGTGGAGCCCACCACAGCTCAAGGAGGCCTGCCTGCCTCTGTAGGTTCCACCTCTGGGGGCAGGGCACAGACAAACAAAAAGACAGCAGTAACCTCTGCAGACTTAAATGTACCTGCCTGACAGCTTTGAAGAAAGCAGTGGTTCTCCCAGCACGCGGCTGGAGATCTGAGAATGGGCAGACTGCCTCCTCAAGTGGGTCCCTGACCCCTGACCCCCGAGCAGCCTAACTGGAAGGCACCCCCTAATAGGGACAGACTGACACCTCACACAGCCGGGTACTCCTCTGGGACAAAACTTCCGGAGAAACGATCAGACAACAGCATTCACGGTTCATGAAAATTCTCTGTTCTGCAGACACCGCTGCTGATACCCAGGCAAACAGGGTCTGGAGTGGACCTCTAGCAAACTCAAACAGACCTGCAGCTGAGGGTCCTGTCTGTTAGAAGGAAAACTAACAAACAGAAAGGACATCCACACCAAAAACCCATCTGCACATCACCAGCATCAAAGACCAAAAGAAGATAAAACCACAAAGATGGGGAAAAAACAGAGCAGAAAAACTGGAAGCTCTAAAAAGCAGAGTGCCTCTCCTCCTCCAAAGGAACACAGTTCCTCACCAGCAACGGAACAAAGCTGGATGGAGAATGACTTTGATAAGTTGAGAGAAGAAGGCTTCAGACGATCAATCTACTACAATCCACAGGAGGAAATTCAAACCAAAGGCAAAGAAGTTGAAAATTTTGAAAAAAATCTAGATGAATGTATAACTAGAATAATCAATAGAGAGAAGTGCTTAAAGGAGCTGATGGAGCTGAAAGCCAAGACTCGAGAACTACGTGAAGAATGCAGAAGCCTCAGGAGCTGATGCAATCAACTGGAAGAAAGGGTATCAGTGATGGAAGATGAAATGAATGAAATGAAGCAAGAAGGGAAGTTTAGAGAAAAAAGAATAAAAAGAAATGAACAAAGCCTCCAAGAAATATGGGACTATGTGAAAAGACCAAATCTATGTCTGCTTGGTGTACCTGAAAGTGACAGGGAGAATGGAACCGAGGTGGAAAACACTCTGCAGGGCATTATCCAGGAGAACTTCCCCAATCTAGCAAGGCAGGCCAACACTCAGATTCAGGAAATACAGAGAATGCCACAAAGATACTCCTCGAGAAGAGCAACTCCAAGACACATAATTGTCAGATTCACCAAAGTTGAAATGAAGGAAAAAATGTTAAGGGCAGCCAGAGAGAAAGGTCGGGTTACCCACAAAGGGAAGCCCATCAGACCAACAGCGGATCTCTCAGCAGAAACTCTACAAGCCAGAAGAGAGTGGGGGCCAATATTCGACATTCCTAAAGAAAAGAATTGTCATCCCAGAATTTCATATCCAGGCAAACTAAGCTTCATAAGTAAAGGAGAAATAAAATACTTTACAGACAAGCAAATGCTGAGAGATTTTGTCACCACCAGGCCTGCCCTAAAAGAGCTCCTGAAAGAAGCACTAAACATGGAAAGGAACCGGTACCAGCCACTACAAAATCAAGCCAAAATGTAAAGGCCATCGAGACTAGGAAGAAACTGCATCAACTAATGAGTAAAATAACCAGCTAACATCATAATGATAGGATCAAATTCACACATAACAATATTAACTTTAAATATAAATGGACTAAATGCTCCAATTAAAAGACACAGACTGGCAAATTGGTTAAAGAGTCAACATCCATCAGTGTGCTGTATTCAGGAAACCCATCTCCCATGCAGAGAAACACATAGGCTCCAAATAAAAGGATGGAGGAAGATCTACCAAGCAGATTGAAAACAAAAAAAGGCAGAGGTTGCAATCCTAGTCTCTGATAAAACAGACTTTAAACCAACAAAGATCAAAAGAGACAAAGAAGGCCATTACAGAATGGTAAAGGTATCAATTCAACAAGAAGAGCTAACTATCCTAAATATATATGCACCCAATACAGGAGCACCCAGATTTATAAAGCAAGTCCTGAGTGACCTACAAAGAGACTTAGACTCCCACACAATAATAATGGGAGACTTTAACACCCCACTGTCAACATTAGACAGATCAATCAGAAAGAAAGTTAACAAGGATGCCCAGGAATCGAACTCAGCTCTGCACCAAGCGGACCTAATAGACATCTACAGAACTCTCCACCCCAAATCAACAGAATATACATTTTTTTCAGTACTACACCACACCACACCTATTCCAAAATTGAACACACATAGTTGGAAGTAAAGCTCTCTTCAACAAATGTAAAAGACCAGAAATTCATAACAAACTGTCTCTCAGACCACAGTGAAATCAAACTAGAACTCAAGATTAAGAAACTCACTCAAAACAGCTCAACTACATGGAAACTGAACAACCTGCTCCTGAATGACTACTGGGTACATAACGAAATGAAGGCAGAAATAAAGGTGTTCTTTGAAACCAAGGAGAACAAAGACACAACATACCAGAATCTCTGGCACACATTCAAAGCAGTGTGTAGAGAGAAATTTATAGCACTAAATGCCCACAAGAGAAAGCAGAAAACATCCAAAATTGACACCCTAACATCACAATAAAAAGAACTAGAAAAGCAAGTGCAAACATTCAAAAGCTAGCAGAAGGCAAGAAATAACTAAAATCAGAGCAGAACTGCAGGAAATAGAGACACAAAAAACCCTTCAAAAAGTTAATGAATCCAGGAGCTGGTTTTTTGAAAGGATCAACAAAACTGATAGACCGCTAGCAAGACTAATAAAGAAAAAAAGAGAGAACAGTAAAATAGACACAATAAAAAATGATAAAGGGGATATCACCACCAATCCCACAGAAATACAAACTACCATCAGAGAATACTACAAACACCTCTATGCAAATAAACTAGAAAATCTAGAAGAAATGGATAAATTCCTCGACACATACACTCTCCCAAGACTAAACCAGGAAGAAGCTGAATCTCTGAAGAGACCAATAACAGGATCTGAAATTGTGGCAATAATCAATAGCTTACCAACAAAAAAGAGTCCAGGACCAGATGGATTCACAGCCGAATTCTATCAGAGGTACAAGGAGGAACTGGTACCATTCCTTCTGAAACTATTCCAATCAATAGAAAAAGAGGGAATCCTCCCTAACTCATTTTATGAGGCCAGCATCATTCTGATACCAAAGCCAGGCAGAGACACAACAAAAAAAGAGAATTTTAGACCAATATCCTTGATGAACATTGATGCAAAAATCCTCAATAAAATACTGGCAAACCGAATCTAGCAGCACATCCAAAACCTTATCCACCATGATCAAGTGGGCTTCATCCCTGGGATGCAAGGCTCGTTCAATATAAGCAAATCAATAAATGTAATCCAGCATATAAACAGAATCAAAGACAAAAACCACATGATTATCTCAACAGATGCAGAAAAGGCCTTTGACAAAATTCAACAACTCTTCATGCTAAAAACTCTCAATAAATTAGGTACTGATGGGACGTATCTCAAAATACTAAGAGCTATCTATGACAAACCCACAGCCAATATCATACTGAATGGGCAAAAACTGGAAGCATTCCCTTTGAAAACTGGCACAAGACATGGATGCACTCTCTCACCACTCCTATTCAACATAGTGTTGGAAGTTCTGGCCAGGGCAATCAGGCAGGAGAAGGAAATCAAGGGTATTCAATTAGGAAAAGAGAAAGTCAAATTATCCCTGTTTTCAGACGACATGATTGTATATCTAGAAAACCCCATTGTCTCAGCCCAAAATCTCCTTAAGCTGATAAGCAACTTCAGCAAAGTCTCAGGATACAAAATCAATGTACAAAAATCACAAGCATTCTTATACACTAATAACAGACAAACAGAGAGCCAAATCATGAGTGAATTCCATTCACAATTGCTTCAAAAAGAGTAAAATATCTAGGAATCCAACTTACAAGGGACGTGAAGGACCTCTTCAAGGAGAACTACAAACCTCAATGAAATAAAAGAGGATACAAACAAATGGAAGAATATTACATGCTCATGGGTAGGAAGAATCAATATCGTGAAAATGGCCATATTGCCCACAGTAATTTATAGATTCAATGCCATCCCCATCAAGCTACCAATGATTTTCTTCACAGAATTGGAAAAAACTACTTTAAAGTTCATATGGAACCAAAAAAGACCCTGCATCACAAAATCAATCCTAAGCCAAAAGTGCAAAGCTGGAGGCATCACATTACCTGACTTCAAACTATACTACAAGGCTACAGTAACCAAAACAGCATGGTACTGGTATCAAAACAGAGATATAGATCAATGGAGCAGAACAGAGCCCTCAGAAATAATGCCACATATCTACAACCATCTGATCTTTGACAAACCTGAGAAAAACAAGCAATGGGGAAAGGATTCCCTGTTCAATAAATGGTGCTGGGCAAACTAGCTAGCCATATGTATAAAGCTGAAACTGGATCCCTTCTTTACAGCTTATACAAAAATTAATTAAAGATGGATTAAAGACTTAAATGTTAGACCTAAAAACATAAAAACCATAGAAGAAAACCTAGGCATTACCATTCAGGACATAAGCATAGGCAAGGACTTCATATCTAAAACAGCAAAAGCAATGGCAACAAAAGCCAAAATTGACAAATGGGATCTAATTAAACTAAAGAGCTTCTGCACAGCAAAATAAACTACCATCAGAGTTAACAGGCAACCTACAAAATGGGAGAAAATTTTCACAACCTAGTTATCTGACAAAGGGCTAATATCCAGAATCTACAATGAACTCAAACAAATTTACAAGAAAAAAACAAACAACCCCATCAAAAAGTGGTCAAAGGATATGAACAGACACTTCTCAAAAGAAGACATTTATGCAGCCAAAAGACACATGGAAAAATGTTCACCATCACTGGCCATCAGAGAAATGCAAATCAAAACCACAATGAGATACCATCTCTTACCAGTTAGAATGGCAATCATTAAAAAGTCAGGAAACAACAGGTGCTGGAGAAGATGTGGAGAAATAGGAACACTTTTACACTGTTGGTGGGACTGTAAACTAGTTCAACCATTGTGGAAGTCAGTGTGGCGATTCCTCAGGGATCTAGAACTGGAAATACCATTTGACCCAGCCATCCCATTACTGGGTATATACCCAAAGGACTATAAATCATGCTGCTGTAAAGACACATGCACATGTATGTTTATTGTGGCACTATTTACAATAGCAAAGACTTGGAACCAACCCAAATGTCCAACAATGATAGACTGGATTAAGAAAATGTGGCACATATACACCATGGAATATTATGCAGCCATAAAAAATGATGAGTTCATGTCCTTTGTAGGGACATGGATGAAATTGGAAATCATCATTCTCAGCAAACTATCGCAAGGACAAAAAACCAAACACTTCATGTTCTCACTCATAGATGGGAATTGAACAATGAGAACACATGGACACAGGAAGGGGAACATCACACTCTGGGGACTGTTGTGGGGTGGGGGGAGTGGGGAGGGATAGCATTAGGAGATATACCTAATGCTAAATGACGAGTTAATGGATGCAGCACACCAGCATGGCACATGTATACATATGTAACTAACCTGCACATTGTGCACATGTACCCTAAAACTTAAAGCATAATAATAATAAAAAAAAGAAAGAAAATAAATGAAAAAAAAATTACGTCTACAAAATAAAGAATAAACAAATTGGAAAAGAATTAGTAAAATTAGTAATCACATTTCTACACACATAAATATGAAACTGAAATTAAATAAAATAAGAATGATGGCTAGGAGAGAGAATTTGCTGTAATAAAATTAAGAATTTTAAAACAATAATATGTTAGAAAAACTGATAGGTGGAAAGAGTGTGGAGAAAACATATGTGTGTGACTTATCATGAACTTAATATTAGAACATTAGTAAATAATAAAACAAATATGGAATTCAAAGAGTAAGAATTCCAACCTTATAATGTCTTTTATAATCTTTTCTAATATTTTGGGGGTTCTTTGTCTTCTCTTGCCTTCAAGTAATATTAAACTTTAAGCATTTATTTGAAACTAGTGTGCACAAAGCTTCCAGGAGCTGGCCTGTTGCCAGCCATTTAAGTAGGCATTAGGATTGCAGTCTTGGCTTTGCTGTGTTAACACTTTCCTGCCTGGTAAACCATGGCTGTTTCTATGTGGTAAATCTGGAGTGATGGTTTGGTTTTACTTTTCTGTGCAGTTTGTTTTATTAATATTTAATGGGCATGTATAGTTTCTATTAAAAACAAAATAGTATACTTGGCTGGGTGTGGTGGCTCATGCCTGTAATCCTAGCACTTTGGTAGGTCAAGGCAGCCAGATCACTTGAGGCCAGGAGTTTGTGACCAAACTGGCTAACATAGCAAAACCATGCCTCTACTAAAAATACAAAAAATTAGCCACGTGTGGAGGCTCACACCTGTAATCCCAGCTACTGGGGAGGCTTAGGCAGTATAATAGCTTCAACCTGAAAATGGAGGTTGCAGTGAGCCAAAATTGTGGCACTGCTCTCCAGCCCAGACAACAGAGTGAATGAAACTCCACCTCAAAAAAAAAAAAAAAGATAGTATACTTTTAAAAAAGTAAGCAAAACGGCCAGGTGTCTCTTTCAAAGAAGGCATCTAAACACTAAGCAGGCATGAAATTTAAAAAAAAAAAATCCATTCAAATATTACTAATTTATGCTCAGAAATGTTAGTATAATTTGCTTGGAAACCCAATTATAAATACCATTTTGTTAGATGTGATTGCAATTAATTGGATTCCCAGGCAAATTATAGACATTGGCCATGAATAATATAAAATTAGGAGAAAATCAGAAACATGCATATTAGGGAAGTCGCTTTTCTACAAGTACATACCCTCTTCTTTCAATTATCGTAATCTTTACTTATGTTTATCTTGGCTTCCTTCTTCTTGGCCTAGCTTTTCTATTTATTTTGAAAACAAATGTGTCAACTTGTATGAGTCAGCAACACTTCAGAATCTTACTGAAAGATTTCTAGAATATCATGAGGCACATAATAGTTCAAGAAGTTCACAAATCCCAGAGAATTAGGGATGGTTTGGGTACTTTAGTTAAACTATGATTTCTTTCCCTCCCCTACTTTCTGCATTTGTTAGTAGTAATTATCAAAATGCCAATGCAATGTTCAGCCCACTGAACCATTTGTATATTGTTATAGACCAAACTGGCATTCTAGGTACTAGGTACTAGGAATCTAGTGGTGAACAGATAAAACTGTGAAAATGATGACCCACTATGCTTACAGTTTACACATTTACTACCAAACAGGTAAAAATCATATAACAGTTTAGTTTGCATTATAATAATGGTACATGTGGGAAGTTACAGATATAAGCATGAGATCAACAAATAATTAGACAAACACAAAGCTTTAAAGAAGAGTCACAAATACTGAAAATGATTTAAGGAGGTAAAAGTGATGTGGAAAACTGAAGAAAGATGGAACAGAAACAAAGAACAGAAATAGCAAATGAGAGGGAACAGAAACAAATACAGCACGTCCCCTTCAGAGCATGACAAATTCGTAAGATAACTGCTATATAATTTAGGGGCCAAATTAATTTTGCAAGTGTAAGTTTCTTCAAATATAAAAGGAGGATAAAATATTACCCTAAGCCTTAAATACATCATCCAAAACACATAGCACAGATACTAGCACATAAGAAAGGTGCAATATAAAGGTGCAATCAGTGCTAGCCACCTTTATTAGCATCAGAATTTTTAAAGACAGTTGTAGAAATTTTACAAGAAATAATGAGAATACATATAAATTAATTATAGATGGCCTAAAATCCTCAGATAAGTAATTTCTTTTAAAGAGGAGTAAATTATAAAGTTGTCAAATATACTTGTTTACTCTTTGATTCATATTATTCAGTTTCAAATAGGTTACCATCTCAAATAATTTCACAAACATGGTCAAATTCTACAAACTCATCACATCCATCCAAGTTACAAAAAGAAAAGTGATTCATATTTTACCTTCTTAGAGATCTTCCTTGAAATTTCTTATTTCTTTGTTTATACACTACTGTATTATATCACTATTGGACTGGTTGGATCATCACAAAATGAAATACAAACTAATTGACATGGCTGTGCTTTGAGTTCCCACCCAAGTCTCATCTTGAATTGTAGTTCCCATAATCCCCATGTGTCAAGGGAGAGACCAGGTGGAGGTAACCGAATCATGGGGGCACTTTCCCCCATGCCGTTCTCATGATATTGAGTTATCAGATCTGACAGTTTTATAAGGGCTCTTCCCCCTTCACTTGGCACTTCTCCTTCCTGCTGCCTTGCTTCCCCTTTGCCTTCCACCATGGTTGTAAGTTTCCGTAGGCCTCCCCAGCCATGCTGAATTGTGAGTCAATTAAACCTCTTTTCTTCATAAATTATCCAGTCTTGGGCAGTTCTTTATACCAGTATGAAAACAGACTAATACTCTAATGCAAATGGAACATCATTTCCTCATTATGAACAAGTAAGGGAAACTGCAAATTCCAAAAGTTAAGGGACTGGTTCCCAGGGGACATTACATAATTTCTGGAGACATTGTTATCCCTCACAACTGGAAGGAAGGTGTTATTGGGACCTAGTGGGTATGACCTGAGAGACCAAAATAGATGTTCCTTTATCAACTGAGAGGTACGCTAAGGTTAAATAACCCAAGTTACCTATGGGTAGACGGTTCAGGGCCTGGTTGCCATGTTACATTTCTAAGTTCCTACAGCTGAACTTGTCAACAATCGCAGCTATCGTAACTCTAGTTTACAACTCAGACCTCTACAACTCTCTAATTGGACAGAAGACTGGCCTTACGAAGATTATTTTCTGATAAGCAAGTGCAGACCATAAGTCAGTTTCAGTTAACTTATAGAGGCTGTGCACAAACTTTGTATAGTCTTACAGTTCACCTTTCAATGTAATGAGCCAAATTCCATCTCATTTTAATACTAAAACTTTGCACAAAAGTGAACATTGGATATATGTTATTTGAGAGTATTTTAAGAGAGTTAGCCAAAGCTTTAGAAGAAAAATGCCCAAGGAAGCTTCAAGAGGGAGCCCTTTTCCACCACAATAATGCCCCTGCTCATTCCTCTCATCAAAGGGAAGAAATTTTGCCAGAATTTCAATGAGAAATCATTAGGCATCCAACTTACAGTCCTGATTTCTCTCCTTCTGACTTGTTTTTGTTTCCTGTTCTTATAAGAATCTTTAAAGGGCACCTATTTTTCTTCAGTGAATGATATTTTTCAAAACCTACATCGACATGTTTAAATTCCCAGAACACTCAGTTTTTTAGGGATGGACTAATTGGCTGGTAACATCAAAGCTTGATGGAGCTTATGTGGGGAAACAAAGTTTATATGTTTTATTTTTAGCTTTTGATTACATTTTTCCATGAACTTTCTGAAGGCCTCTTGTATGCAGCCACTTTCTTCAGACATTGGACAATAGTTGGCACAAGACAAGAAAACCTAAAAAGACACAAATGAGATGAATTTCAATTTTGCCAAAAAATGAATGATTTTGATGCAGTTTCAAATCTACAGTGCAAGGAAGGCTGATCCCAAGATAGTTCTGCCATATTTTCAAGTTGTGGAGAAATAGACTAAAGATTGAGGCTGAGATGGCCAGCTCTTGTGGGTAGACTATCAAGCAGGATGATACTGCATGAAGAGAGAAACCTGGAGAGGTTCAGAGGGACCTCTTCATTTTTAGCTGAATACTGACCTTAATGTGCATGGCTTCAAACTGCATAAGTCTAAGGAAAGAACAACCAGACATCAGTAAAGGAAACCATTCTAACCACATTTCAAACAGTCAACGTGGAGAGAATGCACAACTCATGAAGCGCTGGCTAGAATCCTCAGAAGGATATCACTTTAGTAATGGGATAAATTAGGCGTAGTCTAAAGGTTACTCTAATCTTACCCTAAGAAACTTGAAAGAAACCTCAAAATAAAAAAAAATTATCTCAAAAGGAACTTAATTACATGCTACAACAAAGTCTAAAGCTTTCTAGAAAGATATAGCAAAATTCAAAACCCAAAAATTTGAGATCCAACCAAAAGTAATTCACTGTGCAAATAAGAAGGAAATTGTGGCACATAAACAAAGTGGGAAAAACAAGATCTACAGAAGCAGGACGAGACATTATAGAGATGATAAAATTAACAGCAAAGGACATTTAAAGGCTATTATAAATATGCTCCATATTCCCAATAATGTAGAGGAAAACATGGACATAGGGAGGAAAGGAATGAAAGATACAGAACAGAGCTGTGTAGAACTTCCAAACGTAAAAAGGAAGAAATGAAAAACATGCCAAATGGAATTTTTAAAATATTAGACACTATAGAAGACAAGATTACTTAAAAGAAAAGCAAAGACACAATGATTAAAAAAAAAAAAACTATCAGAATGGGCTGGGTGCAGTGATTCATGCCTGTAATCGTAGCACTTTGGGAGGCCAAGGTGGGAGGATCACCTGATGTTGGGAGTTCGAGACCAGCCTGACCAACATGGAGAAACCCCTTGTCTACTAAAAACATAAAATTAGCTGGGTGTGGTGGTGCATGCCTGTAATCCCAGCTACTTGGGAGACTGAGACACGAAAATTGCTTGAACCTGGGAGGCGCAGGTTGCGGTAAGCAGAGATCATGCCATTGCACTCCAGCCTGGGCAACAAGAGCAAAACTCCATCTCAAAAAAAAAAAAAAACAAAAAACAAAACAAAAAAAACCATCAAAATGAAGCAGACGGTGGAAAATGACCAAAAAGAAACAAACAAACAAACAAACAAACAAAAAGATCATAGACTCATTGACCCATGAAACAAAACAAGCTGGTCTAATATGTATCATTAGAGTCCCAGAAGGAGAGAAGAGAGAAAATGGGACAAATAAATAATATTGAACAATAAATTAAAAATTTGCTTAAAATGTTATGTCTATAGTTAGAGAAATCTCAGTTACCCCTAAGCAGAAGAAACAAAGATAATTCAATCAAAGTATATTTAATCATATTCTTCATATGCCAGATACAGAAAGAAAGTCTTCAAAGCAGATAGAAAAGTAAAAGACACTTCATAAACAGTAAAACAAGAATAAGAATGTCAAAGATTTTTCAGAAAATATGCATGACAGAAGAAAATGAAACTATATCTTTAAAATACTATTTTTTTAAAAAAAAATCAACCTGAAATTTCATACTCACAAAATATCTTTAAAACCTGAAGATGCTGAGGCGGGTGGATCACGAGGTCAGGAGATCAAGACCATCCTCATTAACACTAACATTCTACTAAAAATACAAAAAAATTAGCCAGGCACAGTGGCAGGGCCCTGTAATCACAGCTACTCAGGAAGCTGAAGCAGGAGAATGGTGTGAACCCGGGAGGCGGAGTTTACAGTGAGCCGAGATTGCACCACTGCACCCCAGCCTGGACAACAGAACGAGACTATGTCACAAACACACACACACACACACACACACACAAAACTGAAGCTGCCTTAAAGACTACCTCAGATATACAGAAGGCGAATTCATAACAGCTACCCCAATTACAAGAAATGTTAAAAACAAAAGGAAAATGATAACAGATGAACACTGGGGTCTACACAAAGAATGAATAGTTAGTTCGAGAAATAATAAATACATGATTATATTAAAAAGATGACTTCTCTTGTTTCTATATCTCTGAAAGAAGACAAATTTAAAACACAAGTGATAAAAATGTGATGTGGAGCTTGAAACAAATGTAGAAGAATGATTTATGACACTAATACAAACGAAGGTAAAAAACAATGGAAGTATACATTTATAACATGTTTATATTACGTATGAAGTCATTCAAGACCAAATATACTGTGTTCCAAAAAGCAATTCTGAAAAAATTCAAAAAGATAGAAATCTGAAGTATTGTCTTAATAAAAGATAACCAGAAATCAATAGAAAGATATCTCTAAAATTCTTCAAATATTTACAAAATAAACCATACTTTCACGTGAAACTCAAAGATGGAATCACAAAACTAATTAGAAATTTTACCTGTGTAAAAACAAAAACATGCTATAACACAAAATGTAGGTTTGCATAGGGGAAAATTTATAGCATAAAGTTCTTATATGTGAAATGAAAATAAGAGCTCAACTATCTAAGTTCCTACAATAAGATAGTATATAAAGGTCAAACTCATCAAAATTAAGCAAAAGTAAAAAAAAATAAATAAATAAAGACCAAAAATCAACAGCATAGAAAATGACCAAAATAAAGAAAAGCAATAAAAGAAAAAGTTATTTTTTAAAAGAGCACTAAAATTGACAAAATTCTATCCAGATGAATCAAGAACAAAATAGACAATACATAACTTATTGATGTCAGTATTGCAAAAATGTTCATCACTACAGACCTAATAAACATCAAAATGCTAATAATAAAGGTGAATTAGGCAATATGAACTAACTTATTTTTATTAATGTCATAACTTGCTTCAAACAGTTCACTTTCTACAAAGCCTCAGGCTATAAATGCTACTAAAAAAGAAATAGAAAACGTTAATAGCCCTATGTCTACTAAAAAATTGAAATAACATATAAAAGTCTCAATAAGCAGACAAATAAACTTTAAGCCCATATAGCAGCAAGAAGGAAACCTCTCCTCCTACTTTTTTTATGTGTGTGTGATGGTGTCTCACTCGGCCACCCAAGCTGGAGTGCAGTGGTGCAATCTCGGCTCACTACAAGCTCTGCCTGCCAGGTTCACACCATTCTCCTGCCTCAGCCTCCTGAGTAGCTGGGACTGCAGGAACCTGCCTCCATGCCTGGCTAATTTTTGTATTTTTAGTAGAGACAGGGTTTCACCGCATTAGCCAGTACGGCATCGATCTCCTGACCTCGTGATCCGCCCGCCTTGGCCTCCCAAAGTGCTGGGATTACAGGCGTGAGCCACTGCGCCCAGCTAAGAAATATTTTCTATTTAGTAAGAAATACCTTCTAAAGGTTGTTGTTTCAAAGGAAATTTTTTCTCATAATACTTAATATAACATTTCTTTTAAATTGGCAGCATTGGGCTATTTTTTTGTACACTCTTCTACAAATGATAAAGTGAAAATGCATTGTATTAAATGTATGTCTATATGTATGTACACATTTGTATTGTTAAGTTGGTTCCTTATCTCAGTGAATCCAACAGCACTAGGATACATCCAGTTTAATCAC
This sequence comes from Homo sapiens, assembly GCF_000001405.40. Lineage (NCBI taxonomy): Eukaryota > Metazoa > Chordata > Mammalia > Primates > Hominidae > Homo > Homo sapiens. Next base: position 13,838,299 of record NC_000024.10, on the reverse strand, counting down.
TCCATTAAAATACATTGACTAAATCTGTTAGATTCTGACATGAGAGTTTCATAACAGAAAATGAAGTTTACTTAAACATACATGCATATAACTTAATACTATATACATTCTAATTAATCAATGATACTAGCCAGACTCCATTTTTGAAGAATGACTGTAATAATAAATACTAAGATTGTTGAATAAATGAACTATATACACAAATAATATATAGCTATATATAGTATATATAATATATATACACACATAATATATAAAGTATATATAGCATGTATGTACATATGGGATATCTGTGTGTGCCCGATTGATAGTAGCTATACCTCATGGTTGAAAAAAAAAATGTTACATTCATTTGCATGGAGATTTGATTGTCAAAATTATATTTAATGCAAATTGTAATTGTAAACATGAATGGTCATGTATAGTCAAATGTCAGCATCCAATATAGGCAAGGCCCTAGCTCTCATACATTCATGATTATTTTCATTATAATATATGTTCATTCTTATAATAATGAATTTCATTATTTATATTCATTGTTGATAAATTTTCCAATTACAGTAGAAATTCCCAGTTAAATTTCAGACATATATAATGTAGAATTCAGGATATACAGTGTACCAATACTACTTTTTCACCATATTTTAGTAAGCACCTCCTTATTTTAAAATACAGTTATAGTTAGAATACACACTGGAAGACTCTATGAAAAAACTTATTTTTGATATCCATTGCCAATTTTTTAAATCAAAGATATGTATGAAACTAACTGCCCCGTGCCAACTGTCAATTCTGTATAACAATACTGCTCAAAGTATGATCAGTGACTGGTATTATGGGCACCTCTTGGAGTTTATTTCAAATGAAAATTCGTGGGCCTTCTTCTCAACCTACGATGAGAGTCTCTGGGATCAGAGTTCAGAAATCTCTCTTAACAAGTTCTACTGAAAATTCTGATGCTTACTAACCTTTGAAAAGAACTGCCATCAAGTTTGAAACACAATTAACATTTTCTTTATGGAATAAATGTTTGTTGGATGTTTCTCGAGTGGAATGACAAAGACTTACCTTGCAAGTAGCTGAATCTCTGCCCATGAACAATCCCCAGACCATTTTCTTTGGAGTAATGTGTCTTCTTGTTTTACATAAGTTTCATTAATAACATATATTTCTTATGACAATATTTTAGATTCTATAGTCAATAATGTTGCATATGAACAATCCATTTTTAATTATTTTAATTTTAAAAATTTTGAGCTCTTTAATAATTTTTTTCCAAGACATATGTGAGCCTGTCCCAATTTACAGTGCTTACCTCTCCAAAGCATGTTCAAAAACAAGTTCTTTACCAGTACAGCAACACCAAAAGAAAGCCAATTTTCTAGTAGCAGTGAAACATTGTTTAAAAACTTATCCAACTTACATAACTTGCGAGTTCCTTAAAGAGTTAATTTTGTTACTTATGGCATATTGACTTTGCTTCAAGGCAAAAATATTTAGTGGTTATTTAATAAGTATGCTTAGACCTAAATCTTCCTCAAGACCATCTGAAGTGAACACATGGCACTCCTGCCACTGGCAAAGTAAGTCTTTATCATTTCACTCAAGGAACAAACATTTATTCCATAAAGAAACTGTTAAATGCTGTGTGGCTAACAATGTCTGAAAATAGGCGTGTGATTTTTGTTTTCTCTCACTGCTAAAAATATACATTATAAAAATATGCTGCTACATGAGTACACAGGTGCATTTTCACAACTGTAGACATCAGTGCAGAAAAAGTCTCAGGCCTTTGAAAACTCCATGATCCTACATAGCCAAGGTCCTGACAGCTTGTGGAACAGTCAAATACCATACACAAAACAAATATCACTTACAAAAATAGGTATATTTCTCGAATGCTAATCAAAGCAATGCATAACACACTTGTTTTGCTCTTAATCTAGAATCTCTGGCTGCCAAGTGTAGCATCGGTATATGTAATTCATTTAAAGCTCTAATTTAATTGCATGCCTGCTTCACTTCCAATAGCTAGTAATCAGCAGTATCTAAAGACATTTCTGAAAATGTTATTAATGAAAGCCAACATTTTCTTTTAATAATCCTCCATGAAATCTCTCTGACAACACAACCTATATGCAATCATCTGAGTAAATGTTTGCAGGCTAAGTTTGCCAAAAGTCTACTTCTTTCTAATACTCCGACCATTAAAAAAAAAAAAAAAAAAAGATTTCAAGAAAATCTAAAGTGATGCAGGAGAAAACAACGACACACTTTCTCTCACACTTCGCATGGAAGAAAAAACTTCCTATTTCTCCAAACAATTAAAAAGATACATAAAAGACAGAAGCCCTGCCAGAGATGTTAGAACCCAAAGGACTCTATCTTTAACAGGGGCTGGGTAAAATGTGGCCAAGACTTGCTGTGCTGCATTGCCAGGAGGTTAGGCATTCTTAGTCACAGGATGAGACAGGAGGTTGGCAGGACTGGTTTCACAAGATACAGGTCACAAAGACCCCACTGATGAAACAGGATGCAGTAAAGAAGCCAGTCAAAACCCACCAAAACCAAGATGGCAGTGAAAGGAACCACTGGTTGTCTGCATGCTCATTATGCACTAATTATAATGTATTTGCATGCTAAAAGACACTCCCACCAACACCATGACAGTTTACAAATTCTGTGACAAGGTCTAGAAACTACCCTATATGGTCTAAAATGGGAAGGAACTCTCAGTTCCAGAACTCCCCACACCTTACCCAGAAAACTCATAAATATCCACCTCTTATTTAGCATATGATCTAGAAATAACGATAAGTTTACTCAATCAAGCAGCCCATGCCATTGCTCTGCCTATGGCACAGCCACCCTTTTATTCCTTTACTTTCTTAATAAACTTGCTTTCACTTTACTCTGTAGCCTTGCTCTAGAATTCCTTCCTGCATGAAGCCAAGAACCCATGTCGCCTCTCAGGTTGAACTTCAATTTTGGAGTTCACCTTGTGACAACCCCACATCTCTCTTCCATAAGAGGAGTGAATTTTAGAGAAATAATACTACCAGTCGACAATTACTTTAGAATTTTTTACATATCACACATATAGGTGCTATGATCATGTACTGCCTACAACTACCCAAAATAGTAACCAAAGTTCATATTTTTAGCAAAGGTTTTAGGCTTTTAAGTTTTAGGATGATGAACTAAAATCATTACTTCTGAGGCTACTTCTTTGATTCCAATGAAAAAACAGTTTAAATTTGAAAGAAAAACTTGTAGATTGAGAGAACTAATCACATAATATATAATCATTTGGCAGGTAGATACTAAGTATGTTTTTACTTAACCTAGAACCTTCACAGATTATGGACCACTTTTAGAACTATTTATCTAATGTAGTCTGATCACAACACATCTATGAAAGTATGTAAAATAAAGCACTACTGGCCAGGTACAGTGGCTCACACCTGTAATTCTACCACTTTGGGAGGCTGAGGCAAATGAATCACTTGAGCCAGGAGTTCAGGACCAGCCTTGTCAATATAGCAAGACTTTGTCCCTACTAGAAATCAAAAACATTAGCTGGGCATGCTGTCAGCCCCCCAAATTGTTGGGACTACAAGTGAGTGCCACCACAACTGGCCAATTTTTATATTTTCAGTAGAGACAGGGTTTCGCCATGTTGGCCAGGCTGGTTTCAAACTCCTGTCCTCAAGCAATCCACTTGCCTCAGCCTCCCAAGGCGCTGAGATTATAGGTGTGAGCCACTGCACCCAGCGTTTCTGTCTCTAAACGCAAAAACAAAGTGGATGGCAGGCTGGAGGAGGGACACTTTCACACTTTGGCCAGGCTTTCAAGAGTGGCAGAGGTAGGCAGAAATGCACTAGAATGTCACGGAAAATATGAACAAGAGCAGACATCAGCTTCATACCCACTGAAAACAGGGGAGCCGGCATGGAGGGGAAGGGGCTGCATTCCTGCACACAGCATGAAATCCATCCCTGAAAATGACTTCCGAGGTAGCTCTCTGGGTAACATTGTCTTGTTCCACACACAAAAAAAGGTCTCAAGTGGACACACCTGGACATCGTCTTTGGGATAATGGCTTAGGTTTGTTGGTGCCTTCCCCATTCCTCTGCCTTCTCCTGACTAGGCATCAGACTGAAGTCTGAATGGCCCTTGCACATACTTCTACTTGATGAGTTATTAATACTAACCTTTACTTGCACCATGAACTTTAATGACATGCCCAAGGTCATCCAACTTGCCAGACTGGGACTAAAACCCACCTCGTTCATTTCATCCTGGCTCCATTCTCTACTTCCTTCTCTCCTACAGATAGTTCTTATGACCAAGAAATGTGGCCAGGGATGGTGGCTCATGCCTGCCATCCCAGTCCTTGAAAAGGCCAAGGTGGGAGGATTGCTTGAGGCCAGCGGTTCAAGACCAGCCTGGGCAACACAGTGAGACCCGGTCTATAATTTAATAAAAATTTTTTTAAGAGAGATGTATATAGACTTTAACCCAAAACTATGCTATAATCTTTAGAACACAAAGACTGCTTCATGCTTCATATGCAAACATGCCCTAAAGAATGTATACAGTATCCTGTAAGTAGCCTGTCTTTGATATATATTTATCACAATAAATAAAACTTCAATGGCCCAGAGAGGGCTACAGGCCAGGGCAGGTCTAGAAGCAGAACAGCAAACAGGAGGACAAGAGAACCACAGCAGTGCAAACTAGAAGACATTTTGAAGTAATACACTGCAGGTTACAGGGGTATACAGAGCAGCCAGGTGAGAAATTATGAGGATATAGATGGATGGGTTAGTTTTCTAGAAATGCCACAACAAAATCCCATAGATTGGGCCGCCTAAACAACAGACATTTATTTTCCCACAGTCCTGGAGGCTGGAAGTTCAAGATCCAGGTGTGGGCAGGGTGGTTCCTCCTGACGCCTCTCTCTTGGGTTGTAGACACCATCTTCTCCCTGTGTCCTCACCAGGCAGTCCCTCTGTGTGTGTCTGTGTCCTCATTTCCTCTTCTTATGTAGTGTTTTAGTCCATTTTGGGCTGCTATCACAGAATACATAGACGCAGTGCCTTATAAACAACAGACATTGAATCTCCCATAGTCCTGGAGCCTGAAAGTCAAAAATCAAGATGTGGGCAGGACTGGCTTCTCCTGAGGCCCCTCTCCTGGACTTGTACACTCTGTCTTCTCCCTGTGTCCTCCCTGTGTTCTCCCTGTGTCCATCTGTGCATGTCTGTATCCTCATCTTATAAAGACACCAGTCCTATTGGATCAGGGCCCACTTTATTCACTTCATTTTACTTTACGACTTTAAAGACGATTACTCCAAATACAGTCACATTCTGAGCAACTGGGAGTTAAGGCTTCAGCATCTGAATTTGCAGGGAAGAATGACTATAGCCCATTAACAGCAGACTTTTTGGAATGTTATTGCCTGTTTGATTTTAATAAGGAAAGAAGACTACTTTGTAGAAGTGCAGTGAGGTCTGAGTGACTGCAATATGCTTATAAGTTTCAAGTGTCAGGCACACATAAGCTCATTTTTTAAAAAAAATTTTTATTTCCATAGGTTATTGGGGAACAGGCGATATTTAGTTACATGAGTAAGTTCCTTACTGGTGATTTGTGAGATTTGGGTGCATGCATTGTGTCTGAAATTAGTGGGTTCTTGGTCTCACTAACTTTAAGAATGAAGCCACAGACCCTTGCAGTGAGTGTTACAGTTCTTAAAGATGGTGGGTCCGGAGTTTGTTCCTTCTCATGTTCGGATGTGTTCAGAGTTTCTTCCTTCTGGTGGGTTAGTAGTCTCACCGGCTTCAAGAGTGAAGTTGCAAACTTTCACGGTGAGTGTTACAGTTCATAAAGGCAGTGTGGGCTCAAACAGGGAACAGCAGCAAGATTTATTGCAAAGAGTGAAAGAACAAAGCCTACACAGTGCAGAAGTGGACCTAAGCACCTTCAGAATGCTGGCTTTGGCAGCCTGCTTTTATTCCCTTATCTGACCCACCTGCACCCGCATCCTGCTGATTGGCCCATTTTACAGAGCGCTGATTGGTCCGTTTTACAGAGAGCTGATTGGTTCATTTTACAGAGGGCTAATTGGTCCATTTTGACAGGGTGCTGATTGGTGCATTTACAATCCCTGAGCTAGACACAGAGTGCTGACTGGTGTATTTACAATCCTCTAGCTAGATGTAAAAATTCTCCAAGTCCCCACTAGATTAGCTAGACACAGAGCACTGATTGGTGCGTTTACAAACCTTTAGCTAGACACAGAGTGCTGATTGGTGCATTTACAATCCTCTAACTAGACATAAAAGTCCTCCAAGTTCCCACCAGATTAGCTAGATACAGAATGCTGATTGCTGCATCCACAAACTCCCAGCTAGACACAGAGTGCTGATTGGTTCATTATACAATCACCCAGCTACACATAAAAGAACTCCAAGTCCCCACCCGACTCAGGAGCCCAGCTGGCTTCACCTAGTGGATCTGGCACCAGGGCCATAGGCTTACCTGCCAGTCCCACATGGCCAGCCTGCACTCCTCAGCCCTTGGGTGGTCGATGGGACCGGGCAACATGGAGCAGGGGGCGGTGCCCGTCAGGGAGGCTGGGGCTGCGTGGGAGCCCACTACAGGGGGGCTCGGGCATGGCAGGCTGCAGGTCCCAAGTCCTGCCCCGTGGGGAGGTGGCTGAGGTCTGGCAAGAATTCGAGCATGGCGCAGGTGGGCCGGCAGTGCTGCGGGACCCAGCACCCCTTCCCCAGTTGCTGGCGCCGGTGCTAAGCCCCTCACTACTGTGCCGGGGGTGGCAGCCGGCTGCTCCGAGTTCGGGGCCTGCGGAGCCCATGCCCACCCAGAACTCACGCTGGCCCCCAAGCGCTGTGCACAGCTCCAGTTCCCACCCACACCTCTCCCTCCACACCTCCCCGCAAGCAGGGAGCTGGCTCCAGCCTCAGCCAGCCCAGAGAGAGGCTCCCACAGTGCAGCAGCAGGCTGAAGGGCTGCTCAAGCACAGCCAGAGTGGACACCGAGGCTGAGGAAGACCCGAGAGCAAGCAAGGGCCCTAGCACGTTGTCACCTCTCACCATCACCCAAGCAGTACACACTGCACCCAATTTGTAATCTTTTATCTTTCATCCCCTTCCCACCCTTCCCCTGGACCCCCAAACTCCACTGTGTCATTCTTACGCCTTTGCATCCTATAGCTTAGCTCCTACTTATGAGTGAGTGCACAATGTTTGGTGTTCTATTCCTGAGTTATTTCACCTAGTATAATAGTCTCTAATCTCAACCAAGTTGCTGCAAATGCCATTAATTCATCCTTTTTATGGCTGAGTTGTATTCCTATCTATCTGTCTATCTATCTATCTATCTATCTATCTACCACAGTTTATCCCTTTATCAATAATGGGTTGATGCCACATTTTTGCAATTGCAAATTGAGGCACACTAAGGCCTACTAAGTTAAAACAATAACAATGAAAACCTCCACAAAGGTTCAGGGTGTCAGCTCCCAGAATACCACCAACCGAAGACAGGCAAATCAACCGTGGGAGCCGAGCCCTTAACCTTCCACTGTCCTAGTGAGGGACTAAGTGGCTAAGTTGTCTGGACTTCCTGGGTCAATAGGGACTCCCTAAGGGGACTTTCCCCTAAGCCAAAATAACTCACAGCTGCAAGCTAAGGTATTGAAACTTCAACCAATCAAAGGAGACTTTCCTGTACGCCAAAATGAGTCATAGCTGCAAGCTAAGGGATTGAAACTTCAACCAATCACATAGGGAGTTTAAGCTGTAGCTGCAGCCTGATGTTTTTAACCAATCAGGCCCTCCAACCCATAAGCAGATAGAAAATAAGCTAATTATATAGGACAGAAAAAGGGAAAGAGGAGGGGTCACAAGGGGACATAAGCATAAGACAACCAAGCCAGAGACAGCAACCCTTTGGGTCCCCTTCCACCGCTTGGAAGCTTTACTTTTGCTTTCGCTTTACCTTAGCTTTTGCTTTCACTTTACCTTAGCTTTTGCTTTAATAAATCTTGCCCTGGCACACTCTTTGGGTCCCCGCGTTTCTCTAATCGAGCTGTAACACATGCCACTGCAGTCCACCGCTTCATTCCTTGAGACCCGTGAGACTACGACCCCTTCGATCAAGAAAAACCTTTGATTGGAAAACTTGTCATCTTACTAGCCACAAACCAACCATTTGATTGGTCAACTTTGAGCCGAAAGGTTTGAGATGAGAAAGGGGAGTCACGGTATCAAAACGATAAGTCTCCAGACCCTAGTAGGAGTTCTGAGTTGCTCTCCTTTTCATCTTCCTTCTTGCTTATCTTCAGCTGCTCTCTGCCACCTGATAGCCTTTTGCCCAGGAGGTCAGAGAAGGCAAAGCTGTCTCTCAGTAACTGGAGATGTCTGGCTCTGTGTGCGGGAAGTTAAGGGACACTTGGTGGTGCCTTCCTCCCTCAAAGCATCACAGCAAGTCCTTTCATTGCGGCTGTGCGGAAATAGCCAAAAGAGAAAGGGAAAAAATCGTTTTTTTCTGTTTTTGTTTTTTTGTTGTTGTTGTTTAAGTTCTAGGGTACATGTGCACAACGTGCAGGTTTGTTACATATATATACATGTGCCATGTTGGTGTGCAAACAATCATCTCTTAGGAAGACAACGAGAAGACCAGGGGTGTGGAATGGGAGTAGGATGACCTGGCACAGTGCAGGGTATTTCTAGGACTAGGAAATTATGGTATGAAATACTGTAAAGGTGGGTGCATGACTTTATGTGTTTGTCAAACACCACAGCATATACAACAGCAAGAGTAAACCCCAACGTAAACTATGGATTATAGTTAATAGTAATGTATCGATATTAATCCATCAGTTGTAACAAATGTATCACACTAATGCAAGATAACAGTAGGGGAAGTATCAGGGAGGAGGAAGGGAGGGCATGGGAAATCTTTATTTTCCACTCCAAATCATCACGTGGCTGATGATATTCAGCATCCAGTAGACCTCATGGGGTCTGAAATGGGCTGCCATAGCAGACCCAAAACTACTGGAAAAACAAAAGCCTATTATTTTCTAAATCCCAACTTGCTTAATAGACTTACATACATGATTAATATGATTAATAATATATGTAGTATTATATATGTACATTATAATATATGCAATCTCCTGTGTAATATTTAAGGATGATACCTCTAAAAATTTATCACAAGTACAAACTTTGTTGAAATTAACAGTAATTCAAAGAAGGTGGATGGGTTGAGTTGATATGGTAGATGAGAAAGAAAGCACAATTTAGAATTCTGTATAGAAGTCTTCTGAAAAACAGATGCACAAGAACCAATTGCTTTAATTATCTTACCATCATTTGCATAGGGTAGACACACCAGTTTGCATATACTAATAAGTATCTTTCATCCAAGTACAGCTGACATGAAGGTAGCTTGCCCAATAGATAAACAAGGAAAGAAAAGTAGAGAAAACATTTACTAACTTTTTTTATTCATAAATTCTACCCCCTCCCCCCTCCCCCAAAAAAGTGTTGGAACTATGTGATTACTTCCACTCAAAGTATCCTTGTTCCGTTTGTAAATCTTGTGGAGTCAAAAAAAAAAAAGAAAAAAAAATCAGGAGTGGTTCCCCATCACCAGCATCTGGGATCATCACTTCCTTCTTCCCCTGAGTTTATAGTATCTATCAGCATATCGCCTAAGATATACTAGAACACTTACAGAAATCATGATTTCCTTATGTTTCTGAAGCCTCATGGACCCACAAGATAAAGTTATCTTTTTCTTTTTCTTTTCTTTTTTTTTTTTTTTTTTTTTTTTGAGACGGAGTCTTGCTCTGCTGCCCAGGCTGGATTGCAGTGGCCCGATCTCTGCTCATTGCAACCTCTGCCTCCGGGGTTCACGCCATTCTCCTGACTCAGCCTCCCGAGTAGCTGGGACTACAGGCACCTGCCACCATGCCTGGCAAATTTTTTGTATTTTTGGTAGAGACGGGGTTTCACCATGTTAGCCAGGATAGTCTCGATCTCCTGACCTCGTGATCCGCCCGCCTTGGCCTCCCAAAGTGCTGCGATTATAGGCGTGAGCAACCACACCCGGCCAGAGTTTTATTTTGCTAGTCGTTATTTTGGAGAAGAAAAGGGCAGGGAGATGATGGTGATGGATGAGGCCAAGAGTGGGGATTGGAATCAGTATTGGTCCCATTCTTCAGCCTCTGATTCCAACTGCTCTACCATCTAATATTCATCATGTCGAATTCTCACTGAGGCCAACATCCCAGAAGATGTCAGTCTGCATCTCTCCAACCATGCTTGCTAAATTACCACTGACAGGAGCAACTACAAATACTCCTAGGGTCAAACCCTGGAAGAATCCCAGCAACATGCCGAAATGTCGAACTTACCCAAGAATTTTCCTAGATGGCCATAAATACAATTCTGGACAACTCAAATTTACATCTCATTGTTTCTGAGCTAGAGACTTCAGATGTCCACCTGTCTGTTTAGTAGCTCCCCTTGATAATCTCACAGGCTTAAACTTATCATGCCCCAAATGAATTTTAACAGGGCTTCCCTTTATCCTTGCAGGAAAAGCCCAACTTCTCCTCCAATTGGCTTCATCAAAGTAACTGGTCTTTCTCTGCATTTTCCTAAGAAACTGGCATCAGAACGGATGTTTCCATCTCCCTCATTTCTTGTATCCAACCCTGGCCAATTTTGCCTCCCGTCTCCCGAAATCCAACTGCCTCACTCTGCCTTCACTGCAGCCTCACCTGACTGAGCTACCCACCTCTTCTGCCTAAATTGGTGTGTTTGTTTCGGAACCAGACTCCCGCTTTCCATTCTCAGCCTTCTTCATCGTTCCCCAAAATATCTTTTGTCAAATCACTCCCCTGCTTACAACCTCTCTGGATTCCATCACTGCACTTTATACAGAATATAAAAGAATTCATCCTCTAAGGTCCTGTTGCCAGGTGTCTTGTCATGATACAGCAGCTTCTTAAACTTTTCTAAAGGTGCCAAATAATTTTTTGCCTCAGTGCCATTGCACGTGCTCTTCCCTTTAGGTAGAAAACCCTACATATCCTCAGAGCACTTTGCAATAATTCCTATCTTCTATCTTTCTTAGCCTAGTACCCTATTTTCCTGAAATCACATGATACAACGTGTACTAATTGAGCAAATGCTGCCTTCGTTATTTTTTTAAGTCTTTCTATGTTTAGTATACTAATTCTGCTCCATGAAGTACAGAGTCTATGCCTATATGAGTAGCACCTTGCATAAAAATCTCTGGCATATAATAAGCAAACACAATAATGTTTTTAAAAAGCAAATGAATAAATGACTGAGTTAATTATGTTAAACAGGAGAAATGGGTTAGCTATCAGAGTTTATTCATTCACTAAATGTTTATACCATATCCCAGTATGTCACAGGAAGGGAAAAGTATTTCTCATAATATTTAAGTGTTTATAATTCGTGAGGTGATGTAAAGGTACCTGTTACATATGAGAGAAACTGATTCCAGAGGAAAGAAAATTGAAATACTAGATTCTCACAAATACTTCCATTTTTCCTCTTATGATGTATTTATTAAAGTTTATATAATATGCCCTAAGGAAAGTGGTTTGTATTTCCATAAATAAAAGTTGCTTCATTTAAATATTTCATGTTCAAATATATTTTTCAAGAGAACTAGGTCAAAGCATGTAAAAATCAGATACAATAATATTTGTAGAAAGGTGCAGATTTCCCTTCTGGTTATTACTGAGGAATACAATGGTAAATTTCTGAAAAATAATTTCCTGTTCATTTAAAAGGAAAATAAATGAACATCTTTCTGATGCCTCAATGTTGATTATGCAGGGAAGAAAACGTGGGCTAATACCCAAATCCACCACAAGTTACCTGTGTTTTCATGTTTTAGGATCTTGATATCTCTACATGCTTAGAAAACCCAGACTTTTGTCAAATCAATCAACATTTATATATAACTTACATGATAATGTGGCCTATTATGTGTGTGTGTGTATGTATATATATATATATGGTCTTGTATATGGCATCATATATAGATACTGTGTATACTATATAGTATGCTGCATTATATATATAACATATATATATTACATATACGATATAAAATATATATAATATGGGTTGGACATGCTTGCTTTAAAGCATTAGGGATCCGGAAGGTTAAAATGATAAGCATGGCACTGAAGACATCATAATAAAATGCACACGTCCCATTCATGTGAAATTTGTAATTCACATATGTCACTCCCTGACTCACCCCTAAAATATGGGGACCCCAGGAACCACAGAGAAGCTCCAAATGGATTTTCTTAAGCAAACTGTAATATATAAATATATATTTTACCTCCCAACCAAGTCATGTCTGCCCTACCTCCTGCCATGTCTTCTTTCTATACAATCTATTTCATCTACTATAACAACAAACCCTCATTTCCACAGCCCACTTTTGATGGAAGAGTCATTTTTTTCAAATATGATTGAAAATGCATTATGTGAGCCAGGGAAGGAAGTCCAGAAATAGAGAGTCTAGTTCATCTGGTGTAGGGCCCATCCCCACAAGGTCAGTGGGTTTTTCTCCCCATGAGCAGAGACGAGAGATTATAGAAATAAAGACACAAGATAAAGATAAAAGAAAAGACAGCTGGACCTGTGGGACCACTAACACCAAGAGGCAGAGACCGGTAGTGGCGCTGAATGTCTGGCTGTGCCATTATTTATTGGATACAAAGCAAAAGGGTCAGGGTAAAGAGTGTGAGTCATCTCCAATGATAGGTAAGGTCACGTGGCTCATGTGTCCATTGGACAGGGGGCCCTTCCCTGTTTGGCAGCCGAGGCGGAGAGAGAGACAGAGAACAGCTTATGCTATTATTTCTGCATATCAGAGACTTTTAGTACTTTCACTAATTTGCTACTGCTATCTAAAAGGCAGAGCCAGGTGTACAGGATGGAACATGAAGGCGGACTAGGAGCATGACCACTGAAGCACAGCATCACAGGGAGAGGGTTAGGCCTCCAGATAACTGCGAGCAGGCCTGACTGATGTCAGGCCCTCCACAAGAGGTGGAGGAGCACAGTCTTCTCTAAATCCCCCAGGGAAAGGGAGACTCCCTTTCCCAGTCTGCTGAGTAGCAGGTGTTTTTCCTTGACACTGACGCTACTGCTAGACCAAGGTCTGCTTGGCAACGGGCGTCTTCCCAGATGCTGGCATTACCGCTAGACCAAGGAGCCCTCTGGTGACCCTGTTCGGGCATAACAGAAGGTTTGCACTCTTGTCTTCTGGTCACTTCTCACTACGTCTCCTCGGCTCCTGTCTCTGTATGTCCTGGTTTTTCCTAGGTTATGATTATAGAGCGAGGATTATTATAATATTGGAATAAATAATAATTGCTACAAACTAATGATTAATGATATTCATAATCATATCTAAGATCTATATCTAGTATAACTATTCTTATTTTATATATTTTATTATACTGGAACGGCTCGTGCCCTCAGTCTCCTGCCTCGGTAACTAGGTGGCTTGCCACACACAGTCTGGGCTCCTGTACATCCTATACAAGAAATGAACTTTGCAAGATCTCAAAGCTGTAAATTTGGCACCTCTCAATTAGCACAAATTTCCTTTCAAACGTTAAGAAGAGAAAGAGACTCCTAAGTATTTTTTAACATAATGTATTCCACATTTCCATAGGCATCATTTTTTTTTTTTGAGATGGAGTCTCATTCTGTCCCCCAGCCTGTAGTGCAGTAGCACAATCTTGGTTAACTGCAACTCTGTCCATAGGCATCAGTTTTAGGCCAAAACATATGGTAATACATAAACTGATCATATGCTGTCTGCATCACTCAGCAGAGAAAGGCAGCATCTCAAAGGATTTCCTCAAATCCTTTATCTAAGAAAGGCATGGAAACCATTTCACCAGAAATCATTTCCTCCATGGTAGTGTGCAAAGATAGTCCACTCAGGTGCATAATAAACCCTCAGGAAATAATGAAAACAGCGGACTCTGTTGCAGGTGGAGATGAAAATAGTGGTTGGTCTTAACCATCTATGCAATGCAATCATTAAGATATTTAAATATAAGAAACCCATTTCATGGGTCTCTAAAATTATGCTTCTATTTCAACAATCCAGGGTAGAAATTGTGAAAAGCGGTCTCTCTGTGGGTGCCCTAATTCTTCTTTTTTAATTTTTAAGTTCCAGGGCACATGTGCAAAATATGCTGGTTGGATACACAGGTAAACGTGTACCATGGTGGTTTGCTGCACCTATTAACCCATCACCTAGGTATTAAACCCCACATGCATTAGCTATTTATCCCGATGCTCTCCCTCTTCCTACCATACCCTGCAACAGTCCCCAGTGTGTGCTATTCCCCTCCCTGTTTAGTTCCCAATTATGAATGAGAACATAAGATGTTTGGTTTTCTGTTCCTGTATAAGTTTGCTGAGGATAATGACTTCCAGCTCCATTCATCTCCCTGCAAAGGACATGATCTTATTCCTTTTTATGGCTGCACAGTATTTCATGATGTATATGTACCACATTATTTTTATCCAGTCCATCATGTACTTCTCTCTTCTGTAAGCAAAATGTTGTTTTGACTGTCTTTTATGAAACACAAATGGCCAACTAGCTACCTTTACTTTGTACAGCCAGCAAATGACTAAATTTTAGTATTGGGTTCTTATATGTCTCATTTAATATTACATACTTTGATTTCTCTCCAAATTACCTCATTTGGCCAAGATAACATAACTAATGTGCAACTAAAGATATCCTCAAATTTTCTTTTTAAAGTAGAAGTTAAAGGACAACTAAGAAACATGCATTATGTTATCTTTATTTGCATAAGCTAATCTGAGTAAAATGGTCTTCCCAAACATGAAAAATAAAATGACTTGATACATGTCAAAAAAAGGTGCATCATCTGTCAATAAGTCCTCTTTAAGTGTGAGGGGAAGGGAGTGGAGTTCTGCTTTTCTTTAATGAGATGTGCCTATAAAAATATGATCTGTGAATTTGTAGATATTGTCACATAAAGACCTGGACTCCACCCATGTAACAGGTCATGGTCTAGCCAGTTTTCTTTTTAAAATATATTCTTTTTTTATTGCAAGGGTTCATGCTACACATTGTTATAACAGAAAAATAAATCACCCCACTTTTCTCACCTGGAATATAGAGAGCTTCTTTGTTTTACAGTTTTACAAAAATTAAATGAGACAATTCATGACAAACCATTTGTCGATCAGGGAGTACTCCACAAACAGCTGAGTACTGTTACTAATAGTATGACTTCAGTGACAATCATAACCTCAGAAACTTAAGATGGAACCTGTCTATGGCAAAGAAATCTAGAATCTGTGGTCTCATTCAAAGAAATGTATTTTCATGAGAATATCACTTCCCTGCTTCCAGTCCTTCTTATCTTTTCCCTCTCACCTGAGACCACACTGCCTGACAGAACCAAATGTCAGCACTGACAGTGGAGAATGCTCTAAGTTGGTGCTGTTCAATATCACAGCTTCTAGCTACATAGGACACTTAGCACGTGAAATGTGGCTAGTGCAGTTTCTCACTCTCGCCACTGTTGACATATTGGGCCAATGGTTCCTTGCGATGGTGGCTGTTCTGTGCATGGTAACACTACCATGCAGCATGTTGAGCTGCATCCCTGAGCCCCCCACTAGATACTAGTGGCACATCTTCCCTGGTAATGACAACTAAATATGTCTCCAGACACTGCCAGATATCCCCTTGGGGACAAAATCACCTCTGGTCGAAAACCACTAGGCTACAGAGACGAAGAATTTTCATTGTATTCAATTTAGGTAAATGTAAACTTAAAATAGCAAATGTGGCTGATGTCTACCTACTGAACAGAAATGCTTTACAATTTACTGAGATTTGAAAGATAAATGCTCAAGGGATGGATAACCCCTTCTTCATGATGTGTTTATTTCATATTGCATGCCTGTATCAGAACATCTCATGTATCCCATAAATATGTACACCTACTACCTACTATGTACCCACACAAAGTTAAGGAAATAAAAATTTTAAAAGAAAATTTACAGAGATTCTTTTCCCAAAGCAGATACAACTGTTAAGAAATACGTTGGAACATTTAGGTTACATGTATTTTTTTTCTCTCTGAAATAACTAAAGGTAAATTAAACAATATACGCTTTCATTTTATTTGCATAACTATTTATGTGCTGTCTTTAACTCAGAGCAGTAAAAGGGTTGATAACATAGCAAGGCATAAAAAGGTACAAAAGTAATAATAAAAGGGAGGATGGTAAAATCACCACAGCAGCTTTATATTGATTCCTGCCACCCAGAAAGGAAATAATGCGATGAACACATATCTGTGGGTTGTAGGGTTCAGAAATAGAGAAAAAAATTAACAGCCATGACCAACCCAAGCTGTTCCTACTGGGACTGCCATGTTCACCCCACTCAGACAAGGTCTGGATTGTTTTGCAAGCAGCAGGGATGACCTGACCAGCGAGCTCTCTACCTGCGCTGATGGTTTCTCATTTCCTTGGTTAGACACTGAGCTAAAGCAAAGGAATTTTTTAAAAAAAGTGTTTGCAAAGGTTCACCCTACACTTTGAAAAGTTTGCTATCACTTTGATTTGAGGAGTAAAAACAATTCCCTATCATAATGGGACAACTGGGTTCAGTTAGGGAATCCTGTAGGTTACTTAAAGTCCCAAAGTGAGTCCAAGTTCAAAGCGAATATTGTGTAAAACAAATGATCTTCCTGAGAATTTCAAAGGAGATTGAACTCCAAGTGCCTAAGGACTATGATGTCTTTGTTTCTGGTTCTCCGTGTGGGGATATTGTCTGAACGAAACAATATTCAGTATGGTGAAAAAATTAAGTTTTATATTTCCTTTCCAAATACTTGGAGGGAGAATCTACTCAGCTTCTGATGCCAAGAACAGAAATTTGAAGTATGAAGAAAGAACATGAGCTTTTAAAACAAAAAGTCCTGCAATGTAGCCCCCAACCAACAAATTTTGGCAAACTTGTCCATTATTCCATCTAACTCCCAGTTTTCTATATTGTACAATGGGGAAAATGAAGTCTGCTTCCTTGGGTTCTGGGAGAACTAGAAAGGACCCCTAGACCAATCTGTATATGCCGCCCATTTCACATTCTCTAAACTTCAATTCCCTTTAGTGAGCATGGCCAGTCTTGGTGCTCAAAGACATAGAAAAAAATAAAAGCTTGCTCTGCCTTTTAAGGAGTTCAAGTGAGCCCCAACAGTTGTAATCCACAGCCTCTTTTCCCAAGGAGATACCAAATAATCTGAGGAGACAAACACATGTGTCAGGCATTTGTTAGGTTCAAGGGGCTTTTACAATGAATAAATAGTTTTAAAATAATGGATTAATATATGCAGTTATTCAACCCAAGAGACCAAGGGACTGAGGATGATACTGAGAGGTGACAGCATGCTGGCTCGCTCGCTCTCGGTGCCTCCTCTGCCTGGGCTCCCGCTTTGGCGGCACTTGAGGCCTTCGGCCCGCCGCTGCACTGTGGGAGCCCCTTTCTGGGCTGGCCAAGGCTGGAGCCCACTCCCTCAGCTTGCAGGGAGGTGTGCAGGGATTGGCGCGAGTGGGAACCAGGGCTGCGTGCCGTGCTTGCGGACCAGCTGGAGTTCCGGGTGGGTGTGGGCTTGGCGGGCCCCACACCCGGAGCAGCCAGCCGGCCCTGCCAGCCCAGGCAATGAGGGACTTAGCACCCGGGCCAGCGGCTGCGGAGGGTGTACCGGATCCCCCAGCAGTGCCAGCCCACCCACGCTGCGCTCGATTTCTGGCAGTGCCTTAGCTGTCTTTCCACAGGGCAGGGCTCGGGACCTGCAGCCCGCCATGACTGAGCCTTCCACCCACTCCATGGGCTCCTGTGCTGCCCGAGCCTCCCCAATAAGTGCCACCCCCTGCTCCACAGCGCCCAGTCCCATCAACCACCCAAGGGCTGAGGAATGCGAGCGCAGGGCACGGGACTGGCAGGCAGCTCCACCTGCAGCCCCTGTGCGAGATCCACTGGGTGAAGCCAGCTAGGCCCCTGAGCCTGGTGAGGAGTGGAGAACCTCTATGTCTAGCTCAGGGATTGTAAATACACCAATCAGCACCCTGTGTCTAGCTTAGGGTTTGTGAATGCACCAATCAACACTCTGTATCTAGCTACTCTGGTGGGGACTTGGAGAACCTTTGTGTCGACACTCTGTATCTAGCCAATCTAGTGGGTACAGTGGAGAACCTTTGTGTCTAGCTCAGGGATTGTAAACGCACTAATCAGCACCCTGTCAAAACAGACCACTTGGCTCTACCAATCAGCAGGATGTGGGTGGGGCCAGACAAGAGAATAAAAGCAGGCTGCCTGAGCCACCAATGGCAACATGCTCAGGTCCCCTTCCACACTGTGGAAGCTTTGTTCTTTTGCTCTTTGCAATAAATCTTGCTACCGCTCACTCTTTGGGTCCACGCTGCTTTTATGAGCTGTAACACTCACCGCGAAAGTCTGCAGCTTCACTCCTGAAGCCAGTGAGACCACGAGCCCACCGGGAGGAATGAACAATTCCAGACGTGCCGCCTTAAGAGCTGTAACACCCACCGCAAGGGTCCGCAGCTTCATTCTTGAAGTCAGTGAGACCAAAAACCCACCAATTCCAGACACAATACCATCCCACCAACCTTCAGTTCAACAATGCAGAGTGAAAATAATAATAATGCTTATTAAATTAAAACTTCACTTTAAAAGAGATAAGGCATGCTAAGAGAAATAAGGCAGACATAAAAGGATAATTATTCTATGATTCCATTTGTATGAGGGTCTCAGAGTAGTCGAATTCATAGAGACAGAAATTAGAATGATGGTTGTGGGAATGGGGGGAATTGATGTTCAATGGGGCAAGTTTTAGTTTGGGAGGATGAAAAAGTTCTGGAGATGGTGATGATGGTTGCACAACAATGTGAATGTGTCTCACTCCACAGAACCACACACTTAAAAGTGATTGGAATGGTAACTTTTTAATGTTTTGTGAAGAAGAGGAAGAAGGAGGAGAAGGAGAGGAAGAAGAAGAGGAAAAAGGAGGAGGAGGAGAGGAAGAAGGAGGAGGAGGAGAAGGAGAAGAAGGAAGAGGAAGAAGAAGAAGGAGAAGGAGAAAGAGGAGGAGGAAGAGGAGGAGGAAGAGGAGGAAGAGGAGAAGAGGAGGAGGAAGGAGGAGGAAGAAGGAGGAGGAGAAGAAGAAAGAAGAAGAAGAAGAAAGGAGGAGAGGGGAAGGAGAAGAGGAAGAAGAAAAAGAAGGAGGAGAAGGAGGAGAAGAAGAAGAAGAACAGCCGTTTTACATGGAGCTCCCAACCACAAGGCACATGCTTGGGCACATGCACACACACACTTCACATGGTCCTTTTCATCAAGATGGGAGAGGCCAGGAAAGAAAAGCAGCCCTGAAAATATGCCCCTCTTTGGTTGGCATGCATCTCTACTTTTGCTTGTCTATAGAATTAGAAAGGAGAGGAAATCAGAGAAGAGTCAGCATTTCATTGCTGTAGGTATTGTGCTTAAAGACACTCCCTCTCTGCTCCTGTGCCCACCTGCTATAGTGTAAAACACTCCATTTCTCTTGTGGCCATGTCCAGGGGACTTTTCTGATAGATGAACAGACTGCTACCAATCCAGAGACTTATCCTCCACAACATAAATAACTTCCTGTGCTGGACACATTTTCTCCTTTAATTTTAAAATCCTGGAACCCAGCTTATCTGAAGGAACTTTATAGCTTGTGGTGAAATCAAATAAAATCCTGGCTTGAGGCACAGAATAATTTCTGTTAGGAACAAAACTAAATAAACAATGGTGGTTACACACAGTAGGATGGAACCTTCACTCAGTCATGCGTTAGGAGGACCTTCACCACTAATTAGTAATGTAGATGTAGATAAGGTGCCACACCCATGAACTTCAGTATTCACAATTTCATTGGTTAGACTCTTGCTGTTCAAAGTGTGGTTCATGGACCCTGCAGCCTCAGATTACCTGGGACCTTGTTGGAAATGCAATGCCTTCAGACTCACACAGATAGCTGAATTAGAATCTGCATTTGAAAAAGATCTCCAGGTGATGCCCTTTAAGGTTTGAAGAAATTTGGTCTAGCTCAGTGGCCCCTCAAATGCAGGTCTGAGCACATAGGTGCATCATATCATGTTGTGTGGCCTGGCACCAGTAATTTGTGGTCTATAATAGCAAAACCAGTTAAAAATGGCAAATATTTTGGGGAGATTTTAAATTACTAATCTAAAGCATGAATCTCATACATATAAACCTCTATAAAATTCCCTGACTGAGAAAACAAGTGGAAAGTAAGGGAGGAGACATAGACAAAGTCAGAGAGTTGATTGGCTGAACCAATCAATAAAGCCAAGACATTAAGCAGAGTAATATGTAAAGTAATTCAAAAGTTTAAGTGCAGAAAAAAATTTATAGCAGATTGTGATGCACATAATGTATGCAAATAAACACTATATGAATTTTCACACAATGAATGGTCACCATTTTATCCAGTTAAGTTGCGCTTACCAGTCCTAAATTAGGGAGTACCATTTTCATATTAGTGCAAAAGAATATCGTTTTCAACATCTTAAATAAGTGATGGCTTAGACAGGATGCAAAAATCATTCTTCCTGTGTTGATTTTCATTTTAGATTCTCAATACATAAATGAATTGAAGCATTTCCTATTGTTGCCATTATTTTCAGACCTATGAAAATGCTCATGATTAAAAATAATATTTCACCATTACAAGTGATTTGCCTAGTAAAGTAAATTGCATGTGTGAATCCCAAATATTTTCTCCCTTACCTGGAAGAGGATACTATATCTATGACCATTACTACATATACTTCTGTGTCTCATTGATATCACTCTTGGCTCTGTGACTTGCTTGACTGACGGAATGTGAGAAGCGGCAAGTGCCACATTTCAGCAGAATTTTTAAGAGGTTTCCCAAAGTTCTGCCATTTTTCATCCTTCACCATAAAAATGAGCATAAATTATTCCTGATATGCACGTGAGAAAAAGTAAAATAAAGTGAAGTTTGGGGACTGTTTGTTACCATAGCATTACTTAGCAAAGGCTTACTGATAATGCATAATAATAGTAAACAAAGTAAACAGTTACAGACATTTATTTGGTTTCTAAATTGCTACTTTAAGAAACAAAATAATATTACCATATAGTATAAAGGTAGAGGTAAGAAAAATTGTATTGATTTTCTTTGCAAGAGTCCCTATAAGTAGGCATATTGAAATCCTTAGGCCTCTGGAGACATACAGTCAAATGTTTCACACTTTTTTTTTTTTTTTTTTTGAGGTGGAGTCTTGCTCTGTCACCAGGCTGGAGTACAATGGCACAATCTTGGCTCACTGTAACTTCCGTCTCCTGGGTTCAAGCAATTCTCCTGCCTCAGCCTCTCGAGCAGCTCAGATTACAGGCACCTGCCACCATACCCAGCTAATTTTTGTATTTTTAGTAGAGATGTGGTTTCACCATGTTGGTCAGGCTGGTCTTGACCTCCTGACCTCAGATGACCCACCCACGTCGGCCTCCCAAAGTGCTGGCCTCAAACTTTTAAATTATTTATGCTTATAATATCCACCTTTAGGTATTTTTGCAAAAAAAAAAAAAAAAAAAAAAAAAAGCAAAAAAACCTTATCCTTCAAAAAGGTTATTTCTATAGTCAAATTCATAAAAGAAGAAAGTTGACTGGTGGTTGCCAGTTGCTGAGAGAGGGAAATGAGAAGTTGTTATTTCATGAGTACTGTGCTTTAGTTTGGTAAGATGAAAAAGTTCTGGAGATCTGTTGCACGACAATTGTAATATACTTAACGCTACTTAACTATACACTCAAAACTGGCTCTCATGGTAAATTTTAATTTTTGACTTATTTATTTAATTATTTTCAGAGACAGGGTCTCACTCTCACCCAGGCTGGTGTGCAATGATGTGATCATAGCTCTTTATGTTGTGTGTGTTTGTGTGGGTTTTTTTACTGCAATAAAAAATAAAAATGTTACTTTTATAATAAAAGAAAAGCTGTTTATTAGAAAGTAGTAGTCATAAAACACAAACTTTCTTCAACATAGTTCAATGATATTTCTTTAAATTAAATTCCCAAATAGACAACTATAATAAAAATTTTGAACCAGGGTGTTTTTGTTGGTGAGGAAAAGTTTTAGAGTTGACAATTAGATGATATCCCAGGAAGACATAAGGCAATCTAATCAACTGTGCTTATTTCTCTTATTTTATACAACTTAAGTGACATGGAGGCACCTGCTCATTTAACCTTCCACACTGAGAACACTGCCCTCAGGCTCATGTCCAGTTCCCATCATTCTCTCACTCTAGCACTGAGCACTAATCAACTCTCATAATATGTGATCAGGTTATGTATGGTCCAGATTCCCTAGTTAAGAGTATCAGAATATGCCATCCCAAAATATGCTACTGTGGCATAAGGATTATTTTGAGCTAAGGGCAACTGAGAAACAGTAGACACAGGAAGAACTCTCTGCCTTCCGCATTTCTGCCTAAAAGCAGACATAAATTTCTCTTTGTAAATGTAATATAACTTTCCATTTGCAAAAAGGTTCCCTTCTCCCATACCAGGAAGAGAAAAATAACTCTTATCTGCATAACAAGCCTTAGTAAATAAGTCTTATCTACCATACATTTCTAGGTCACTTTCCCACAGTTTACTGCCTGGAGCCCAAAACCTCCTTTTCTTTGTCTATTCTCTTCTCCACAATGTATTGCCCTTCATTAAAATGGTATATAAACTTCTAGGTCTAACCACTTCTTTGAGTTTTTATTTCTTTTCTGTGAAGTCCCTGTGCATGTGAAAATATTATCATCAGATAAGCTTTGTTTGCCTTGTTTTCCTGTTAATATGTCTTTTGTGAATTAAATTTATAGGCCCTAATAACAGAAACCTATGAGGGTAAAGGGAAAGTTTTTCCATTGCTATACTAGTGTATTTACATAGCAATTTTATATAGGACAAAGAAAATTAGTATCAATACAAACCAGTAAAATGTGAAGATGAATATTTATGTGCTTTCAAGAGAATATAGCTACATCTATTGTTTGAGAGATTGCCCAGTCTCTCAAAACCTGACTTCCCTCTTTTTTCTCTTCCTCATGGCCACACTACCAAAAGAAAGGAGAACCATACCCGGAATACACTTTCTCCCTTTACACACTTTCCTCAAGTAACATGCAGTCTGCCCCATCTTCCAGGCTTTCCTAAGACTCCTCTTTCAAAGTCTCCAAGGACATAAAGGCCCATTCTATGGTCCCCACATCTTATTAGCTGCAGGACTTTGATAGGGTCACTCTATCCAGCATTTTGCATAATAATCAAGGAAAGTGAATACTTTCCATTCCCATCTCAGAAAGATGCTTTAAAAGCAAAAGGTATTTATTTATGTGATAATACTTTGCAAACTATAAATCCTAACCAAATGTAAGATATTAACATAACGACCTAAGATCAAGCCAGTTACTATCAGTGTACTTGGAAAGTAATCCAGAAGTAATAAAAATGTCAAATTACTCCTAATGTAACATAATGAAGTGAAAGAATCACATTGATCAAGAGGTACACTTCTGAGAGCATAGAACTTAAGATTTCTGATTTAGATGACTGAATTTACTCCCCACACAGCACTCCATCACCCAAATGAACTCTTCGCAAGCACAGGGTCAGGCACGTGGATGGCATCTATTTAAAACCTAACAAATGAAAAGTGAGCCAAGAAGGAGGAATCAGGGTAATGAGTTTCCAAGACTCAAGAATTTCAGGCTCTACCTGCAAAAAATACGTAAGGCAAAAACTACAAGACAATGAATGCAAGCATCAACATGGCATCTTGCAAACAGGCAGGAAGGATTCATCAATTGGTCCTGGGACTAAAGAAAGGTAAATGTTAGAGACATCGGCAGAGAAAAAAAAAAATCTGGCCTTTGTAGGAGAAGGAGAATTTCACAGCAAAAAAATAAATAAATAAATAAATAAATAAATATTAAAAAGTATATATATATATGGGTCTGGAGTAACAGGTAAAGTAATAAGTGTAAAGAAGAAAACAAAGAGAGTTAACACATGCTGTATGGGTATTCAAGACCCATGGGATGCATTAAGCCGTCTAATCATCACAAGAATCTACATGGTAGCCCCTATTATAATCTGCCCCATTTTTCTTCAGATATAAAAATTGAGGCATACAAAACAAAATCACTTGCCCAAGATTACACAGCCCCTAAGGAGAGAGGCCACAGTGTGTTGATTATTTTCTGAACTACTTTAATAGTCACAGGATTGCCACTTGCTCTTCATCCCCATGCTGAATTACCTCTCCAAATTACTACAAGCAAACGCAAAGAGGTACAGAAGAATATGGCATGCTGAGGAGTCTGGGAAAATTGTCTAATGAGAATGAAAAAATGAACACTTGAAAAATACAAACAAACAAAAGAGCAGAGTCATCTGGAAAGTTAGATGGATACTCAATATGAAGCATGCTGAAAAATTACATGTGATCCTGTACATGTGATGCCTCAATTAGGGCTACCATGGACAAGTATCTACTGGTATCCTCTTAGAAATGCAGACTCTCAGGCCCCATCCCAGACACACCACATCAGAATCTATGGAGGTATGGCCTGGGAATCTGCATGTGAGCAAGCCCACCAGGAGATTCTTGAGTATACTAAAGTTTGAGAAGCAGAGCGTCTAAGACCTTGGGAGCTATGAAGAGCAAAAGCGGGGAGAAAAACTGGGGCTGTGCAATTACCACATTTTAGGGACAGTAAATGCTTCAGTGATATCAGAGGAGATAGCAAAACTGTCTGAGAGATTTATCAGAAGGACATTGCAGACAGCTAGATAGATAAAGGACAAGGAGCAACGAAGGAGGATTTTGACTTTTTTAGCTTGGGTGCTTGAGATGTATTAATCTTTTAATTAATATTAATAATTTATCCATTTTTAATTAATTCCAGAGAGAAATGGAGGTTTGGGGAGCACCTCTACACAAATAAACTAGAAAATCTAGAAGATAAATTCCTTGACACATACACCCTCCCAAGACTAAACCAGGAAGAAGATGAATCTCTGAATGGACAGCTGAACTCTTAAATGATCTCTGCTTGCACAGTTCAGGGCTTGTCCTGGCCCCTGAGGCTCTCACAGTTCTCCCTGCAAACAGTTCTCCTTATGTGGAATTTGATGCAGAATTAGTCATTTGCAGTGAGTTAAAGTGAGTATCATTTAGTTAGACAGTTTGACTTGAGCCCAATTTTCTAACAAACAGCAAATTTCTCTCCATTCTTATGTGTAGTAAATGTTTATGTTGATTTCCACGAAAGACTTTCTCTCTGCCTTAAGTTATGGGAGCCCCAGCTGAAAATTTTAAGCACAGAGATGTACAATGAATGGCTTCTGGCCTATTTAATGATAATGGAAAGGCCACTCTGTCAATACTGTGTTCATTGTATTAACAGCAATAGCTCAGTTGGTGTCAGTGTGTATATTCCTGTGTGATAACAGATTGGAGAAAATGCAGGGTTTAAATAAGAGAAATTCAGGGGTGTCCACCATTGCTGAGGCTTGAATAGGCAGTTTTATTCTCACAATGTAAAGAAAGCCACCAGCTAACTGGGCGGATCCCACTGCAGCTCAGCAAGGCCACTGTTGTCAGACTACCAGGTTTCCCCTTTCTGGGCAGGGCATCTCTGAAAAAAAGGCAGCAGCCCCAGTCAGGGATGTATAGATAAAAACCCCATCTCCCTGGGAAAGAGTACCTGGGGAAAGGGGCGGCTGTGGTCACAGCTTCAGCAGACCTAAATGTCCCCGGTTCATGGCTCTGAAGAGAGCAGCAGACCACCTGGCACAGCATTCAAGCTATGCTAAGGCTCAGACTGCGTCCTCAAGCAGATCCCTGACCCCATGTATCTTGACTGGGAGACAACTCTCAGCAGGTGCCAACAGACACCTCATACAGGACAGCCGTGGCTGGCATCTGGCAGGTGTCCCTCTGGGACAAAAATTCCAGAGGAAAGAACAGGCAGCAATCTTTGCTGTTCTGCAGCCTCAGTGGGTGACTCCCTGGCAAACAGGGTGTGGAGTAGACCTCCAGCAAACTCCAGCAGACCTGCAGCAGAAGGGCCTGAATGTTAGAAGGAAAACTAAAAAAAGAATAACACGTCCACTCAAAGACCCCATCCAAAGGTCACCAAAATCAAAGACCAAAGGTAAATAAATCCACAAAGAGCAGGAGAAACTAGCCCTAAAAGGCTGAAAATTCCAAAAACCAGAACACCTCTTCTCTTAAAAAGGATCTAAAATCCTCACCAGCAAGGGAACAAAACTGGATGGAGAATAAGTTTGATGAATTGACAGGAGTAGGCTTCAGAAGGTGGGTAATAACAAACTCCTCTGAGCTAAAGGGGCATTTTCTAACCCAATTCAAGGAAGCTAAGAACCTTGAAAAAGGGTAAATGAATTGCTAACTAGAATAATCGGTTTAGAGAAGAACATAAATGACCTGATTGAGCTGAAAAACACAGCACGAGAACTTCATGAAGCATATACAAGTGTCAATAGCCAAGTCAATCAAGCAGAAGAAACGATAACAGAAATGGAAGATTAACTTAACAAAATAAAGCAAGAGGACAAGATTAGAAAAAAAAATCATAAAAGAAACGAACAAAGCCTCCCAAAAATATGAGAGCATGTGAAAAGACCAACTCTACATTTGATTGGGGTACCTGAAAGTAACAAGGAGTATGGAATCAAGTTGGAAAACACTCTTCAGTATATTATCCAGGAGAACTTCCCCAACGTAGCAAGACAGGCCAACATTCAAATTCGGGATATACAGCTAACACCACAAAGATACTTCTCGAGAAGAGCAACCCCAAGACACATAATCATCAGATTCACCAAGGTTGAAATGAAGGAAAACATATTAAGGGCAGCCAGAGAGAAAGGTTGGGTTATCCACAAAGGGAAGCCCATCAGGCTAACAGCAGTTTGTCTGCAGAAACCCTAGGAGCCAGAGGAGAGTGGGGGCCAATATCCAACATTCTTAAACAAAATAATTTTCAGCTCAGAATTTCATACCCAGCCAAACTAAGCTTCATAAACTAAAGAGAAATAAAATCCTTTACAAACAAGCAAACGTTTAGAGATTTTGCCACCACCAGGTCTCCCTTACAAGAGCTCCTGAAGGAAGCACTAAACATGGAAAGGAGCAACTGGTACCCACCACTACAAAAACATACCAAATTGTAAAGACCATCTGCACTATAAAGAAACTGCATCAACTAATGGGCAAAATAACCAGCAAGCATCAGAATGACACAATCAAATTTACACATAACAATATTAACCTTAAATGTCAACAGGCTAAATGCCCCAATTAAAAGACACAGATGACAAATTAGAGTCAAGACCGATCAGTGTGGTGTATTCAGGAGATCCATCTCACATGCAAAACACATATAAATAAAGGAATGCATGAATATTTACCAAGCAAGTGGAAAGCAAACAAACAAACAAAAAAGCAGGAGTTGCAATCCTAATCTCTGATAAAACAAACTCTAAGTCAACAAAGATCTAAAGAGAAAATTAAAGGAATTTCATAATGGAAAAGGGACCAATGAAACAAGAAGAGCTAACAATCCTAAATATATATGCACCCAACACAGTTGGGTGATTAGCCTGCATAGGAGCACCCAGACTCATAAAGCAAGTACTTAGAGACCTGCAAAGAGACTTAGACTCCTGCACAATTATAGTGGGAGACTTTAACGCCCAACTGTCAATATTAGACAGATGAACAAGACAGAAAATGAACAAGGATTTTCAAGGCTTGAACTCAGCTCTGGACCAACCAGACCTAATAGATATCTACAGAACTCTCCACCCCAAATCAACAGAATATACATTCTTCTCAGCAACACATCACACTTAGCCTAAAATTGACCACATAACTGGAAGTAAAACACTCCTCAGCAAATGCAAAAGAATGGAAATCATAACATTCAATCTCTCAGACCACAGTGCAATCAAATTAGAACTCAGGATTAAGAAACTCACTCAAAACCGCACAACTACATGGAAACTGAACCTGCTCCTGAATAACTACTGGGTACATAACAAAATGAAGGCAGAAATAAAGATGTCCTTTGAAACCAATGAGAATAAAGACACAACATACCAGAATCTCTGGGACACATTTAAAGCAGTGTGCAGCGGGAAATTTATAGCACTAAATGGCTGCAAGAAAAGGCAGGAAAGATCTAAAATTGACACCCTAACATCAAAATTGAAAGAACTAGAGAAGCAACAGCAAACAAATTCAAAAGCTAGCAGAAGACAAGAAATAACTAAGATCAGAGCAGAACTGAAGGACATAGGGACACGAAAAACCCTTCAGAAAATCAATGAATCCAGGTACCGGTTTTTTGAAAAGGTCAACAAAATAGATAGACTACTAAGCCAGACTAATAAAGAAGAAAAGAGAGAAGAATCAAATAGACACAATAAAAAAATGATAAAGGGGTATAACCATCGATCCCACAGATATGCAAACTACCATCAGTGAATATTATAAACAACTCTATGCAAGTAAACTAGAAAATCTAGAAGAAATGGATAAATTCCTGGACACATATGCTCTCCCAACTCTAAACCAGGAAGAAGTCAAATCCCTGAATAGACCAATAACAAGTTCTCAAATTGCAGCACTAATTAATAGCCTACCAACCAAAAAAGGCCATGACCAGATGGATTCACAAACAAATTCTACCAAAATACAAAGAGGAGCTGGTACCATTCCTTCTGAAACTATTCCAAACAATAGAAGAAGGAATCCTCCCTAACTCATTTTATGAGGCCAGCATCATCCTGATACCAAAACCTGACAGAGATACAACCAAAAAGGAAATTTCAACCCAATATCCCTGATGAACATCAATGCAAAATCCTCAATAAAATACTGGCAAACCATATCCAGCAGCACATTAAAAAGCTTATCCACCACGACCAACTCGGAATCATACCTGAGTTGCAAGCCTGCCTGGTTCAACTTACACAAATCCATAAATGTAATCCATCACATAAACAGAACCAATGAAAAAAAGACATGATTATCTCAATAGACGCAGAAAAGGCCTTTGACAAAACTCAAAACCCTTCATGCTAAAAATTCTCAATAAACTAGGTATCAGTTGAACATATCCCAAAATAATCAGAGCCATTTATGACAAACCCAAAGCCAATATCATACTGAATGGGCAAAAACTGAAGGCATTCCCTTTGAAAACCAGCACAAGGATGCCCTCTCTCACCACGCCTATTCAACGCAGTATTGGAAATTCTGTCCAGGGCAATCAGGCAAGTGAAAGAAATAAAGGGTATTCAATTAGGAAAAGAGGAAGTCAAATTGTCTCTGTTTACAGATGACATCATTGTATATTTAGAAAACCCCATCGTCTCAGCCCAAATTCTCCTTAAGCTGATAAGCAACTTCAACAAAGTCTCAGGATGCAAAATCAACGTGCAAAAATCACAAGCTTTCCTACACAACAACAGACAAACAGAGCACCAAATAATGAGTGACCTCCCATTCACAACTGCTACAAAGAGAATGAAATACCTAGGAATACAACTTACAATGTCTCTGAAGGACCTCTTCAAGGAGTACAAGAAATCACTGCTCAAAGAAATAGGGAGGACACAAACAAATGGAAAAACATTCCATGTTCATGGATAGGAAGAATCAATATTGTGAAAAAGGCCATACTGCCCAAAGTAATTTATAGAATCAATGCTATTCCCATCAAGCTACCATTGACTTTCTTCAAAGAACTGGAAAAAACTAAACTTCATATGGAACCAAAAAAAGAGTCTGCATAGACAAGACAATCCTAAGCAAAAAGAACAAAGCTGGAGGCATCATGCTACCTGACTTCAAACTATACTACAAGGCTACAGTAACCAAAACAGCATGGTACTGGTACCAAAACAGATATATAGACCAATGGAACAGATCAGAGGCCTCAGAAGCAATACCACACATCTACAACCATCTCATCTTTGACAAATCTGACACAACCAAGCAATGGGGTGAAGATTTCTAATTTAATAAATGGTATTGGGAAAACTGGCTGGCCATATGCAGAAAACTGAAACTGGACCCCTTCCTTACACCTTATACAAAAATTAACTCAAGATGGATATAAGACTTAAATGTAAGTCCTAAAATCATAAAAGTCCTTGAAGAAAACCTAGGCAATACCATTCAGGATATAGGCATGGGCAAAGACTTCATGTCTAAAATACCAAAAGCAATGGCAACAAAAGCCAAAATTGATAAATGGGATCTAATTAAACTAAAGAGCTTCTGCACAGCAAAATAAACTATCATCAGCATGAACAGGCAATGTATAGAATGGAAGAAAATTTTTCCAAGCTATCCATCTGACAAAGGTTTAACATCCAGAATCTACAAAGAACTTAAACAAATTTACAAGAAAAAAAAACCATCAAAAAGTGGGTGAAGTATACAAACAGACACTTCTCAAAAGAGACATTTAGGCAGCCAACAAACATGAAAAAAAGCTCACGATCACTGGTCCATAAAGAAATCCAAATCAAAACCACAATGAGATAGCATCTCGTACCAGTTAGAATGGAAATCATTAAAAAGTCAGGAAATAACAGATGCTGGAGAGGATGTGGAGAAATAGGAACACCTTTCCACTGTTGGTGGGAGTGTAAATTAGTTCAATCAATCTGGAAGACAGTGTGGCAATTCCTCAATGATCTAGAACCAGAAATACCATTTGACCCAGCAATCTCATTACTGGGTATATACCCAAAAGATTATACATCATCCTACTATAAAGACACATGCACATGTATGTTTATTGCAGCACTATTCACAATAGCAAAGACTTGGAACCAACCCAAATGTCCATCAATGATAGTCTGGATAAAGAAAATGTGGCACATATACTCCATGGAATACTATGAAGCCATAAAAAAGGATGAGTTTCATGTCCTTTGCAGCGACATGGATGAAGCTGGAAACCATCATTCTCAGCAAACTATCACAAGAACAGCAAAGCAAACACCACATATTCTCACTCATAGGTGGCAGCTGAACAATGAGAACACATGGACACAAGGAGGGGAACATCACACACCGAGGCCTTTAAGGGGTTGGTGGGCTCGGGGAGGGATATACTTAGCAGAAATACCTAATGTAGATGATGGGTTGATAGGTGCAGCAAACCACCATGGCCTGTGTATACCTATGTAATAAAACTGCACATTCTGCATATGTACCCCAGAACTTAAAGTATAGTAATAAAAAAAATCCTTAAGATAAAGAAGAATAGAGAGAAGAAGAGACTGAGAGGGAGGGAGGGAAGGGAAAGAAAGAAAGACAAAAGAAAGGATGGGAGGGAGGGAGAAGGGAGGGAAAATGGAAGAAAGGGAGGGAAGGAGGCAAGGAGGGAAAGGAAAGGGAAGGGAAGGGAGGGAAGGTGCCCAGCTAATTTTTAGTATTTTTAGTAAAGACGGGGTTTCCCCATCTTGACCAGGCTGATCTCGAACTCCTGATCTCATGATCCACCCTCAGCTTCTCAAAGTGCTGGGATTACAGGCTTGAGTCACCACACCAGGCCCATTTTTCACTCTTAAAATAATTCAAGACAATTTACAAAGCTCCTTATGATTACAGCTGGAAAACACATCTTAAGTGAGTGGGAAAAAAAAAATGAGATAAAAGGAAATTAAAATGAGGAGAAATAAATAAATACTGTCAGGGATAAAGCAAGTTTCCTAAATGCATATGATCAATTCCAGCACACTTGTTAAAGACAGGCTGTTTTATTTAAGCTTTAGCTTTCTAATGACCAACTGTAAGAGGAAAACACTATTGACTGCAAAATTCACAGCATCCATAGGCTAAAATTATCTACCCATTTCTCAAGGAGGCACAATAAGTACTGATAATGCAATCAGAATGAATGTCTCTTGGCTGGACGAGGTAGCTAAGGTCTGTAATCCCAACACTTTGGGAGGCCAAAGTGGATGGATCACCTGAGGTCAGGAGTTTCAGACCAGCATGGCCAACATAGAAAAACCCCTTCTCTACTAAAAAAATACAAAAAAAAATAGCCTGGTGTGGTGGCACACAAGCAGAAAAACTTAGCCGGATGTGGTGGCACACAAGCTAAGGCAGGAGAAATGCTTGAATCCAGGAAGCGTAGGTTGCAGTGAGCTAAGATCATGCCACTGCATTCCAGCCTGGGGGACAGAGCCAGACTCCACCTCAAAAAAAGAAAAAAAGAAAAAAAAATTAATGCCTCTCCAAATTTCCTCCCCAAAATGGCATGACATAACAGACTGATGTCCTCAACAACCTCTTTAGAGCAGCCCTAATGACTAGGTTTGTAGGACAATTTCTGAAGTTATCATCCACAGTGCACTGCAACAACATACCATTCAGCAAAAGCCATTTGTTAAAGGAAGATTTGAAATGGCAAAGACATAGTTCAGCCGTGTAATCAAGGCATAGATTCTAGAGCACCTGGAAGTGATACATCCATCAGGCAGGTATAAATACTGTCTCTCTCCAGTGGCTTTTGGTACCACCAGGATACAATGAGTTTCATATTCTACTCCTTGGAAAGTTCCAGATGCCTAGTGAGTTTGCTTATACTACATTGCCACTTCATAGCTAGCAGAACTTTCATTAGCTCTGACGTTCACTGTGAAATTAAAGGTCCTGACAGACATTTGTCTTAAAAAAAACCACTTCCTGCATAGATATGCATCAAACAGGGAGAAGGGAGTAACTCACAAAAATCCCCCTCAGAAAAAGTGATTTTGTTTTCCAACCCAGATGAAAAAAGATGGTGCAATCCAGTACACACACACACACCCCCACACACACTGATTACCCATAGAACATCATGCTTTGAGCAATGAATCTTACAATGACATTCCTAGACCTAAACTGGTTGCAAAATAAATATGCCAAGGTGGTTGAATGTCATTATTTATGGATCAAGGCAGGTTCTTCCCCATTGAACAGATAAAATAACTCTTGAGAAAGGCAAATTGTTTTAGTTTGAAACAATTTAGTCTATCTATCTTCTCTTTTTCAGGCAAGTTAGACAGCAATGTTACCAGGGGTCCTTGCTCCTAGAGTTCCCAAAATGGTGGCGGGCCACTTCCAAGATGGCGGCAAGCCTCTTGTTCTCTGATGTGGGGTTCTTGGCCTCACGGATTCCAAGGAACGGAATCTTGGGCCATGCGGTGAGTGTTACAGCTCTATTAGAAACCGTGGGTCACGGAAGAGAACTGTGGAACACAGCGACTAGTATTCAGCTCGATTAGGACGAACCCAGGCACTTAGCCATGCAGGAACAATGGCAAGCCTTTAGCCACATAGTGAGCAGCAATAGGTGCCTGGCTGGATCAGCAACACAATGGACACCCTGCTGGATCTGGAGGGGTGGAAGTCAGTGGAGGGTCTGCGACAGCAGCAAACAGCAGTAGTGGAGGGTCAGTGAAAGCTCAGCTCAAGCGATAACAAGCATGGTCCAGAAGAGTGCACTTGCAAGATTTAATAAAGTGGAAACAGAGCTCCCACATGAAGGGAGGGGATCCAAAGAGGGTAGCCGTTGCCGGCTCTAATGCCTGGATTTATATACCGATCAGATTATTGTCTCTCCTGCTGTGCTCTCAGGTGAGATGATTGCTCTCAGGTCAGATGATTGCCTAATTCTTTACCTCCTGTTTTTGCCTAATTAGCCTTTTAGTGAGGTCTCTTTACTGCCTGATTGTTCAGGTGTGAGCTAAGTTGCAAGCCCCGTGTTTAAATGTGGATGTGGTCACCTTCCTAGCGAGGCTTAGGAATTCTTAGTCAGCCTAGGAAACCCAGCTACTCCTGTCTCTCAGCAAGGCTGTCTATATTCACCCAGGTGGTAAAAACAGAGCTAAATTTAAAACCTCCATTTATTTCCCTACAATGCTCTTTTAGAAACACAGAGAAATGAAGTTTCCAAAGTAGACAATGCACAAACACAAATTAGGTTTCCTAAGAGGAACTCCTGTGTGTGATTCAGGAGACAACTAGACTTGAATCTCATTCCACAGATTACCTATAATGTGGAGTCAAAATTATGAACATAGAAAAGCAAATGTGGACCCCCTTTAAATTCATGTGAGAGTGCTCTACCCCAGGAGAGAATATTTTGACGGTGACTCTCATGGCAGAGATAAAGCAACATGATATGATACAATCTCATGTTCAATGCCCAGAAATTCTGATTAACCAGTGATTGAAATCCAATCCTATTTTCTGAAACATAGGGTCCCCAAACTTCAATCAGCATTGGTGTGTTTTTCCAGTTGCCAGAATAAACCTCAACATCTTCAAACAATCAGCACTCATCCCTGCTCTGTGTGCTTTCTGATGAACACATTACAACTTCAAAACATCTGTCAGACTGTAATCACCATGTAATACATCTTGACTCAGATGGTTTTCATATGTTCAAAACAGATTCCCTTTCTAAAGGCGGCTTTCTGGAACTCATCTTCAACTGTGAACCAAATAAGAGATTTCGTTTGCATTTTCTTTCATCAGATGGAAGAAGAAATTAATCATAAGAGATTAAGAAAAGACTTAAACAGAGGTGCATTTCCCCTTCCACATGACTTTCCTTTGAAGTTTATAGCAGGTGGAAGAGTCTTTCACACCCGTAAAATTGACATGGAAAAGCAGAAACACACTGAGCTATTAACTTGTCACATATTGGATTTAAATCTAAATAGGAACCTGTTCTTTCCCTTATATTTTGATTGTGCACCAGCTTAGCAGGAAGCTTTGCATGTTCTTTCAGCAGACAGGCTAGTTTCTAGGCTAAAATAACCTGGAATGTTTCAGCTACCGCAGGCTAATGATCACCCAAATGCACACTAATATGTTTGATAAAAGTTCTCAGTGTGAGGGCAGAAAACGCTTACCATAAGAATGACGGTGGTCAGGGGAAGCAAATCAGTGACACCAACTCATGCCGCCTTCAATACTGGAGGCTCCAATTAGAACTGTGAGTCTGCATTCCAGGGGGCAGTGACAGCTGGAATTTTGCAGGAAATCGCTAATTGTTTAAATCATTAACTGATCCATCCACCTGCATTATCACTAGAAGGGACCCCGCTGGAAGCCTTCAGCGGTTTCTCAAAAATCTCAGGACTATAGCCTGGCCAGTTAAGAAATGGTGTTTTGAAATTAGTTGTTTATGTAGCTATTTGTGAGTTTTCTTTTTTTTTTTAATCTGTTTCCCATGCTCTCACTTTTTTCTATTTTTTCTTTCCATTTCTGCCTTTGCATCAGAGATTATACCTACTTTAATGTTCCTATGGCACAACACTGGATAAATAATTTGTAAATCATGCCACACATGCAGCCCTAAGTTCATTTTCAACTGCTTCAACTCACTTAAGAGAAACTTCAGGCTGGGCATGGTGGCTCACGCCTGTAATCCTAGCACTTTGGGAAGGCTAACATGGGCAAATGGCTTGAGTCCAGGAATTCAAGACCAGCCTGGGCAACACAGTGAGACCTCATCTCTGCAAAACAATAATAATAAATTAGCCAGCCATGGTGGCACATGCCTGTATTCCCATCTACTTAGGAGGCTAAGGCAGGAGGATTACTTGAGCCCCGGAACTGAAGTCTGCACTGAGCCATGATGGTACCACTGTACTGCAACTTGGGCAACAGAGTGAGACCCTGTCTCAAAAAATAAATAAATAAAAAATAAGAGATAGAGACAGAGAGAAAGAGAGACATCATGTCTTACTGAGCATAAAAGGCCAAGTCTACTTGTAATCAACTTTTGGCATCATGCTATAGGACAGTTGGAGAAATTTACATCCAGTGATTTATATTAATCATGCTAATATAATATTGTTCATACAGATGGCTTTTTCAAAAGAACACTAGTTGAAACCTCACACACACTAACAATTTATTTTTGCATGCATTCTACACAAATGTTAAGTCCAAAATGTTGATTTAAGGAAATAATAGAATATTTCTCTTATCTCTTCTAATGTTAATTATCCCATCATATTTATTTTCTCATGAAAAATAAAGACATGATCTCATGGAAGTAAAGACATGTACTTGTCAAAATAATAACATTAATATCCAAAATGAAGGGGAATTAATTATACCCAACTTGAGACGTTTTCTACATAAATCTCTCTCTTTGAATTACACAAGCCTGCACTTCTCCTGAAGTCATTGTCAAACATGATCTGGCTGTGAAATCATTGTTTACTCCGAAGGAGATCAATAAGTTGGACAACAGATGTTTGGTGAACAGCAACATTATTCTTGAAATGTAACATCTATAAAGTCAGGAAATACTGTATGAGCATCAGTAAGTACTGCAACAAGTCTAAAGTATCTAAACATTTAAAATCTTGATCCACTACATATTAGAATTGCAATCAGATAAAAAAAATTCACCTTTGGTTCTTAGATACTTGGGCACAGTGGATTTTCATGTATGTCTGAGTTTTCATTTTGCTCCTGAGAAATGTCTTCCTTGGGTGCTATGGATTTACTGTCATATTCACATAAATCACAGAAAGTATCTCATACAAAACAAAAATTTCAATAGTCACATTCAGATGTATTTCAGAAGTTGGGTCCTCACCTGATAAATTTCACAGATGGCAAATAAAGCCGTACAGATTTTAATACAAACAAAACCAGTCTTCCTCACCTCTCAAATTGGTCCTGAATAAAGCTAGAAAATTTCTAACAGTTTGGAGTTGTAGCGCCCATATCAAGCCAGTCACTTCTGGCACCCAAAGGCAGAAAGATAAGCATGCAGACTTCCCACAGATATGTGGTGGTTACTACGGGACATGCCATTCTTAGAGTCAATGTTTTGAAATATAACTCTGAGCTGAAGGTTAAAGGAGAAATCTTTTATAAAGTAAGGTCATGACTCTCACACAAATATAAAATGAAAATGTACCACAGATTTTATGTAATTCAAGAAATAGTCATATGTTATATTTGATTCAAAGGAAAAATTCAGTAGATAGATAGATAAATGATAGATTAAGTTGGATGGATGGATTGATGGATTGATGGGTGAATAGCGTAAATAAGGAATGCTGGTACTGGAATGGATTTACAAATATATACAAAATGTTGTATTACTGGAGGAAGTATCAAGTGTATTCCACTAGACACAATTTATTTGCATTTTCATGGACAAGAGTTATCTATATTATCAATTTTCTACCATTTGCAGAGAGGGAAAATAGTTCAAAGACAGTGAACACTGCACAGAACTTGGAAAAGTGCAATAGAGAGAAAAAATAGTCTTTACTTTTGCCAATTTTCAAGTCTTTCACAATTGTTCTTGACTCTGATCATCTCATTTTAACGCTGGATTTTCAAAAGTTAACTGTGATTTATTTGAAGTTTTTTTTTTTACTATTCATTATTTCAAATCCCCGCAGGTTGATAAAGAATGTTCTATAAGCGATGTCAGAAACTGTCCATTTTGTTTGACTTTGAATGTTTTAAGATATGTCTGGCTGGGTGGGGTGGCTCATGCCTGTAATCCCAGCACTTTGGAAGGCCGAGGCAGGCAGATCACAAGATCAGGAGTTTGAGGCAACCTGGCCAACATGGTGAAACCCTGTCTCTACTAAAAATACAAAAATTAGCCAGGCGTGGTGGCGGGCATGGGTAGTCCCAGCTACTCAGGAGGTTGAGGCAGGAGAATCACTTGAAATTGGAAGGTGGAGGTTGCAGAGAGCCGAGATTGCGCCACTGCACTCCAGCCTGGGCAACAAGCGCAAAACACTGTCTCAAAAAAAAAAAAAAAAAAAAAGATATGTCTTTGTATTGTCAGAAAAATGCATTTTTATTATTTTGTTTCAGTTTTGTTTTGTCTGTGTGACTGTAATGTCATAGAACAGGGGTTTAGAAACTATAGCAACAGACCAAATCCAGGTTGTCACCTGTTTTTGTTTAACTAGTGAGCTATGTTATTTTTATTTTCAATGGTTGGAAAAAAATAAGTAAAATATTATAATGTGTGAAAA
Source organism: Homo sapiens (assembly GCF_000001405.40). Classification (NCBI taxonomy): domain Eukaryota; kingdom Metazoa; phylum Chordata; class Mammalia; order Primates; family Hominidae; genus Homo; species Homo sapiens. The sequence continues at coordinate 13,799,961 of NC_000024.10, read as the reverse complement.
TTATGGGATATTCAAATTTTAGTATCTACAAATAATGTTTCATTGAAACACAGTTACTCTTCTTGGTCTATATATTCTGTACTACTGCTTTTGTGCCACAACAGCAGAGTTGAGTGGTTGCAACAGGGACCATATTGGCTGCCAAGACAAAGATGGTTACTATCTGGTGTTTTTATAGAAGTCATTTGCTAACCCCTATCCTAGAACACTGAGTTTAATGAAAAGTTACATTGAAAAGGATGATGGGATTCAGAAGACACTACTCAAAATATGGCACCTTGGTATATTAAAAAAACAGAAGTAGGAAAGTCTCTCTGACCTCCCCTCCTCACCCACATATATGCTTCTCCCCGATGCAGGGCATATAGCTTAGGAAAGCTTTTCCAACATTACCAAGAAACAGGTCAGAAGACACTCAGGTGAGGGCCTCCTGACTCCTGGAAGAAAGGAACATGCTCATCTCTGAAGGTGAAGGGTCACAGAGAGGAACCTGAACAAACAGGCCTTGCTAAATTCCCCAGTTTATCTCCACTACATCACACCCTTTTTGTTCTATCATATTTCTCCATCAGCATCCACTCTTTATCAAAGCTACCATAAAAATATATGGAATTAATCATTTACTTCCATATCATGTAAAACTTACTAAATAAATTTGTATGTTTTTCTCATTGTAATCTATCTTTTGTTATAAGTATTTAAGTCATCAACATTGGATGGGTAGAGAGAAGAATATTTGTCCTCTCTACCAGGAAAAGCTACTAGGAAACATAGATGTTAACACAGCTCATTAAAATATTTTGACATTTAAATATTTTGACTCTGTACTATAACTAAATACAAGGGCTTTCTGCCCATCAATTCAAATCTCCTGTCAAATGTTCCAAATCATTCCTAAGTGAGCCTTTAGAGAAATTACGTACAACGAAAAATAGAATCTAAGACAAACCATTTCCTCCGAGCTGGAGGCTGTTTTTGGCTGGATATATCATTGCTCTAGGCCTCAGATTCCTGAACTGCGCAATGAAAGAATTGTACTGGAATATTCCAAAATATTCCCTCTAGCTTTAGAATTCTTCTCTCCATCATTTATGCAAACAATGATCTCAGTGGTCTGTATCACCCATGTTCCCTTACTGAGAGAAACTGTCTAACACTTAACAGAGTCAGTCCTAGGATCCACGTGTCTGTGGCCCATTCAAATAGTTTTCTCATTCTTTATCAAATATTTCCATCCCAGAGTAACAAATAAGTAATGAACATGAGAATCAAGCCAGGAGACCATAAACAGAGCCTGACAGAAACTAAGTTATTCACACATTAACCATTAATGGGTGAATACACAGGAAACTAAGAACATTGGAAAAGAGTTAGAATTGAGAGGTTAGCAAAAAGAAAAGCAGAAATGGATTCTAAAGGTACACGAATGCTCTAACGGGCAAAGTAAGGGGTAGAAGGTGGTTATATAAGTCTTCAAGTAATGGGGACTCAGAGGAATATTGCATGAATTTTTAAGAAGGGGTGAAGTAATAATAGCTTGGAATTTTCTCAGTGAGCAAAAATTAATGCAAAGACCAAGTTCACATTTAGTATCACTTTATCACTAGGGACTAGGACATAGTAGATGATCAATGAACATCTACTGAAACAGAATTAATCAGACTGTATTGGAATAAGCAAATGAAATGTATTTAAAGAAAATGTTAAACTAGAAACACAAATGAAAGCGCTGAACAGCCACCACATTATAATATATGGGATATAATACATCCTATACAAAAAGATAGGATCTGATTCACATTATATTTGGCATGGAGCTATTTGTTATTCGAAAGAAAGAATAAATAAAACAGGTTCTTGAAGTAATGTACATTCTTAAGATTGGACCAACTTAAAAATATCATTACAATGGAAATATATCCCATTTTATCAGCATGTTTTACAGTATTGTAGTAACATTTCATTCCAAAAAGTTCTTAGGGTGGCTTGGACTAAAAAAATGAAACTAAGATTAAAAATTGATTGCAAAGATTATTTAGATAGAATTTTAAATATATATATATATATATATATATATATATATATATGTTGTTGTTGTTGTTTTTAAGCCAAAGGTATATAGTTATTTCTTGATTAGAGACAAATGACCTTGGCCAGATGCAGTGGCTCACGCCCGTAATCCCAGCATTTTGGGAGGCAAAGGCGGGTGGATCACCTGAGGTCATGAGTTTGAGACCAGTCTGGCCAAACATGACAAAACCCCATCCGTACTAAAAATACAAAAATTAGCCAGGAATGGTGGTGGGTGCCTGTAGTCCCATCTACTTGGGATGCTGAGGCAGGAGAATCACTTGGACCCTGGAGGCGGAGGTTGCAGTGAGCCAAGAGTGCACCACTGAACTCCAGACTGGGCAACAGAGCGAGACTCCATCTCGAAAAAAAATAAAAATAAAAATAAAGAGAGAGATTATACTGTTATTTACTTACTACTAAAATTGAAGTACTAAACATAAGTTATTGTAAAGACATCATTTTAGGATATATTTGATATATTTTAAAAGGTTTGATCAGGCATGACGGCTCACACCTGTAATCCCAGCACTTTGGGAGGCCGAGCATGGTGGTGCATGCCTATAGTCCCAGCTACTTGGGAGGCTGAAGCACAAGAGTTGCCTGAACCCGAGAGATATAAGTTGCAGTGCACTGCACTCCAGTCTGGGCAACAGAAGGAGACTCCATCTCAAAAAAATGAACGAATGAATGAATGAATGAATGAATGAATGAATGAATGGTTTGCCCTTAACCATGCAAGACTGAAACTGTGTTTAGATGTCAATTTTGCAAACAGTTTATTTTGCAACGGCCAAGGGCAAACTGCAGCCTTATGGTCGTAAATGAAGCTGAATTAGAAGAGTAAGCCATCTTCAGGCTGTATCTTTCTGACTTCCCACTGGACAATGGGGGTATAAAAGCAAGAAAGAGAAAATACAGCTCATTCAGTACAATTAGGCCACTGTTTTGCCAGGACATTACACTATTCACAGTAGCTATACGGGTGACTCAGGAAAAAACTTAGCACATCAAGAGAAGCAACCACAAACTGAGCAAGAGATTTTTAATCAGTTTTAAAAAGTTATTCTATAAGACTTCATATGTGTGAGGTACCCAATGAGAAAATCACTGGCTTTTAATTCCATCAGAACACAGTTTAAATCCTGTGTGGGGGATTTACTGGTACTTACTAGATAAGTGACTTTGTAAGAAAGTCACCTACCTTTCCTGAGCATCTGTGACATGAAGATGGCCATTCCAAGATTAAGCTAAGATTAAGTTTGCCCACACACAATTCCATCTTCATAGGGAAAACGAAATGTAAAATAACAGTAACTTAAGCAAAATAGAAAGTTATTTCCTTTTCATGTGCAAGGATGCTATGGGGACTCAATAGCTTCAAAGACCCAGGTTCCTCCTATCTTTCTTGTCAGTATTCTCAGCCTGGACTCCATCCTCAAAAGTACTTCATGGCCCAAGAAAGCTGCTGGGGCCCTTGCCATTGGTATGCCCTCTAACAAGCAGCAAAGAGCAAGGGGGAAAGAACAAACCAGTACACTTTCTAGCTAAATCAGTTACCTTTTTAAAAAGACATTTTGAAAGTTCTTCACAATGATTCCATGTGGGCAATAAATTAGTTAGTGGCCAAATTTAGAAGCAAAGGAGCTTGGGGAAATATAGATGTTTAACCCAAGGTGAAAATGAGCTCAGGTGAGGAATGAGGTTTCCTTTAGCAGAGAGGAGGAGAAACTGGATTAGGAGGCAAACAGCAACCTCTCTCACCAGTATTAGAGAGTACTTGATGACAATCAGTATTCCTAGACATAATGAGCCCCTAAAATGGTACTTGGCACATACCTTGTGCTCAGTAAACTACACATTTATTTTCTTTATATAATAAATTAAAACTGCTGAGGACCATGCTCTTAATTTCTTTCATAACTCCCCAAATGTGTAGGCCAGGGTTTGTCAATCTCAGCATTACCGATATTTGGAGCCAGATAATCTTTGCTGTGGGAGGGCCTTTCCATGCAGTATAGGTTCTATATTAGCATCCCTGGTTTTAACCCACTGGATGTTAATAACTCCTCATTCCCAACTTTGACAACCAAAAATAGTTCCACCCATTGCCAATTGTTCCTTGGGGAGCAAATCGCCCTCAGTTGAGAACCACTGGCCTAGACCAGTGCTGGGCAATAAGGTACTCTTCCTCATTCTCTAGGGTTGAGTGGTGCAGGAGCTAAAGACCCTTGAGCTCACAGTGCTGATTCCATTATGTCAAGCCCAGCATACTCTTGAAGTCTGATGAAGCACAGATACAAATCTCTACAGTTAAAACATTTTATTTAGGAAGCAAGAATTTCCATTCGAGGCATACAGATAGACCAGGTATTCTTCAGTATGTCCAAAGAACAAAGAGGTTATACCAAAAGGAGAGATGTTATGTGTTGTTTTGAAAGAAAGTTCACCAGCAGGAATAAAATTTTAGGGAGCTGGTAAGTTCTGATTGATGAGTAACAACAGTAGGAAAAATTGGTCTTAAAGTTGCAACAGCTTGTTTCAGTAGCTATAGATAAAACCAGTTTCAGGTTATGGCAGGCAGCTTGAGTAGCCAGGCTTGCAGAGAATTATCTTCTTGAAATATTACATGCCCTGTGTTTTCTCCCCCTGGCCCCTTGACTTAGTTGAGTATGACAAAAATGACTCAATTTATATGATCAACTTTCACACAGGAAAAATAACAGCAAACTTTCCCTAAATAACATAGTAAGTCATGCACATTGAGAATGGATGACATGGTGCTTTTTTTCCTGAAGGTAATGCGGTAAAGACATTGGGTAGGATTATGCAATATAAGTGTTTGTTTCATTCACTCATTCATCAAAAATGTTTGCTGAGCAGCTACTATGTGCCAAATACCAGTTTATGCTTTGGGGACACCACATTGAACAATGAGGACAGCATGTATGTCCTCATGTCCCCATGAAGCTTTTTTCTGGTGAACGAGGAAGATTTTAAGCAGATAAAGCAGTAACTCCATAACATCACATATGGGCACAATATGGACAATAAAGCTTCTAAGTATGTTGGAGGGTGACCTGGGAAGTCATGGCTAAGAAATTGGCTTTTTTGCCAAGACCTGAATGAAGACAGTTCGTGAGGCAAGGGAAGGAACATTCTGAGTGGAGGGGAAAGCAGTCATGAAGTGGTAGAGTAGAAGGTGATTAAGTTGGGGACAGAGGCCAGGCATGGTGGCACACACTGTAACCCCAGCACTTTGGGAGGCTGAGGTGGGTAGATCATTTAAGGTCAGGAATTCAAAACCAGCGTGGCCAACACAGTGAAACCCCATTTCTACTAAAAAATACAAAAATTGGCTGGGCGTTACGGCAGGTGCCTTTAATCCCAGCTACTCAGGAGGCTGAGGTGTGAGAATCGCTTGAACTCAGGAGACAGAGATTGCAGTGAGGTGAGATCATGTCACTGCACTCCAGCCTGGGTAACAGAACACGACTCCATCTCAAAAAACAAACAAACAACAACAAAGTTGGGGGCAGAGCACAGGCACACAATAGAGAACCAGTGAGTATAAGCATAAAACTTTGGATTCATCTGAGTGAGAAGGAAATACATCATTAGGTTTAAGGTAGACAGCAGTGTGATGCCACTTATATACATACATACATATATACATATATATACACACATACATATATTTATTTATTTATTTATTTTATTTTATTTTTTGAGACAGAGTCTCGCTCTGTTGCCAGGCTGGAGTGCAGTGGCGCGATCTCGGCTCACTGCAAGCTCCGCCTCCCGGGTTCACGCCATTCTCCTGCCTCAGCCTCCGGAGTAGCTGGGACTACAGGCGCCCGCCACCACGCCCGGCTAATTTTATTTATTTTTTAGTAGAGACAGGGTTTCACCGTGGTCTCCATCTCCTGACCTCGTGATCCGCCCTCCTCGGCCTCCCAAAGTGCTGGGATTACAGGCGTGAGCCACCGCGCCTGGCCGATGCCACTTGTATTTTTAAGAGTCTTTCCAGCAGCCATGAGGAAATGTGATTTTTTGGGGTAAGAGTGGAGGCTGAGAGACCCAACAGGATGCTCTTGGATTCATCACAGCCGGAGAGAATGGCAGGCTGGAGACAGGAAGAGTGGTTAGATGAGATCTGTTCCACAGGGGGTCTGAAGGGGAAGCTGACAGGCTTTGCAGATGGTCACCAGAAGTGATTAAACAGTGTGTGGTTTCTAGAAAACATTATGCAAACCTAATCTTCCAAACAGATAATCAGAAAATTGTATCGTCAACACTGCTTCTGGGTTTTCTGACTTTTCTCTCCCTATATTCATAAAAACTAGTTTCTAGAATTGTTGGCCCGTATGTAACAGTGTAGACACAGGGATCTGTTATGCCTACACTGGCTTGCTGAGTGATTATAGAATCATCATCAAATATATGTGTGCCTGATTTTCCCTGTCTGTAAAACGGAGTGACTACAGATTACCAGTAACCTTGTTAACATAACGCATTAAGAGAAAAATCCCACCTAGTACTTCATGAATCCCAAAAGAAATGCAAACTAATTATCTGCACAGGTATCCAGTCATGATAACATCCAAAGGAGACAAACTTTGATTAATAAGCAAGATTCATTCCCAAAGATTCCCAGGGATCCCAAGTTAAAGACAAACCTTAAATTTCTGTGAGCTTTGTAATATATTCCAGAGTTTTCAGTTGGGATTAATTGTGACTTATTGATTGATTCTTCCTTTCTGACAAAAAGGATTGCTTTCTTTTCTTGTGGAATTCAGTCTCTCATGGCAGCCTTGATTAATCATTTGCAAACTATGGTTTAACCATCTATAGTCCCTAATGTACAAATTTCTTTCACTGCAATAATTTTAAAGTAGTTCAAATAAAACTGTTCAATTCAAATTCCTTCTAAGTTTGTAAAAGATAATTTCTTGATGGGATATGGAAAATATGAGTGCTTAAATAAGAAGTAATACCAACGTAACAAATTCTCTTTCCTATAATACACAATTTTTAAAAATTGGACAATAAGAATACTTATGAAATTTAATCAGCCTCATGACATTATGTGCTTTATCTGCAATGATGGCATAAAAAAAGTTATCCAAAGTTCCAGCTGACAACCACTTAATATAATTAATACCCAAAAATGTTTGTACAGAGCAAATGCTTAAGACATTACATAAACAGAATAAGTGGATTGTAACCAAGCATTTCATTTCTGCCCACGATCTAGACAGTCAGAAATAAGCAAAGCTTACCTTCACCAAATTATTTCACATTCCCATAAGAATTCTGCTCTATTTTAAAGTAAAATTCATGTGTATTAAATGACAAAATATGTGCATGATTATGGAAATGCATCATTAGAAACAAAGTTTTTAGTTTAGGAATATGATTCTATAATAATTTATGTATTTGAAAGACCTTTAACAAAACAATCCTTTTTATAAATATGCTATTTCAATATTATATATTCCTTAGATTAAATTTTGTTTATAAAATAAAGGTATATTTCTATTTTAGGACTAAAAGTAATACCCATGATATAATTTTTGTTTTTCTTGTGTGTGTGTGTGTGTTTTTTTTTTTTTTTTTTTTGAGATGGAGTCCTGCTCTGTCACCCAGACTGGAGTGCAGTGGCACCATCTCGGCTCACTGCAACCTCCTCCTCCCAGGTTCATGCCATTCTTCTGCCTCAGCCTCCCAAGTAGCTGAGACACAGGCACCTACCGCCACACCTAGCTAATTTTTTGTATTTTTATTAGAGGTAAATTTTCTCTGTGTTAGCCAGGATGTTCTCGATCTCCTAACCTTGTGATCCACCCACCTCAGCCTCCAAAAGTGCTGGGATTACAGGCATGAGCCACCATGCCCAGCCCCATGAAATAAATTTTATCAAACATTATTATGATCCCAAAGTTGCTGCAAAATTTTTAGCAAACTTTGTAAACTTTACTCATTAATACAATCTTATTATAAAATGTACTTCAGACTGGAGCTGGAGCATTATCATATAAATATTAAAAAAGGAAAAATTGTGGTGTATTGGGATTGAGGTAAGAAATGTATTATATCAAACATATAAATAAGTAAGATAAGAAAGTTTATCATGTTCTTTAGTGTGCAGAAAAGAATACTCAAAAATGGAAAAGAGTCTGTTTTATTAAAAAGCAAATTATTGGCCGGGCGGGGTGGCTCATGCCTATAATCTCAGCACTTTGGGAGGTCACAGTGGGCAGATCACAAGGTCAGGAGTTCGAGACCAGCCTGGCCAATTGGTGAAACCCCATCTCTGCTAAAAATACAAAAATTAGCCAGGTGTGGTGGTGAGAGCCTGTAGTCCCAGCTACTTGGGAGGCTGAGGCAGGAGAATCGTTTGAACCCTGGAGGTGGAGGTTTCAGTGAGCTGACATCACGCCACTGCACTCCAGCCTGGGTGACAGAGGGAGACTCCATCTCAAAAAACAAAAAACGCAGCAAATTAAACCAGCAATTCCTACAAAGAAATGAAAATGCATGCAAAATTACCTAAGTGTAAATGGAATACATGAAATCCTCTCTGGCCTAACCAGAAAACATTTTCTCCTTAATGCTTTTTAACAGGAAATTACAAACAAAACATAAAATAAGGTAGTATATAGAACCACTGACACCTGTAAATTGATGGCAGTGATAACTACCCAAATCAAATCTTACATGTGATAAAATGTCACAAAATTATATACATACATTGCATGCATGTCAATTTTGTGCTTTTGATATTGTTTACAACTACTTAAAGTGCAACCATTGGTGGAAACTGGATACACGTGATTTCTTTGTGCTTTGTGACTTCTGTGAAACTATAATTATTCCCAAATTAGAAGTTTTTGCACCATTCATACAGGTATAGGAAATCTACCTTAGAACATCACTTGTGATTCTGGCACCAAAGCAGGGAACCACTGTTCTGCAAAAAGAAAAAGAAAAAATGTTGACCCATTATACACTTTTCTAATACAAAGCTACACATACACAGATTTCTAATTTAAAATTATAATTTATGCATATAATTTTTGAATATTTGCATTTTAACAAACGCCCAATCTTGCAAAACCTGATGTGCCTCACTTTCAGTGATAGAAAATGTGTTTGTAATGTAAGTCTCATTTTGTCACTGATTTCATTCTGTAAACAAAGACACATAAAATAGTAAAGATTCCAAGCTGTCTGAAATGAAAAAGGGTCTGAGGCAACTTTGGTGTTTTGAGCAGTGAAGCAGGAAAATGAACACTAGACAGTCTGCCAACAATCAGCACTTTGGGAAATTTACAACTTATGCACTGTGGATGCTTTTGCTGTCAACCAATTTACAGAAATAAGAGTTTGGGATCGGGAGAAAAATCCTGTATTAGTCTGTTCTTACACTGCTATAAAGAACTACCTAAAACTGGGTATTTTATGAAGAAAAGAGATATCATTAACTCACAGTTCTGCATGCTTAACAGGAAGTGTGGCCAGAGAGACTCAGGAAATTTACAATCATGCAGAAAGCAGAGGAGATGCAAGCACATCTTACCATGGCAGAGTAAGAGAGAGAGAGTGGAAAGGGAAGTACTATGCACTTTTAAGCCATCAGATCTCATGAGAACTCACTCACTATCATGAGAACAGCAAGGAGGAAATCTGCCCCCATGATCCAATTACCTCCCATCCTTCCAATTTGACATGAGATTTGGGCAGGGACACAAATCCAAACCACATCAAATCTCATGTGGAAAGCCTTCTCTTACTCTTTCACCAAACATATGATCACAGACAACGGACTTCACATCCCCAAGCTTCAGTTTATTCACATATAAAGCAAGCATATCAGCAATATCTCATACATCAGGTCACTGGGATAACTAAATGAAACAATAGATACACTCAGTATGTAACAAATTTTTGGACTGTAATTCATTATCTTGAACATTAGGATTTCTGCATTCCACATAACTAAGATTTTGGTCATGTATTTTTCTCTGGTTGGGATCTCTTAAGTCAGGTTATGCTAGGCTGGAATACGTGGTAAAGCTAGCAGAAAACATCACCCAACAGCTAAGATGTCATGACCTCTAGTTCTCTGAAGTTCAAGGTGGAAATGAGATAAAATCACCCATTTCCTATGTTTGAACGTCTAAAATTTTAATATGAAGGATACCAGTATCGATACAGCAAGATGACATGTGTTTGCAGTTATGAGAAAAGAAAATTGAATCAAAAAAATCTTTTAGAAAATACTTTAATAACAAGTTTATTGAGATACAATTCACAAAATGCACTCATTTAAACTGTACAATTTGAGTATATTCAGAAAGCTATGCAACCATCACCACTATCTAATTGTAGAACATTTTCATCAGCCCAAAAAGAAACCTGGACCTATTTGTAGTCACTCCCATTCTGTCTTCCCACTATTTGCCTTACCCTGGCAAACACTAATCTACTTTCTGTCTTTATCTATTTGCCTCTTCTGGGCATTTTATATAAACGAAATTATACAATATGTGTTGCCTTCTTGATGCTAAATGCTACAGCAATCTTGCTTCATGTACATTGCAGTATATATTAGTACTTCATCTTTTTTGACCGTCAGATTCAGCTATATGAATATACCACATTGTGCCCATCCACTGCCAATAATATATCTGAATATGTCCCTTCCCAATAATGGTTTAATTATAGGATCCCCCAAACCACTAAATAAATCTCAACTCTATAGAATTGGCAATCTTCTTCTTCAATGTGAAGATTACTGGCTTAAAAGATCTCAGCCCCATATGAATGCTTTAAGTATGAAACCCCTCGACCATATAGCCCTACTTTTTACTCCTTCTCAGCCTTAACTCCCAATAATTCCTACACATTCTCAGGATTTTAGCCAGTCTCCTAAGAACCTACACACCACCTACTGAGTTGTGTACGTCCACACCTGGGCCCTCATCTTTTCCCCCACGTCCATGCCCCTCATCGAAACAAGCAAGGACTGAAGCTGGAGACGCATTACAAACAGCCTGGGGTGGATTTCACTACAATTTTTGGCAGGGATTACATGAGAGAAGTAATTCAATTGGGCAGAGGCTAGCGCTGGACAAATGGTAGGCACGTTTTAATCACTGGAAAATGAAGTGTTAAGAGAACATATTTAATAGGGCATAATATTCCCTTTTATAAAATTGAGGTTTTATAAAGGGAGCCATTGGCTTGGTAACAAGCTAAAAGTTCACAGAGGGGCATGGTCATAAACAGGGTGACAACTGCAAAAAGAAAGGGCTAGGCATTGAGCAGCACAGCATGTGGATGCTGGGGGCTGGGGCAGAGCAGCTCTGCAGAATTTCCTACATGATGGCCACTCTCAGCTTGCTGCCCAGTGTGTAGGTTCATATGATTGGCTAAAACCCTAGGTATGTGAAGGAATTATTGGGAGTTAAGGCTGAGAAGAAACAAATATTAGGGCTATATGCTAGAGGGGTTTCATAGTTAAAACTTCCCCTGCTTCCCCTGTGCAGTGTTAGCTCCTGCCGGGACTTCCAAGGACCACACCTGTCTGAGCACATCCTGGACTCAACTTGAGGGTTCCAAGCTCCTCTCCATCCAGTAATGGGAAGCAATGAGGCACATTCTAAAGAGACTCAGGGCTGAAGTGGACAGCCTCAGACCTTGGAACTAGGTCAAAGCCAGTTCCTGAAGGTCTTTTTCAGCACCATCTTGGTTTGAAGGCTTTGAGTCTTCTTGAGTCAGGTCAGCGGGGTCCTGCTCCTTGGTCTAGAATCCTTGACATGGGCACAAATGAGACCTCCTTCCCTTCCAGATGTTTCTCTTCCTAGGCAGAAGAGCAGGATCTTATCTCTGGATGAGATCAGGGGACCCTCAGCTATCTCTGCACTTACTGTCTTCCTCTTTGGGGTCTTATCACACCCTTTCCTGCTGAATGATATACTTTATTTTTGTCTGTGTCTTCATTGATCAACTAGGCTGTTTCCTGGGGACAAGACTCTATTTTTCCTCTTTACCTGTCTGTATCACATTAGCAAGGGAGTGCAGCATTTGGTCTTCATACAGAAGGCACATTTCTGAGGGCATGGAAGGGTGACTGAAGTTCCCAAAGTAGACATGGCAACTGTTGCCTGGGGTTCCAAAAGTAGGCATGGCAACCGTTGTCAATAGGTTGACAAAAATATCACTAATGCAGCAATATACCTTGACTATAATTATTATTATTATTATAGTGACCAAATCTATGTGGCAGATATGTGCCTTGATATTTTACATACTCACCCTATGTAATCATCCCACAAAATGACATAGGTTTCATTTATTCATTTTACAATTAAGAAACCTGTAGTTAGGGAAATCAAGTAAAATATGCAGAGTGACAAAGCCAGTGATTAACCTCAGTGGTAAATAACCCAACAGGTAAAGCCACAGGTGAAGAAAGGAGCAAGATGCACACTCAATTTTGAAGGAATTTCCAGATTTATAACCTTGAAAGGAGAGACGAAGATTGGTCCAACAGTCCTAAATAATGTATGTTGAGGAAGCAGCAGTTCAGATGGATGGGATGGAGTAATGAATAGGAGGGGAGATCAGGTAAAAGGACAGAAAGTAGATTGCAGGATTTTCATTACAGAAGATGTTATCTCTGGAAATATTTTTTTTTTTAATTTCGCAAATATTAAAGAGTTAATTAAAACAAAATTAGAGAATTAGAGTCCTGAGAAGCCCTGTGCAGGACACACCTTGTTATGGTTTGGCTGTGTCCCCACCCAAATCTCATCTTGAACTGTAGTTCCCACAATTGCCATGTGATGTGGGAAGGACCCTGTGGGAGATAACTGAATCCTGGGGGTGGGTTTTTCCCATGCTATTCTTGTGATACTGAATAAATCTCATGAGATCTGATAGTTTTATAAAGGGCAGTTTCCCCCCCACACACACTCTCTTGCCTGCCACCATGTAAGACATGCCTTTGCTCCTCTTTCACCTTCCACCATGATTGTGAGGCCTCCTTAGCCATGCGGAACTGTGAGTCCATGAAACCTCTTTTTCTTTATAAATTACCCAGTTTCAGGTATGTCTTTATCAGTAGTGTGAGAACAGACTAATAAACACCTTGATTAGCTTTCTTTCGTTCCCTTCTACTGTGTAGGTTGAATGGCCAAATTTCAACAACAAAAGCACAAAGGATGCAGCAGAGATTGTCTTCAGCTGCCCAACCTCCCCTTCAAAATGTAAACCCCCCTGCCCTGCCCCACACGGATTTTTCTTCTTTCCTGGAATTCAGTGCTCCACATACTATTGACCTATACACACCCATCAAAATCAGAAGGAAACCAATATTTTAAATTGGGAATTAATATCAGTGCATTGCCTTGACCAAGATATTTTCATTCAAGTAAAATATTCTACTAATCAAAAAAATGAAAAACTCCGTCATTACAAAGAAATATTTGGGGCAATGGCAAGCAAGCATAAATGATTATTATGATTAGAATGATTTTTTAAAATTAGTGAAGACAGCATGTCATAGGCTGCTTGGAATGATTAAAAAGATAATCCATGTAAAGTACTTATCAAAATGTTTAGCACACGATTTTTTAAATCCTTAGTTATTACTGAAGTGACGTAACAAATTTTTGGACTATGATTCTTTATCTTGAACATTAGAATTTCTGCATTCCACATAACTAAGATTTTGTTCATGTTTTTTCTCTGGCTGAGATCTTTTAATTCAGGTTATGCTAGGCTGGAATAGTGGGCAAAGCTAGCAGAAACCATCTGATTATGTTATCATTTGCCATTAGCATTGTCTTTAGCCATTGTGGAGTAATCCTTGACTTAATGTCTCCCAACTCACAATGGATAATACCCTAGAGTAACTGATTCAGTCTTATTAGTGAGACTAATACTAAAATAAATAAAATACTGAAAGTATTTAGTATTGAAAATACTGGCCGGGTGTGGTGGCTCATGCCTGTAATCGCAGCACTTTCGGAGGCCAAGGTGGGCGGACCACCTGAGGTTGGGAGTTTAAGACCAGCCTGACCAACATGGAGAAACACCATCTCTACTAAAAATACAAAATTAGCCAGGCATGGTAGTACATTACTGTATTCCCAGCTACTAGGGAGGCTGAGGCAGCAGAATTGCTTGAACCCAGGAGGCGCAGGTTGCAGTGAGCTGAGATCAGGCCATTGTACTCCAGCCTGGGCAACAAAAGCAAAACTCTGTCTCAAAAGAAAAGAAAAGAAAATACTAACATACAGTATTTAAGCAAATACTAAAATACAATTAAAATTTGCAATAAAAAAGGGAAGGCCTTTCCATCCTGTTTTTTCCTTGGGTGATAGCAATGTTTCAACATTTGCCAACATGATGAGTGGGCAATCATATTAGCATTTTGCTTTAATTTTATCTGACTGGGCATTTGTTTTCCTTTACCATCTATAGTCTGTCTCTTTTACCATATCTATTGTGGATTGTTCAATATGTTAAAATCAACTTTAGCAAGTATTAGTACCACTTAAGTTAAATGATCATTTGTCTATTGCAAAAATTCTCCAGCACTTCATTCATCTTTTGCATTTATTCATGATGTTTTTCCACAAGGAGATTTTATATGCACACACACACAGACGCACATAGCTATGCATGCACTTATATATTTTCCCTCAAAATGCATCCCTAGTTCCTTTTTGGATTTTGAGTTTCCTGTTTTTCTTAAAATAATTGCCTCCATGCCAAGGTTTTGAAGCCATTCTGTGCTTTTACCTGTATCAATCATCAGGTGTTATACTATTTATCTCCACTAAGAACTTCTAAGAACCCTGCTCACTAGCATCAGGGATGCCAGTAAGCCCCCAATAAATGCTGGCCACTTTGTTTAGTCCAGGTGTGCATGACATTATTCCACCACAATACACCTACATTACTTACATGTGGTGCTCTTTGAGCAGAAAAGCAATCAAAAAATGTAAGAATCCAATACATTTCAACACTCTGCCCCAGGGGAAGTCCTTCTTCAGATACCAATCAATGCTTTGACACTACAAGTAATTGCCTGTGACCCTGAATGGACAATTTTGTGTCCACGCTTGGTTTAAGTTATTTTAAAGCAATACATGGAACTAGGGATATATGGAACTATGGATACAAGTCATTATATATTTGTCCAAACCCATAGACCATACAACACCAAGAGTGAAGTGTATGTAAACTACAGACCCTGATGATGATGATGTGTCAATGTAGGTTCATCCATTGTCACAAATATCCCACTCTGGTGGGGGATGTTGGTAATGGGAGAAGCTGTGCATGGTGGGTGCAGAGTATGTGGATATTCTCTGTACTTTCTGCTCAATTGCTGTGAACCTAAAATTGCTCTAAAAAATAAAAAGTCTATTTAAAAGGTTCACGGGGAAGTCTTTCTTCATATATCTGTTGTACATAAGATTTCTTTCAAATGTTACGGAATATCCTCAGTAAAAAGTCTTTTCATTAACCGAGGAAAAATGTCTTGGCTGGGCATGGTGACTCATGCTGTCATCCCAGTACTTTGGAAGGGTGAGGCAGGAGAATCGCTTGAACCTGGGAAGTGGAGGTTTCAGTGAGCCAACATCACACTACTGCACTCCGGCTGGGGCGACAACAGCGAAATTTTGTCTCAGAAAAGAAAAGAAAAAAATGTCTCTCTGTGTTGTATAAATATTTCTCATTTAATGGAATTCTATAGGAAAAAAAATTTTGACCATATAGAAATACACTTGTCTCTAGACAACCAGCCTTCCTGTAGAGTCCTTTCTTCAAAGAAAATGCCACTTTGTCCAAGAAGCCTTCCCAGATCCCATCACCCTGACTACCACAGATACCTCTGTTGCTTGCTCTTATAGCATCTTGCACATCTCCCAGGCACTCTGTCACACAGTGGACAAGTGCAAATTGTGTGTGTTGTTTTAATAGTAATGATCAACTGTCGCCCAGCCTGCAAAAGCTTTGGAAGCAGTGCCTACCCTAACATGTGCTTGCCATTGGTTCTCTGGCAAGTGGCAGTGTGCCTGTCACAGAGCAAATTGTTTTCACAAATGGCACTGATCAAAGACATAAGTGAAAGCAATAGAGAGACATAAAAGGAATTTACACGTTAGTGTTTAGGTCCTGAAGAGCTGGAAAGAATGACATAAATAGATTGAGCTGGTGAAATGTTTCAGGTTCTCTGGGTGGACATTTTAGGAAGCTTATTTTGTTTCCCATGAAGTAAATATCCAGAAGATTGGCATGATAACATCAAAAACTGAAAAAAGCTTGTATTTTGGATCAAATACACATTATTTAAGAAATAATAATACTAATTATATTTTTATACAGTGCATAAAGCCACCAAAAGAAAATTCATAGAACAGCAAATGCCAGACTTTTCTTATCATCATTCCCTAAATAATAGTGTAATAGCTGTTTACATAGCATTTGCATTGTATTAGATGTAAGTAATGTATAAATAATTTAAAATATATAAGAGGGTATTTGCAGGTTATGTGAAAATGCCACACCATTTTATATCAACAACTTGAGAATCTTCAGATTTTGGTATCTGCGGGGTGGGAAGGGCAGGTCCTAGAACCCTTAAGGTGCATTATAACTTCAGTCCAGATTGATGTACTTTTCCTGAAAATAAAATAATTGTATTTTTCAAAGATATTCATCCAAGAAGAATATATTGTTTCAATGTAACCAGCAGTTATTTTTCACCTGTAGTTTTAAAAAGAACTTTAGTGCTAAGCTGACTGCCAGAGAGTTGAAAGATACAACAGAAATGTCTTTAAAAAAAATGTCAACTCCGTTTCAAAGTTCTTGTGAAGAATGAAAATCATCATCAAAGGTGGTGGAGCCAAGATGGCTGAATAGGCACAACTCCAGTCTACAGCTCCCAGCATGAGCAATGCAGAAGACGGGTGATTTCTGCATTTCCATCTGAGGTACCGGGTTCATCTCACTGGGGAGTGTCAGAAACTGCATGCAGGACAGTGGGTGCAGCGCACTGAGTGCGAGGCAAAGCAGGGTGAGGCATTGCCTCACCCAGGAAGTGCAAGGGGTCAAGGAATTCCCTTTCCTAGTCAAAGAAAGGTGTGACAGATGGCACCTGGAAAATCGGGTCACTCCCACCCTAATACTGCACGTTTCCAGTAGTCTTTGCAAACAGCACACCAGGAGATTATATCCCACGCCTGGCTCAGAGGGTCCTATGCCCATGAAGCCTCACTCATTGCTAGCACAGCAGTCTGAGATCAAACTGCAAGGTGGCAGCGAGGCTGGGGGAGGGGCGCCCGCCATTGCCCAGGCTTGAGTAGGTAAACAAAGCAGCAAGGAAGTTCAAACTGGGTGGAGCCCACTGCAGCTCAAGGAGGCCTGCCTGTCTCTGTAGACTGCACCTCTGGAGGCAGGGCATTGCCACACAAAAGGCAGCAGAATACTCTGCAGACTTAAATGTCCCTGTATGACAGCTTTGAAGAGAGTAGTGGTTCTCCCAGCATGCAGCTGGAGATCTGAGAACAGACAGACTGCCTCCTCAAGTGAGTCCCTGACCCCCGAGTAATGTAACGGGAAGACACGCCCAAGTAGAGGCAAACTGACACCTCATACAGCCGGGTACTCCTCTGAAACAAAACTTCCAGAGGAATGATCAGGAAGCAACATTTGCCATGCATCAATATCTGCTCTTCTGCAGCCTCCACTGCTGATACGCAGGCAAACAGGGTCTGGAGTGGACCTCCGGCAAACTACAACAGACCTGCAGCTGCGGGTCCTGACTGTTAGAAGGAAAACTATCAAACAGAAAGGACATCCAAACTAAAACCCCATCTGTACATCACAATCATCAAAGACCAAAGGTAGATAAAACCACAAAGATGGGGAAAAAACACAGCAGAAAAACTGGAAACTCTAAAAATCAGAGCACCTCTCCTCCAAAGAAACGCAGCTCCTCACCAGCAACAGAACAAAGCTGGACAGAGAATGACTTTGACGAGTTAAGAGAAGAAGGCTTCAGATGATCAAACTACTCTGAGCTAAAGGAGGAAGTTCAAACCCGTGGCAAATAAGTTAAAAACCTTGAAAAAAAATTAGATGAATGGCTAACTAGAATAACCAATGCAGAGAAGTCCTTAAAGGACATGATGGAGCTGAAAACCAAGTAACGAGAACTACATGATGAAAGCACAAGCCTCAGTAGCCGATTTGATCAACTGGAAGAAAGGGTATCAGTGATGGAAGATCAAATGAATGAAATGAAGGGAGAAGAGAATTTTAGAGAAAAAAGAATAAAAAGAAACAAAGCCTCCAAGAAATATCGGACTATGTGAAAAGACCAAATCTACGTCTGATTGGTGTACCTGAAAGTGATGGGGAGAATGGAACCAAGTTGGAAAACACTATGCAGGATATTATCCAGGAGAACTTCCCCAATCTAGCAAGATGGGCCAATATTCATATTCAGGAAATACAGGGAACACCACAAAGATACTCCTCAAGAAAAGCACCTCCAAGACACATAATTGTCAGATTCACCAAAGTTGAAATGAAGGAAAAAATGTTAAGGGCAGCCAGAGAGAAAGGTCGGGTTACCCTCAAAGGGAAGCCCATCAGACTAACAGCAGATCTCTTGGCAGAAACTCTACAAGCCAGAAGAGAGTGGGGGCCAATATTCAACATTCTTAAAGAAAAGAATTATCAACCCAGAATTTCATATCCAGTCAAACTAAGCTTCATAAGTGAAAGAGAAATAAAATACTTTACAGACAAGCAAATGTAAGAGATTTTGTCACCACCAGGCCTGCCCAAAAAGAGCTCCTGAAGGAAGCACTAAACACAGAACGGAAAAACTGGAACCAGTCACTGCAAAAACATGCCAAATTGTAAAGACCATCGAGGCTAGGAAGAAACTGCATCAACTAACGAGCAAAATAACCAGCTAACATCATAATGACAGGATCAAATTCACACATAACAATATTAACTTTAAATGGAAATGGGCCAAATGCTCCAATTAAAAGACACAGACTACCAAATTGGATAAAGAGTCAACACCCATCAGTGTGCTGTATTCAGGAAACCCATCTCACACACAGAGACACACATAGGCTCAAAATAAAGGGATGGAGGAAGATCTACCAAGCAAATGCAAAACAAAAAAAGGTGGGAGTTGCAATCCTGGTCTCTGACAAAACAGACTTTAAACCAACAAAGATCAAAAGAGACAAACAAGGCCATTACATAATGGTAAAGGGATCAATTAAACAAGAAGAGCTAACTATCCTAAATATATATGAACCCAATACAGGACCACCCAGATGCATAAAGCAAGTCCTTAGAGATCTACAAAGAGACTTAGACTCCCACACAATAATAATGGGAGACTAATACCTCACTCTCAACATTAGACAGATCAACGAGACAGAAAGTTAACAAGGATATCCAGGAATTGAACTCAGCTCTGCACCAAGCAGATGTAATAGACACCCCAAATCAACAGAATATATATTCTTCTCAGCAACACACCACACTGGTTCCAAAATTGACCACATAGTTGGAAGTAAAGCACTCCTCTGCAAATGTAAAAGAGCAGAAATTATAACAAACTGTCTCTCAGACCACAGTGAAATCAAACTAGAACTCAGGATCCAGAAACTCACTCAAAACCGCTCAATTACATGGAAACTGAACAACCTGCTCCTGAGTAACTACTGGGTACATAACGAAATGAAGGCAGAAACAAAGATGTTCTTTGAAACCAATGAGAACAAAGATACAACATACCAGAATCTCTGGGACACATTCAAAGCAGTGTGTAGAGGGAAATTTACAGCACTAAATGTCCACAAGAGAAAGCAGGAAAGATCTAAAATTGACACGCTAACAATTCAAATAACTAGAGATGCAACAGCAAACAGATTCAAAAACTAGCAGAAGGCAAGTAATAACTAAGATCACAGCAGAACTGAAAGAAATAGAAACACAAAAAACCCTTCAAAAAATCTATGAATCCAGGAGCTGGTTTTGTGAAAAGATCAACAAAATTGATAGACCGCTAGCAAGACTAATGAAGAAGAAAAGGGAGAAGAATCAAATAGACACAATAAAAAAATGATAAAGGGGATATCACCACCGATCCCACAGAAAAACAAACTACCATCAGAGAATACTATAAACACCTCTATGCAAATAAACTAGAAAATCTAGAAGAAATGGATAAATTCCTCGACACATACACTCTCCCAAGTCTAAACCAGGAAGAAGTTGAATCTCTGAATAGACCAATAACAGGCTCTGAAATTGAGGCAATTATTAAAAGCTTACCAACTAAAACAAG
This sequence comes from Homo sapiens, assembly GCF_000001405.40. Classification (NCBI taxonomy): domain Eukaryota; kingdom Metazoa; phylum Chordata; class Mammalia; order Primates; family Hominidae; genus Homo; species Homo sapiens. The sequence continues at coordinate 13,779,485 of NC_000024.10, read as the reverse complement.
TACAGGACCAGACACATTCACAGCTCAATTCTACCAGAGGTAGAAAGAGGAGCTGGTACCATTCCTTCTGAAACTATTCCAATCAACAGAAAAAGAGGGAAGACTCCCTAACTCATTTTATTAGGCCAGCATCATCCTGATACCAAAGCCTGGCAGAGACACAACAAAAAAAGAGAATTTTACACCAATATCCCTGATGAACATCAGTGAAAAATCCTCAATAAAATACTGGCAAGCCGAATCCAGCAGCACATCAAAAAGATTATCCACCATGACCGAATGTGCTTCATCCCTGGGATGCAAGGCTGGTTCAACATACACAAATCAATAAATATAATCCAGCATATAAACAGAACCAACAACAAAACCCACATGATTATTTCAATAGATGCAGAAAAGGCCTTTGACAAAATTCAACAACCTTCATGCTAAAAACTCTCAATAAATTAGGTATCGATGGAACGTATCTCAAAATAATAAGAACTATCTATGACAAACCCACAGCCAATATTATACTGAATGCGCAAAAACTAGAAGCATTGCCTTTGAAAACTGGCACAAGACAGGGATGCCCTCTCTCACCACTCCTATTCAACATAGTGTTGGAAGTTCTCGCCAGGGCAATCAGGCAGGAGAAGGAAATAAAGATGATTCAGTTAGGAAAAGAGGAAGTCAAATTGTCCCTGTTTGCAGACAACATGATTGTATATCTAGAAAACCCCATTGTCTCAGCCCAAAATCTCCTTAAGCTGATAGGTAACTTCAGCAAAGTCTCAGTATACAAAATCAGTGTTCAAAAATCACAAGGATTCTTATACAGCAATAACAGACAAACAGAGAGCCAAATCATGCATGAACTCCCATTCACAATTGCTTCAAAGAGAATAAAATACCTAGGAATCCAACTTACAAGGGACATGAAGGACCTCTTCAAGGAGGACTACAAACCACTGCTCAAGGAAATAAAAGAGGATACAAACAAATGGAAGAACATTCCATGCCCATGGGTAGGAAGAATCAAAATTGTGAAAATGGCCATACTGCCCAAGGTAATTTATAGATTCAATGCCATCCCCATCAAGCTACCAACGACTTTCTTCACAGAACTGATAAAACTACTTTAAAGTTCATATGCAATCAAAAAAAAGCCCACATTGCCAAGTTATCCTAAGCCAAAAGAACAAAGCTGGAGGCAGCATACTACCTGACTTCAAACTATACTATAAGGCTACAGTGACCAAAACAGCATGGTACTGGTATCAAAACAGAGATACAGACCAATGGAACAGAACAGAGCCCTCAGAAATAATGCCACATATCTACAACCATCTGTTCTTTCACAAACCTGACAAAAACAAGAAATGGGGAAAGGATTTCCTATTTAATAAATGGTGCTGGGAAAACTAGCTAGCCATATGTAGAAAGCTGAAACTGGATCCCTTCCTTACATTTTATACAAAAATTAATTCACGATGGATTAAAGACTTAAATGTTAGACCTAAAAACATAAAAACCATAGAAGAAAACCTAGGCAATACCATTCAGGACACACGCACGGGCAAGGACTTCATGTCTAAAACACCAAAAGCAATGGCAACAAAAGCCAAAACTGACAAATGGGATCTAATTAAACTAAAGAGCTTCTGCACAGCAAAGAAACTACCATCAGAGTGAACAGGCAACCTATAGAATGAGAGAAAATTTCTCCAATCTACTCATCTGACAAAGGGCTAATATCCAGAATCTACAATGAACTCAAACAAATTTGCAAGAAAAAAACAAACAACCCCATCAAAAAGTGGGCAAAGGATATGAACAGACACTTCTCAAAAGAAGACATTTATGCAGCCAAAAGACACATGAAAAAATGCTCACCATCACTGGCCATCAGAGAAATGCAAATCAAAACCACAATGACATACCATCTCACACCAGTTAGAATGGTGATCATTAAAATGTCAAGCAACAACAGGTGCTGGAGAGGATGTGGATAAATAGGAACACTTTTACACTGTTGGTGGGACTGTAAACTAGTTCAACCATTGTGGAAGTCGGTGTGGCGATTCCTCAGGGATCCAGAGCCAGAAATATGGATCTAGAGCCAGAAATACCATTTGACCCAGCAATCCCATTACTGGGTATATATCCAAAGGATTATAAATCATGCTGCTATAAAGACACATGCACACGTATGTTTATTGCGGCACTATTCACAATAGCAAAGACTTGAAACCAAGCCAAATGTCCAACAATGATAGACTGGATTAAGAAAATGTGGCACATATATACAGTGGAATACTATGCAGCCATAAAAAATGATGAGTTCATGTCCTTTACAGGGACATGGATGAAGCTGGAAACCATCATTCTCAGCAAACTATCACAAGGACAAAAAACCAAACACCCAGTGTTCTCACTCATAGGTGGGAATTGAACAATGAGAACACATGGACACAGGAAGGGGCACATCACACACCGGGGCCTGTTGTGAGGTGGGGGGAGGGGGGAGGGGAGAGGAATAGCATTTGGAGATATACCTAATTTTAAATGATGAGTTACTGGGTGCAGCACACCAACATGGCATATGTATACATATATAACTAACCTGCACATTGTGCACAGGTACCCTAAAACTTAAAGTATAATAAAAAAAATTGAGATATAATTCACATACCATAAAATATGCTCTTTTAAGATATGTACATCAGCGGTTTATAATATATTCACAAGGTGTGCAATAATCACCACTATGGGAGGAGGAGCCAAGATGGATGAATAGGAACAGCTCCGGTCTACAGCTCTCAGCGTGAGCGACGCAGAAGACTGGCGATTTCTGCATTTCCATCTGAGGTACCGGGTTCATCTCACTAGGGAGTGCCAGACAGTGGGAGCAGGCCAGTGGGTGCGTGCACCGTACACGAGCCGAAGCAGGGTGAGGCATTGCCTCACTTGGGAAGCACAAGGGGTCAGGGAGTTCCCTTTCCGAGTCAAAGAAAGGGGTGACGGACACACCTGGAAAATCGGGCCACTCCCACCTGAATATTGCGCTTTTCTGACTGGCTTAAAAAACGGCGCGCCACGAGATTATATCCCACACCTGGCTCGGAGGGTCCTACGCCCACGGAGTCTGGCTGATTGCTAGCACAGCAGTCTGAGATCAAACTGCAAGGTGGCAGCGAGGCTGGGGGAGGGTTACCCGCCATTCCCCAGGCTTGCTTAGGTAAACAAAGCAGCCCCGCAGCTCGAACTGGGCGGAGCCCACCACAGCTCAAGGAGGCCTGCCTGCCTCTGTAGGCTCCACCTCTGGGGGCAGGGCACAGACAAACAAAAAGACAGCAGTAACCTCTGCAGACTTAAATGTCCCCGTCTGACAGCTGTGAAGAGAGCAGTGGTTCTCCAAGCACGCAGCTGGAGATCTGAAAACAGGCAGACTGCCTCCTCAAGTGGGTCCCTGACCCCTGACCCATGAGCAGCCTAACTGAGAGGCACCTCCCAGCAGGGGCACACTGACACCTCACAAGGCAGCCTATTCCAACAGACCTGCAGCTGAAGGTCCTCTCTAGTAGAAGGAAAACTAACAAACAGAAAGGACATCCACACCAAAAACCCATCTGTAAATCACCATCATCAAAGACCAAAAGTAGATAAAACCACAAAGATGGGGAAAAAACAGAACAGAAACACTGGAAACTCTAAAACGCAGAGCACCGCTCTGCCTCCAAAGGAACGCAGTTCCTCACCAGCAACGGAACAAAGCTAGATGGAGAATGACTTTGATGAGCTGAGAGAAGAAGGCTTCAGACAATCAAATTACTCTGAGCTATGGGAGGACATTCAAACCAAAGGCAAAGAAGTTGAAAACTTTGAAAAAAATTTAGAATGTATAACTAGAATAACCAATATAGAGAAGTGCTTAAAGGAGCTGATGGAGCTGAAAACCAAGGCTCGAGAACTACATGAAGAATGCAGAAGCCTCAGGAGCCGATGAGATCAACTGGAAGAAAGGGTATCAGCGATGGAAGATGAAATGAATGAAATGAAGTGAGAAGGGAAGTTTAGAGAAAAAAGAATAAAAAGAAATGAGCAAAGCCTCCAAGAAATATGGGACTATGTGGAAAGACCAAATCTACATCTGATTGGTGTACCTGAAAGTGATGGGGAGAATAGAACCAAGTTGGAAAACACTCTGCAGGATATTATCCTGGAGAATTTCCCCAATCTAGCAAGGAAGGCCAACATTCAGATTCAGGAAATATAGAGAACACCACAAAGATACTCCTCGAGAACAGCAACTCCAAGACACATAATTGTCAGATTCACCAAAGTTGAAATGAAGGAAAAAATGTTAAGTGCAGCCAGAGAGAAAGGTCGGGTTACCCTCAAAGGGAAGCCCATCAGACTAACAGCAGATCTCTCAGCAGAAACCCTGCAAGCCAGAAGAGAGTGGGGGCCAATATTCAACATTCTTAAAGAAAAGAATTTTCACCCAGAATTTCCTATCCAGCCAAACTAAGCTTCATAAGTGAAGGAGAAATAAAATACTTTACAGACAAGCAAATGATGAGAGATTTTGTCACCACCAGGCCTGCCCTAAAAGAGTTCCTGAAGGAAGCGCTAAACATGGAAAGGAACAACCAGTACCAGCCGCAGCAAAATCATGCCAAAATGTAAAGACCATCGAGACTAGGAGGAAACTGCATCAACTAACGAGCAAAAGAACCAGCTAACATCATAATGACAGGATCAAATTCACACATAACAATATTAACTTTAAATGTAAATGGACTAAATGCTCCAATTAAAAGACACAGACTGGCAAATTGGATAAAGAGTCAAGACCCATCAGTGTGCTGTATTCAGGAAACCCATCTGACGTGCAGAGACACATATAGGCTCAAAATGAAAGGATGGAGGAAGATCTACCAAGCAAATGGAAAACAAAAAAAAGGCAGGGGTTGCAATCCTAGTCTCTGATAAAACAGACTTTAAACCAACAAAGATCAAAAGAGACAAAGAAGGCCATTACATAATGGTAAAGGGATCAATTCAACAAGAAGAGCTAACTATGCTAAATGTATATGCACCCAATACAGGAGCACCCAGGTTCATAAAGCAAGTCCTGAGTGACCTACAAAGAGACTTAGACTCCCACACATTAATAACGGGAGACTTTAACACCCCACTGTCAACATTAGACAGATCAATGAGACAGAAAGTCAACAAGGATACCCAGGAATTGAACTCAGCTCTGCACCAAGCGGACCTAATAGACATCTACAGAATTCTCCATCCCAAATCAAGAGATTATACATTTTTTTCAGCACCACTCCACACCTATTCCAAAATTGACCACATACTTGGAAGTAAAGCTCTCCTCAGCAAATGTAAAAGAACAGAAATTATAACAAACTATCTCTCAGACCACAGTGCAATCAAACTAGAACTCAGGTTTAAGAATCTCACTCAAAACGGCTCAACTACATGGAAACTGAACAACTTGCTCCTGAATGACTACTGGATACATATCGAAATGAAGGCAGAAATAAAGATGTTCTTTGAAACCAACGAGAACAAAGACACAACATACCAGGATCTCTGGGACATATTCAAAGCAGTGTGTAGAGGGAAATTTATAACACTAAATGCCCACAAGAGAAAGTAGGAAACATCCAAAATTGACACCCTCACATCACAATAAAAAGAACTAGAAAAGCAACAGCAAACACATTCAAAAGCTAGCAGAAGGCAAGAAATAACTAAAATCAGAGCAGAACTGAAGGAAATAAAAACACAAAAACCCTTCAAAAAATTAATGAATCCAGGAGCTGGTTTTTTGAAAGGATCAACAAAATAGATAGACCACTAGCAAGACTAATAAAGAAAAAAAGAGAGAAGAATCAAATAGACACAATAAAAAATGATAAAGGGGATATCACCCCCGATCCCACAGAAATACAAACTACCATCAGAGAATACTACAAACACCTCTACACAAATAAACTAGAAAATCTAGAAGAAATGGATAAATTCCTCGACACATACACTCTCCCAAGACTAAACCAGGAAGAAGTTGAATCTCTGAATAGACCAATAACAAGAGGTGAAATTGTGGAAATAATCAATAGTTTACCAACCAAAAAGAGTCCAGGACCAGATGGATTCACAGCCGAATTCTATCAGAGGTACAAGGAGGAACTGGTACCATTCCTTCTGAAAGTATTCCAATCAACAGAAAAAGAGGGAATACACCCTAACTCATTTTATGAGGCCAGCATCATTCTGATACCAAAGCCGGGCAGAGACACAACAAAAAAAGAGAATTTTAGACCAATATCCTTGATGAACATTGTTGCAAAAATCCTCAATAAAATACTGGCAAACCGAATCCAGCAGCACATCAAAAAGCTTATCCACCATGATCAAGTGGGCTTCATCCCTGGGATGCAAGGCTGGTTCAATATAAGCAAATCAATAAATGTAATCCAGCATATAAACAGAGCCAAAGACAAAAACCACATGATTATCTCAATAGATGCAGAAAAAGCCTTTGACAAAATTCAACAACGCTTCATGCTAAAAACTCTCAATAAATTAGGTATTGATGGGATGTATCTCAAAATAATAAGAGCTATCTATGACAAACCCACAGCCAATATCATACTGAATGGGCAAAAACTGGAAACATTCCCTTTGAAAACTGGCACAAGACAGGGATGCCCTCTCTCACCACTCCTATTCAACATAGTGTTGGAAATTCTCGCCAGGGAAATTAGGCAGGAGAAGGAAATAAAGTGTATTCAATTAGGAAAAGAGGAAGTCAAATTGTCCCTCTTTGCAGACAACATGATTGTATATCTAGAAAACCCCATTGTCTCAGCCCAAAATCTCCTTAAGCTGATAAGCAACTTCAGCAAAGTCTCAGGATAAAAAATCAATGTACAAAAATCACAAGCATTCTTATACAGCAATAACAGACAAACAGAGAGCCAAATCATGAGTGAACTCCCATTCACAATTGCTTCAAAGAGAATAAAATACCTAGGAATCCAACTTACAAGGGATGTGAAGGACCTCTTCAAGGAGAACTACAAACCACTGCTCAAGGAAATAAAAGAGGATACAAACAAATGGAAGAACATTCCATGCTCATGGGTAGGAAGAATCAATATCGTGAAAATGGCCATACTGCCCAAGGTAATTTACAGATTCAATGCCATCCCCATCAAGCTACCAATGACTTTCTTCACAGAATTGGAAAAAACTACTTTAAAGGTCATATGGAACCAAAAAAGAGCCCGCATCGCCAAGGCAATCCTAAGCCAAAAGAACAAAGCTGGAGGCATCACACTACCTGACTTCAAACTATACTACAAGGCTACAGTAAAAAAAAAACAGCATGGTACTGGTACCAAAAAAGAGATATAGATCAATGAAACAGAACAAAGCCCTCAGAAATAATGCCGCATATCTACAACTATCTGATCTTTGACAAACCTGAGAAAAACAAGCAATGGGGAAAGGATTCCCTATTTAATACATGGTGCTAGGAAAACTGCCTAGCCGTATGTAGAAAGCTGAAACTGGATCCCTTCCTTACACCTTATACAAAAATCAATTCAAGATGGATTAAAGACTTAAACGTTAGACCTAAAACCATAAAAACCATAGAAGAAAACCTAGGCATCACCATTCAGGACATAGGCACGGGCAAGGACTTCATGTCCAAAACACCAAAAGCAATGGCAACAAAAGACAAAATTGACAAATGGGATCTAATTAAAATAAAGAGCTTCTGCACAGCAAAAGAAACCACCATCAGAGTGAACAGGTAACCTACAAAATGGGAGAAAATTTTCGCAACCTACTCATCTGACAAAGGGCTAATATCCAGAATCTATAATGAACTCAAACAAATTTACAAGAAAAAAAACAAACAACCCCATGAAAAAGTGGGCAAAGGACATGAACAGACACTTCTCAAAAGAAGACATTTATGCAGCCAAAAAACACATGAAAAAATGTTCATCATCACTGGCCATCAGAGAAATGCAAATCAAAACCAAATGAGATACCATCTCACACCAGTTAGAATGGCAATCATTAAAAAGTCAGGAAACAACAGGTGCTGGAGAGGATGTGGAGAAATAGGAACATTTTTACACTGTTGGTGGGACTGTAAACTAGTTCAAACATTGTGGAAGTCAGTGTGGCGATTCCTCAGGGATCTAGAACTAGAAATACCATTTGACCCAGCCATCCCATTACTGTGTATATACCCAAAGGACTATAAATCATGCTGCTATAAAGACACATGCACACGTATGTTTATTGCAGCATTATTCACAATAGCAAAGACTTGGAACCAACCCAAATGTCCAACAATGATAGGCTGGATTAAGAAAATGTGGCACATATACACCATGGAATACTATGCAGCCATAAAAAATGATGAGTTCATGTCCTTTGCAGGGACATGGATGAAATTGGAAATCATCATTCTCAGTAAACTATCGCAAGAACAAAAAACCAAACGCCACATATTCTCACTCATAGGTGGGAATTGAACAATGAGATCACATGGACACAGGAAGGGGAATATCACACTCTGGGGACTGTGGTGGGGTGGGGGGAGGGGGGAGGGATAGCATTGGGAGATATACCTAATGCTAGATTATGAGTTAGTGGGTGCTGCGCACCAGCATGGCAAATGTATACATATGTAACTAACCTGCACAATGTGCACATGTACCCTAAAACTTGAAGTATAATAAAAAAAAAGGAAAAAAGAAAAAAAATAATAATCACCACTATCTAACTTTATAACATTTTGTCACCCCTAAAAGAAACCCTATATCTATTAGCAATCATTTTTCATTCCTCCCTCCCCAGCCCCTGTCAACCACTAATAAAGACAAAAAGTCTGAAAAAAAAAAAAACAAAGAAAATCATCTTCAAAGAAGAAAAAAATGCAAGACCAACACAGAAAGAAAACAATTTTACATGACTCTGAATGACATTACTATTATTATTAATATTTTTTTAGACAGGGTCTCACTCTGTCGCCGAGGCTGGAGTGCAGTGGTGAGATTACAGCTTACTTGCCACCTTCACCTCCAGGGACATTCTTCACCATGGTTATCTGCAAAGACTATGACATGATGGAAATTTACAACTGGCTATAGTGTACTTTAGGTGATACGTAATGACTAGAAGAGTTTTGTAGTCTTAGTTCTTTTATTTCCTTAACTGTTGTAGCTGTTGGATTCTTTTTTTTTTTTTTTTTTTTTTTTTGAGACGGAGTCTCGCTCTGTCGCCCAGGCCGGACTGCGGACTGCAGTGGCGCAATCTCGGCTCACTGCAAGCTCCGCTTCCCGGGTTCACGCCATTCTCCTGCCTCAGCCTCCCGAGTAGCTGGGACTACAGGCGCCCGCCACCGCGCCCGGCTAATTTTTTGTATTTTTAGTAGAGACGGGGTTTCACCTTGTTAGCCAGGATGGTCTCGATCTCCTGACCTCATGATCCACCCGCCTCGGCCTCCCAAAGTGCTGGGATTACAGGCGTGAGCCACCGCGCCCGGCCTGGATTCTTAATATAGGATTTTTTATAAATAAATATAACTGAAAATTCATCAAGAAAAATCTTAGCAGAAACTGAAGTTGCACAGACAGTTAAAACCATGACTTGCAACGTTTCTTAGCTACTTCAGGATTTAACCTTACTCACCTTAGGAAAGGTAGTACCTAATGGCTGCTCTTATGCACAAATGATTGAAAACCATTGTTTGTGTTATATATTTATTGAGGGCTTTTGAAATTCTGACTTTACAGTTAATCACATGAGCCAAATAGGATTCCAGAGCTCTCTGAGAACTTCCACCTCAGCAGCAGTCCTTCTGTGCAAAGTATTTTCATCAATGGGCATTTCAGTCTCTGGCAAGGTGTAAGATCTATTTGAATCTCACAAAGACTGCTCTCTAAACAAAACCAGGATAAGAAAAGGGACCCAACACGTGATTCCAAATACCCACTCAAAATGTTTGTAAACGGTAGCATTCTGACTCAGATGATACCGTATTATTACAACTCAGAGAAGGTCTTTGAGGGCCATTCAATCCATCTTCTTGCTGAAAACCAGACAAATGTAACTCATTAATGACAAGTCATTGTCTCAATACTAAGAACTTTCCAAGAGAAAGAGGCTACAGTGTCCCTGTAACATGCTACCTGGCCACACTGACTTTTCCATTCTGAATTCCTAGTGAAATCTCTCAAAGCCATTCAAGAGTAAAGGTGTAAGGAGGTGCATGTGATCAACTTTCAGATTTTCTGCCTGCTGGTATATTATTCTCTAATTAACTAATTCCTCTATCAACTCTCTCCAACACATTTACCATGCCAAAGGAAAATATCAAAACCAGAAGAGAAAAACACAACACAGGGACCATCCTGCCTGAGTGTGAAGAAGGAAGATCACACATACATTGCTAAATTCCATAATACTCAAGGGCAGGACCAAGTTGATGACACAAACCACATCATGGAAATGACCATGTAGTGGGGAATTTAGAATTCCCACTAATGTATGGGGAGAAACGAAAGTAAAGAATGAGGTTGGAGGAGAAATCTAAGTGTTCAAAAATGGCACTAAACCTCAAAATTAACATACCTGAAGCTCTCTGGGATCATCAACTTAGTGGTCATGTATTTGAATAACATATGAAAGCCATCTGCAATAGTGGCAAGACAAGAGTCAGAGGAAAATTCTATATCCTGAGAATTGCAAGTTAATAGCAATTCAAATTCAGCAGTCACCCTTTGTAGATGAGTCAATTAGGGCTCAGGAAGTCTAAAAATGTACAGAATATTACTGGTTCAAACAAAATAATATTTCAATAGTAAGTACACCTTACTTAAAGTCAAAGGTTTTATTTCACATGCCAGGCTCCTACTCATCCATCATGGTGGTAAGCTCTCAGAAAAATTAATATCTTCTTTTCTCAAATGAGTAGAATAAAGTCTTTACAAGATAATCACAGAGATGTCTATGAAGAAGACCATCTAAGGTCAAGGCTGTAGTCTAACTGTCAAGATGCCAAGTTCATTGATGTGAATGTTTTGAACACAAGGAGTGACTTTCAATAACGTAGAAGAAGGTCTCAGAGAGATCTGGAGTCCACCTAGAGGTTGATTAATCCCAATTAATCATGGGATTAGCCATGGAGAAGTCAGAATTCTAAAATTTTGCAGTAAGTTTTGATGCAACGATAAATAAAATGGTTTCCAGTTTCTTATAAATAAGAGCAGCCTAATTAATTTCTACAACATACGGTTGTTTCAAGTATTTGCAAAGGCATAATATCCATGTAAAGCATAGAATGCATACAGTTGTTTAATACAGGGTTACACTAAATTAGATTCACATATCAAAACCCCACTGGAGAAAATGAAAATCCAATACTGTCAAATGCTATTTTTAGTATAATTTAAACTTCAGTTTCAGTTTCCTATGGCTGCCATGACAAAGTACCACAATCCAGGGGGCTGAAACAGCAAAAACTTATTGTCTCTCAGTTCTGGAGACAATAAATTTCTCTGAATTACGATACAAAAGTATCACAAGACCATGCTCTCTCTGAAAGGCCCTAGGGGAAGATCTGCTGCATGATTTTCTTTGAGCTTCTGCTAGTTCTTTGCCTTGTGGCAGCATTCCAACCTTCACATCCATGTCCTCACTTCTCTGGATGTCTGTGTTAAAATTTCCTCTTTCTATAAGGACACCTGTCATATTGGATTAGGGGCCCACCCTCCTACAGAATGACTCATCTTAACTAATCACATTTTCAATGACCGTATGTCCAATTAAGGCCACTTTCTGAGGTACTAGGGGTAAGGACATCAATGTATGGATTTAGGGGTACACTATTAATCCAGAAAAGTGGCTAAAATAAATTAAAGCCACAGGACAAATACTATGTCGTTTCAACCACGCTTCAACCTGCAACCCAATTAAGAACCTCTGCCTTAATATGTTCATGTTTGTTTTTTTCCAGATTGCTTCAAGTCACTAACTGTTTATTTTTTCACTTTGGCCTCCTTGCCACCTCCCACCAAATGTGAGAACTTGGTGTTTTGTAGCAACCCATATGTCCATCTCACTGACAATGTTTTTTGCTTTCATAAAGTACTTCAATCTTATAGCATGTGGGTGCATCCTAAGGAGGTATTTGTTATACATAATGTAAACTGTTTAGACTCATGTAGTCTGGTTTTGGTTAAAAGCAATTGTTTGAATAAGCATGGAAAAACCACACAGTCATGATGAGGTAATTTGGCCAAGCACACAATTCTCTCTAGGTGTAAACAGTCTACTCTTAAAAATGTTGCACCCTTTGCTGAGACCCTCAGCTTTATGCTGCTGACCTTTGCTTCATACCTAGACCTTGATTACTAATGACCCATTCTCTCCCAGGAGAAGGGTTCTTCATCCTAAACCTATATTCCCTGAACACTTATGTTCAGAAGAATTGATAAAGGCTTTTTCATCCATCAACAAGTTGGAATCAAAACTCATGTTTCAAAAGATGGCAGCCAGACAGTAACTCTAGCCCTCTCATTCGACAAATGAGCCTACTGATTGTAAGCAAGCCTACAATGATGTTTCTGCTGATGACACCACCACTGACTTCTACTTAGTAAGGTCACACTTAATCAACTGTATGTAACCTGAATCAAAAAGGGCTGCTTGGGCTGGAAGTGGTGGTTCACACCTGTAATCCCAGCACTTTGGGAGGCCGAGGAGGGTGCATCACGAGGTCAGGAGATCAAGATCATCCTGGCTAACAGGGTGAAACTCTGTCTCTACTAAAAATACAAAAAATTACAAAAAAAATTGGCCAGGCGTAGTGGCAGGTGCCTGTAGTCCCATTTACTCAGGAGGCTGAGTCAGGAGAATGGCATGAACTCAGGCAGCAGAGGTTGCAGTGAGGTGAGATTGCACCACTGCACTCCAGCCTGGGCGACAGAGTGAGACTCTATCTCTCTCTCTAACACACACACGCACACACACATGCACGCACACACAAAGACTGCTCGAAGAATGTCCAAGCTGGGGGATGGAGAATGGACAATTCCAAAGCTAGAACTTGGCACCTCTTATCAAGCAGAGAAAGGCACCAGAGAGAAGCCTGACATCATGACTAACTGAAACAGTGGCTTTCAAAGTGTGGTACTGGAACCAGTGACATCAGCCTCACCTAGAAGCTTTTGCAAATTCTGGTGATACACCTTACACTAGTAGAATCAAAACTCCTGGGCTGGAGAGCAGTGAGCTGTTTTACAAGTTGTCCAAATATGGCTGATCCCCACGCAAGCCTGAGATGCTTACTCTAACCTTCAGATAATGTGTCTTCCTTTGCTTCACGTGACTTCGTGAAATACACTCCAAATGACTCCCTTTGTTGTCTGTCCTCTAAGCATCCCTAGTAAATGACTGAGACCATCATTCAGCTCTTACAAGTCTCTTACAGGATTCTAGTCACTAAAAAAGAACAATCCTCTCTGTAAAGTACTAAGTTGATCTTTGCATGGGCTGGTTTCTTTTTCTGCAAGACTGACACTCAAGGTAACAACATTTGGCTGGTCTAGACCTTGCTGGCCTCTGCTGTCCTGGCCTCATCTCAGTGTCTGGCCATTTTCATATAGAGCAACTGTAGAAACATGTAATTTCTTGCTGGGGATGACAGTGAGGCAAAAGTAGACTTTAGCAAAAGAGTGCAAAGCAGACTTTAAAGGCCCTCTCCATCACCCAATTATTTTTCAAAATAGAGGCCTGACAGCTGCAAGGCTTGACAGCTGCAATATGTTATGTATATTTAGTTATTCCCACAAGGTGCATAACTGTCTGGTATCTGGCATGTTGACAAGCAAAAGCTAAGGATTAATGTTATCAACTACTTACACATATTAAGAGTACTGGATAACATGAGTTGAGAACTATTGTTATTATCACTATTACCATTTAAAAAAACTAATTGGAAAAAAACTTACTAGGCACCAGAGATAAAAACTGTCATTTCCATGTGCTTCCCTACTGAACATTTTAACAACACATTTTGGAATATCCCTGGTAATTCCTAGAAGTTGTTGTTTTCATGGTAAAGCAAAACATCCACCTTGCTATACACTTGTAAACTAGGAGATGTAGGACTTAGTTGAGCTTCATTTGTAGTAGGGAATGTCCAAGTGGGTAAAAACATGACTAAAAGTATGTGTTTTTCCCCTTCTAATTGACTTTACTAAGTGTCAGATTTTTGTCCCACTGTTTTCTTGTGATAAACACTTTTTCATTATGCTAATTTATTATTCATTAAAGAGTGCAGAATAATTCATTAAACTAGAGCACCTCTTGTCTATTATGCCCTGATTTACATTCTAAACCATTCATCATGATTCTGGGTTATTTTAATATAAACTTCAAAAGACCACATGTTTTAATGAAGGACCACTTGAGAAAAACCACTTGAGAAAAATGTTCAGTAGGGAAGCACAAGGATTAAATGTAATACAAATCAAAAGAGCAATAACCCCAAGAAAAAAAGTTTAATTTGCAAAAAAATAAAATTCATCCCAAGAAAAATGGGTTCATTGCAGAATTAGAAGCATGTCTGAAAAGTCAGGTATGTTTTCCCAATAGAACACATTCTCTGAAATTAAATTACTTTTTTCTTTAACCTTACACAATATTTATCCAGGATTTCAAATTTCAATTTAAAATTCTACTTGATCTTATCATATGCATCATATGGAAATAAGAAATCTTTTTTTTTTTTTTTAAGGAGACAAGATCTCTCTGTCACCTCAGCTGGAGTTCAGAGGCTGAATCATAATCATAGCTCACTGTAGCCTCAACCTTCTGGGCTCAAGCAATCCTTCCGCCTCAGCCTCCCAAGTAGCAAGGATTAGAGGAGGCATGCAACACCATGCCTATTTTTTTTTTTTTTTTTTTTTGTAGATATGGGCTCTCACTTTGATATGCAGGCTGATCTCAAACTTTCAACCTCAAGTGATCCTCCCATCTCAGTCTCCCAAAGCACTGGGATGACAGGCTTGAGCCACCACGGCCACCCAGAATAGGAAATCTGTAAGTAACTAACAAAAGCACACATGAGAGATCTACATGTCATGCTCTACTGAACTAGATACTTCAAAACAAACTGGAATAAGTCTATTAAATTAAAAGTTTAAGTTTTTAAATCTCTTTTTTTGGAGGTGGAGGGGTCTCTCAGACCAGACTGTAGGGCTCTGGGGATCTAGGGTTACACACTGTTCATTTTATTTTATCTTTTGTAGCAATGTGGGTCTCACCATGTTGCCCAGGCTAGATGAGAACTCCTGGGCTGTGATCATCCCTCCTCAACCTCTCAAGCGGCTGGGGCTACAGGCATGTACCACACTATATTTGAATCCCAGGATCGTGACCACCAGGCACACCCTCTGGGCCTCACTCAACCTGATGACAGCCAGCATGTCTGTAGAGCCAAATAAGAGGCTCTGTTCTGAGTAAATTGCATGGCATCCCAGAAAACTCTTTGAAGCAGCACCACCATCAAAATGTAGGCAAAGGTCTGAGAGAGAGGGCAGAGAAACAGTCTTCAGAAAGGAAAAGAAGTTTACTTGCAAAGAAGTCCCCAAAACAGGATACCTTAGGACCAGCTCACCAACAGAAATAAGGATAATGTGAATTTAAAGAAGAAGATGCAGCATAACTAAGTTTGCACAACTCTGCTCACAGGTAAAACCATCCATCTACTTATACAATCATGCTCACATGCCACAACACACCTTCACAATCAGGGTTGCTAAAGACACAAGGAAAGTGAGGTTTCTGTTTAAGAGAGAGAAACTTAACAGAACTCTAAAAGGTCTCATTTATTCAGAAGATGAAAACTTGTCAGGCTAACCCTGTCCTTTTGTGGTGATCTCAGGGCAACCTTCTCCTCTGAGTATGAATGAGGATGTCCATATCTCCCCATAAGCAAGAGAGTTCATAGCATCAGTTTTAATTCCAGAGTTACATACAGCAGAGATCTAAGTGTAGAAAGGGACAGAATCAGAGTAAGGCACCAGCGCTCTAGATACACACTGTGCTCTGGATTACCCCACCATCACCTCTCATGGCTTCCCATCTCTGAGCTAGTGCCACCTGATGCCTCCCTTGTCTGTGCACCCCAGAAGCCCAACACCAGCTAAAATCCCTCAGGAATGGAGGTGCATGCCTGGTCATCTGCCAACTCCAGCACTTAGCAGAGTCTGACACAGCACAGATCCTTAACGTTTCCTGAGAACCAGAAGCTAAACCATGTCATGCCTGCCAGAATATCTGCCATAGAGTGCAAGCAAAACATATACATAAATAGAGATAGACACAGAAATACAGACCCAGAGACAGAGATGGAAGGTGACACAGACATAGATATGGAGATCCCAATACAGATATTGAAGCAGACACACATTACATAGATCCAGAGAGATATTCAGTAGAAAGAGACAGGACTAGAGCAGTGGTTTTCAACAAAGGTGACTGTGCCCCTAGAACACATTGTGATGTTTGGAGACAACAGTTATCTCATGACTAGGGGTGGGAAGGATGGTACCAGCATTGAGTTGGGAGAGGCCGGGCAGAACCATTGAAATGCACAGGACAGCCCCTCCACTCAAAAAAGAAGAATCTGCTCCAAAACGTTCAAAGTGCCAAGTTTAACAAACCCCTAAACTAGACACACATGTATAATATACACACAGAAAAATATATGGAAATTGAAGTCCAGCTCTAATTTCATGTGGTTATGTAAAAAATGAACCTCCATCATTTTTTCAACATTGTAGAGTAATAAATGGAACTAGAGTAGGCAAATCTTGCCCTATTAAAAATAGGTTTAAAATATTACAAAAATCTATGGGTCCTAGATAATAGAAAAATGAAAATACTGATGGCCAACTAGTCTAACATGGTTTCACCTCTAAATATTTTTTCTTTTTTTTTTTTTTTGAGACGCGATCTCTCTGTGTCACCAAGCTAGAGTGCAGTGGGATAACCTCTGCTCACCGCAACCTCTGCCTCCCAGGTTCAAGCCATTCCCCTGCCTCAGCAAGCCATTCCCAATTAGCTGGGACTGCAGGTGCACACCACCAAACCCGGCTAATTTTTTTAGACAGGGTTTTGCCAGTTGGCCAGGACGGTCTCGATCTCCTGACCTCGTGATCCGCCAGCCCCAGCCTCCCAGAGTGCTGGGATTACAGGCTTAATTCACCACACCCGGCCTCTAAATATTTTTCTAATGTTGATTGTGATACTTAAGCAGAGAATATATTCTACCCAGATTTTTTAGAAAATATCTTTGCAGTTGTGAGGACATTAGCTCATTACTCTGGACATAAAAATGTGGAAACAACAAAAACAACTAAAAGATGTTCTCTACTTTCTTTTAAATTCTGGCCCAATGGGGAAAAAAAGTATTTCCCAGATGCAGGCCATTTCTGGAATGATGACCACTACTAGGTTTGGCTGTACTGCTTTCAAAATGGTAGAGCCAAATGTCAAAATAGAAAGAGAGGGAGAGGGAAAAGGGAAAAAAAAAGAGAGAGCAGAAGAGAGCAAGAAGATAGAATACATTCCTACTCAAAGATGTGACGGGCTGACTGGGCACAGTGCTGTAATCCCAGCACTTTTGGAAGCCCCAGATGGGAAGATCTCTTGAGGCCAGAAGTTCAAGACCACCCTGGGCAACATAGCAAAGCCCTGTCTCTATTTTAATAAAAGAAAAACTCAAACCTAGGCAATATAGTAAGAACCTGTCTCTACAAAAAGTTAAAAAATTAGCCAAGCATGGTGGTGCATGCCTATAGTCCCAGCTACTTGGAAGGCTGAGGTGGAGGGATCACTTAAGCCAGTGAGTTTGAGGCTGCTGTGAGCCATTATTCCACCACTGCACTCCAGCCTGGGTGACAGAGTGAGACCCAACCTCAATAAATAAATAAATTAAATAAATAAAAATTAAAATTTAAAAAATAAATGATTAAACAAAAGATATGATGGCACTATCCATCAAGGATATGTGGGACACAAATTTTAGATTTTCAAGGCAAAGTTCTAGTTCGAAATGACTTTTCTGTGTTGAGAATATGGCCTAACTCTTGTCAACCAACTGGAGTGCAGTGGTACCACTGGAGCTCAATGCAGCCTCGAACACCTGGACTCAGGCGATCTTCCTACCTCAGCCTCTCAAAGCACTGGGAGTACAGGCATGAGCTACCACGCCTGGCCCCAGATAGCTTTAATAGCCCAAAACATGGAAAAGGAAATGGGAAACAAAGTAGCCACCTTCAATGACTGTTTTTGATGGTGGACACCACCCTAGGTGACATCTCTGTCCCTTTTTGCCACAGATGAAATTTAAAGAACCACAGTTGGCAACTGGCCTCCCATTTTCTTTTCATTCTCTCTGAAAAGAGTCAATAACTTCTGTATGAACTTGTCATTATTGGCATCAACAGGATTGGCTTCTACAGGATTGGTTTTGACTCTAGGGGACAGGAGCCAATGCTGTGATGTGGTTTGTGATTCTGCCTTTATGTGGTCATTCATATGGCAGGAATGGGTAACCTCTGTTGTCTGGTGGCCATCACATCTCCTTACAACTGCGTAGTTCTCTGCTCCTAGTTTTAGGTACACTTACGCTTCTACAATGAGCAAAACTCTGTCCACTGGGGAGAAATGACCACCAAGCAAGAAATAAAACACAGCAGGCAGAGACAAAAGTAAGTATCCAGCCATGAAGAATAAAAGGTGGAAATCTAAGCACCACATCAGAAGTTGTCTGCAGAGTTTTCAGAAAGTATTCCTACACTTCCAGTTGTGGGGATGATTCTATTATCACTATTTCCTATGACTGTAAAGCATCTTTCAATTTGCAGTCTGCATGAGTCTTATCAGTTGGAAAGCAAGCTAATGACCCTCTTTGTTATACTGGGCTTGTTATAACAGCACTGAGGACCTGAGTTACCTGATGGGGTGACAGGTATCAATATAAGCTGTGTATCCTGTTCAAAATCTCTCTCTGTATTTTTGGTTTACAGGTTTTGGTCAACTTACTTTCTGGTCTACGTGGTATAACAAGGCATCCACATTTCAGAAGAATCTTGTTACTTCCAATAGCATAGGCATTTAAAGACAGAGGCTGGGACATTTGTGTAAGTCTAGATAAGACTGTCTCTTGAAATTATGCCCTATTACAGAATTAAACAAGAGTAAATAAACTTTCTTTGAATGAACTATTCAAAGAACTCAACAGTTACACAGTGAATAGGTGAAATTGCTTTTAACCTGAGAGATTTATTTTTATTTTTACACGTAGACTTCCTCAATTGTTTCCATCTTTCTTTCAGAGAAAAGGTCAATTAAAAATGTAACTTGGTGGCTCATGCCTGTAATCCCAGCACTTTGGAAGGCCAAGGCAGGTGGATTGCCTGAGTTCAGGAGTTCAAGACCAGTTTGGGCAACATGGTGAAACCCAGTACCTACTAAAAATACAAAAAAAATTAGCCAGGCATGGTGGCATTGCCTGTAATCCCAGCTACTTGGGAGGCTGAGGCAGGAGAATCGCTTGAACCTGGGAGGCTGAGGTTACAATGAGCTGAGATTGTGCCACTGCACTCAAGCCTGGGTGATAGAGCGAGACTCTGCCTTCAAAAAAACAAAGAAAAAAACAATGTAACTCATGGGCCTGGCACAGTGGCTTACACCTATAATCCCAGCTCTTTAGGAGGTGGAGGCAGGTGAAATGCGCATAGTAGCGCGCACCTGTAATCCCAGCCACTCATAAGGCTGAGGCATGAGAACTGCTTGAATGTGAGAGGCAGAGGTTACAGCGAGCCAAGGTTGTGCCACTGCACTCTCCAGTCTGGACAACAGAGCAAGACTCTGTCTCCAAAATAAAAAGAATGTAACTCATGGGGTTTATTGTTAGATAGACACCTTGTTTGCACTGGAGAGAAGAAAGAATACCAAAATTAATGTTGTGTGTACGAAACATATGAATTATTAATGTACCAGAATCCTATAGTGAATTAAGAAAAAAAAAAGTTGTGAACTGAGAACAAAAATGAGGAGAAAACATTCATACATTTCATAAGAAATGAATTCCCATCTAATCCAAGGGAAAAGAATCCCTTGGATTACTTTGCAAAATTAATGTTTCTAATTCCATCAAATAGGCTTTCTGTTTTGCCTTCTCTTCTGAACTTTATGAAATTGCCACATCTCCAGATGTAACCAAAAATTAGCTATGAAAGTCAAAATGTAATCCATGATCATTGGATAATAAATAGAAGTACGAGAAAGACATATTGTTCCCTTAAGGTGATTGAAATCATGTTCATTGGAATTAGGAAAAAACATCCCCCTTAAATACAAATTAATATCACCATACATTAGGTTTTTTTTGTTTGTTTGTTTTGAGACAGTCTTGCTCTCTCAAGAGGCTCGAATGCGGTGGCACGAGAGGCTCACTGCAACCCCTGCCTCCTGCCTGGGTTTAAACGATTCCCTGCCTTAGCCTCCAGAGTACCTGGGACTACAGGCCTGCATGATGATGCCCAGCTAATTTTTTGTATTTTCGTAGAGACAGGGTTTCACCATGTTGGCCAGGATGGTCTAGATCTCCTGACCTCATGATCTGCCTGCCTCGGCACCCCAAAGTGCTAGGATTACAGGCGTGAGCCACTGCGCCTGGCTGTGACTTTTTCAAATTGAGACAGAGTCTGGCTGTGTCACCCAGGCTGGAGTGCAGTGGCAAAATCTTGGCTGACTGCAACCTCTGCCTCCTGAGTTCAAGTGATTCTCCTGCCTCAGCCTCCCAAATAGCTGGGATTACAGGTCAGGTTCCCATGACCATGCCCAGCTAATTTTTGTATTTTTAATAGAGACAGGATTTCACCATGTTGGCCAGGCTGGTCTCAAACTCCTGGTGTCAAATGATCCGCCCACCTCGGACTCCCTAGGTGCTAGGATCACAGGTGTGAGACACCAGGCCTGGCCCATTATATGACCTTTTAAGTAGTGATAACATATCTGCCTTATCTTTACAAGAAGGAGGGTAATTAATATGAAACACATAATTATATATTTTTGAGCTCACTAACGCAATATTATTTTCCTGAAGAGCAATAAAACCCTATGAAATAAAAAAGTTACAATTTAAAAAAAAAGGGTAAACAGAATGTGAATTAAGACTTTCAATTAGTTGCTGGATTCTTTCTAAGCCTTTTGATGGGGTATTGTTTCTCAGACTCCCCTGTGGAAAGGTTTTACAGCTTTGGGGATTAAAGAACCCCCAAACTTCACATCTTTACCATCTTGGTCTCAGGAGCAGGCTTGACAAGTTTCAAAATTCTTTTTTTGAAAGATTTCCTCATTGCCTAACTTTATATTTTGCAGAGATGCCAGAAAAAATTATAAAATGTAAACGCACACACACACACCCAAACCCCAAACAAAAGACAGTGAAGCAAGCCTGTCAGGCACTCTCAGCTTGTGGAAATGGCTGTCACATACATATAAGCTACAATTACCACACATGTCCCACCACCGTACACAACAGCAACACAGCTGAGAAGGCAGACATTGTGACTTATTATTCACAGACAGCAAACATCCCCTGTGATATGCAGGACTCCAGTTTCTTGGAACATTTACCCAAGAATCTCGATAAAACTCTGCCATTTCATTACAGGCATGGAAAATTGGATGGGCCTAAACAAAAACAATTGACAAAAGGAAAAAAGACTTTCTTCATCTGAAAAATATCAATACCTTTGATCATGTTAAATTACTATATTTAAGGATTTAAAAGTCGATTCATGTTCAAAATAGTTTCTTTCTTCATGTCAACAACTTGCAGCAATTTTATTAAATGCCTCTCCAGTAGAAAATAATTATCTTAACCAGTCACGGTGCCTCACACCTGTAATCTCAGTACTTTGGGAGGCTGAGGCAAGAGGATCACTGGAGGCCAGGAGTTTGAAACTAGCCTGATCAACATAGAAAGATCTCATCTCTAGGAAAAAAAAAAAAACTTAGAAAAAACTATTAGCCAGGTATGGACTTTATATACCTATAGTCCTATTTAGTCAGGAGGCTGAGGTGAGAGGATTTCTTGAGCCTATGAGTGCAAAGCTACAGTGAGATATAATCATGCCACTTCAGCCTAAGTGACAAAGGGAGATCTTGTCTAAAAAATAAAAATAAAAAAAAAAACTTTTTAAAGAAATTAATTGTTGTGGAGCCAAGAAGCACATCTCACATATGCTGGGGTCTCACAATCTAAGATACCTGAAAGATGGTTGTATTTTGCAGATTCTTATGGGTTAGAAGAAGAATTGGGTGGGTACATGCACCAGTCCATCAATAACACCAGGATGTTGTTGATGGACTGATATTTTTCAAGCCTTCTTCCATAACACCAGCAACATTTTCAGTTGTCCTCACCTGTGCAACTGTGGTGCAAAACTGCCTCCAGAAGCCAATAAGTGAGTAAGAAGGGGGAAAAGGAGGCTGTTCGTCTCTTGGCTTACAGTTGGACACAACTTCTGAATCAGTGGGGTCTGACTCAGAAGCTTTCTGGAATTTCTGAGCCACAGGATTGAAGGTGTTTAGCATTGTGTTTTGCAGAGTTTTGGGGTTGACAAAGTTGTTTCACATAAACTACATATTTGACTGTTCCAACTACTCTGTGAGGTCAGGAATGTTATTTTCTTTTACAGATAAGAAAACTGAAGGCCTGAGAGTGAGATTGCAAAGGCTCCATAGCAGAAACTCAAGTCTTTATTGTTGCATTCCTAGATGTTTGAACTCAATGAACCCACTTCTTAGAATGTTAACAGTGAGAGAAGACAGAGTGGAAACAGCACTCTGTTATGATCCAGAAGCAGTCAGTTGTCAGGGAACCAGGATGGCATTTCTCACTCACTTATTGGCTTCTGGAGGCAGTTTTGCACCACAGTTGCACAGGTGAGGACAACTGAAAAGGTTGCTGGTGTTATGGAAGACGGCTTAAAAAATATCATTCCACCAACAACATCCTGACTGGTGGTACACGTACCCACCCAATTTCCTTCTACTGGAAAAGGAATTGGCATTTATCACCTCTTTTAAAATATTTCAGAAAACTCCCCAAAATAACCCATTTTCCTAAGATGATGGTGCAAAGTATTCATTTTATTAATTGCCTCTGGTCATGGAGGAGACCTAAAGATAATCTAAAGCTTGAAAGAGTTATGGATATATTTGATTAATGAAAAGAGGAAAAACTAGGTCATACTTAACAAATGTCACATGTTGATACACAACCTGCTTTCAAAATATGGAGCCCAGGGTAAGTTAAATAGAAATGTTGAAAAGTAGCTGACCAGAATCCTAAGGCTCTGTAAGCTTAGACCATGCACAGAAATTCTATGGTTTACACAAGGCATTGCATGATGCACTTTCAGTTTTTTCTGGTCATATTTCATAGATAAAATGCCTTTGGATAATATGGATATGCTTCATTAACTGCTGTCCAAAACCTCCCCTCCCCCAAAAATGGTGTAAGAGTCAGGGTTCTGGAAAGCAGTACAAACTTATCCATAGATTTAATACAAGCAGTGCCCCATAACACTTTCATAAGTCTCTCTACCGTAGTCCTAACATTTTATACCATTCACTGAAACATACCAGCCAGGTTAGAACATAAAATGTGATGTAAAACTTGTAAAACACCCAGCAGAGTGGCTGCTTCTTAGTAATCTTCCAGGCAGAGCGAGCTGCTGTATTACCATTGCGTATATTATTCCAACACGTTTCGTGTCCTGATTGCATCTTGCAGGGCAGGTGCTTCTGTCCCCCACTGGATGCATGAGGGGTTGATATTCAGGAAGATGGTGTAATCCACCCTACCTACCCATATACAAAGCAGCAGAGCCTGGGTGCAGAGCAGATCTGCCCAGCCCCAAAGCCCACTTCCCTGTTCCATAGCTCACAGACTCATAGCTCCTCTTCACTCTGCTAACCTCCTACATGTATTATATTTTTGAGCCTGAATTAGCTCCATGCTGAATGCCCTGGACAAAGCATCCTGGAGCCAGATACCGACATTTCAGGAGGTGGTAACATTCACTGTTCCTTTTCATGAATGAAGGGAAGCATTCAGTTGTGAAATAATTGGGTTTCCATCCCATCTTCCTTTCTGTATGACATTCTAAAGAATTCCAGGTCAGAGCAGTGCTGGATTACTCAGGTACTCTTGGTTTGCATTCCCACCTTCATGCCTCAGTACTGAGTCCCTTGTGTTTTCAGGAGTGGTTGACAGCCACTGCATGCAGGTGTGGCAGAAGCAGCCTGCAGACCTGGAGGTACTAGGTATGCACATCTACCCACTGCTTTTCTGTCTTGTTGCTGAAGTGCTGGGCAGTGGAGAAAAGTGGGGACAACTAGGGCGGAGACTATTAGAGTCTAGATTCCTCTGCTGAAGAGGAAAGTCACAGCAGGCTGACAACAGCAGGTCACAGCCCCAGGGAATCTGAGTCACTGCCTATACCACAAGTGCATAAGTTGTGCTCTCCTGAGGCAAAGCCTGACAGCTTTCATACTTGAAAGTCCACATACCTGGCTGGCATCCAGGCTGGAGGCCAGGCAATCTTCTCCCATCCTTAAACATGGCCTGAAACTGTGCAAGAGAAGATGGAAACAGGCATGTGCTCCAGAGACAGCTTTCTGGATGGGCTCATTTGCAGGAGTTGGAGGTGTGGGGTGACCCTGTAGAAAAAGAGTCTTCCTAAGACTTCTTGTAGCCCAGCCTTTACAAGTAGATTAATAAACACCACATGCGGTGTCATGAGTTGGTGGACATGGGGTTCCACTATGTTGGCCACACTGGTCTCCAACTCCTGACCTCAAATGATCCGCCTGCCTCAAGTACAGGGATTACAGTCCTTGAGCCACTGCATCCGGCCCATCTTCCTTCTTTTTTTTTTTTTTTTTTTTTTTTTTTTTTTTTTTTTTTTTTTGAGACAGAGTTTCGCTCTTTCACCCAGGCTGGAGTAGAGAAGTGGCGCAATCTCAGCTTACTGCAACCTCCACTTCCTCAGCTTCTGGAGTAGCTAGAATTATAGGTGCCTGCCACCACACCCAGCAAATTTTTTTGTATTTTTAGTAGAGACAAAGTTTCACCATGTTGGCCATGCTGGACTTGAACTCCTGACCTCTGGTGATCCACCTACCTCGGCCTCCCAAAGTGCTAGGATTACAGGCATGAGCCAGCGTGCCTGGCCCATCTTCCTTCTAATTATTACAAAAAAAAAAAAAAAAAAAAAAAAAAAAAAAAAAAAAGCCAAGCGATGGGGAACAGGGAAGCTTGGGGTTTTGTAAAGAGAGTGTGTTGCTGTCTTTTCAGATCTTAAGAAAGCTTAATCCCTGCCATTTAGATAAATCAATTTAAGCATTACCAGGTTAGGGTTAAAGCTTGAAGAATGGCCTTGCAATTGATGACAAACACAGCACTTATTAAGTCCTAACTAATTTGCAGCTTATGTCACCCCCAGCTAATTAAAATGTAATTGGGATTCTCCAGCAATGTGCATTCTGTCAGCAGTTTTTCTTCCGAAGAGAAATCATGCCTTTCTCGGGGAAATGGCTTCATCTAAGCTGCTGCTTTAGCCACTGAAACTGTAAAACAAATAAATAACAGCACTGACAATTTAATTGAAAAAAAAAAAAAAAAAAAAAAGCCTATTCCCCGGGAATAGGCTGCTCTGTTTTGTTTTCTGCAATAGTGTGGCATCTTCTCAGGAGAGCGACTTTCATGGTAGGGCACAGAGGGTTGGAAACAAGGTGACTGGGGACGGGCTCTCTCCTGGCTCTATCCAGGATGTCTGGGTAATTTCACCACAGAAGTGAGCACTGGGTCTTCCATTCCCTGAAGACTCAGGAGGAGTGCAGAGTGTGCCCATTTCTCTGACTCCCCGGAGACGCTCCTTCTATTATTTAGAACAAACACAACGGGCACACTCGAGCACGCGCCAGCTTTGCCAGCAGGTTTAAGATCGTCCCCAAGGGCTACGGGGAACCACTTCCACACTCCACCCTTATAATATCGCCTCCTCTGGCAGCTTAATTTCCAGGGCCCTCACTTGACCCCCTCCCCTCCCCGGCAGGAGAGGCCCCGAGATTAAGAGCCAAGGGTTTGCTTTCCAGTTCCCGCCCAGCCAGGAAGCCAGCCTTCCTAACAAGCACCTACCTCTCCTTTTGGTCCCCCCAGAATTTCCCTGAGGCGAGACGGTGGAAACTTGGAACAGGTGGGCACCTACAGACAGAGGTAAGAATGACAGGAGAGGTGAAAAATATACGCAGGGTTTCAGAACTCGCGTGCTCGACAGGGCTGGGAGAGGCAGCAGCTGTACTCTGCACCCCCTGAGTCCGAAACCTGCCATAGTGTGCCCACCCGCACCCAGAGCCTCCGCGCAGGCCCCGCGGGGGTCCATGCCACGGGGCAGGGTC
The DNA here is from genome assembly GCF_000001405.40 of Homo sapiens. Taxonomy (NCBI): domain Eukaryota; kingdom Metazoa; phylum Chordata; class Mammalia; order Primates; family Hominidae; genus Homo; species Homo sapiens. Next base: position 13,752,899 of record NC_000024.10, on the reverse strand, counting down.
CGGGCAACCCTCAGGAGCCAAGCGCGCGGTTCCCGTAGACTCCCACACACGCGACCAAGCGCACACACACACTCCTCTACTCGCCGGCTAAAAGAACCTAAGTATGGGGTTTGGGGGACAGTGACCTTGGAGCCTGTCTCTGGCGTATCCAAACACCGTCCTGCCAAATCCCCTGTCCCCGGCACTTCTCTGACGCTCTACGCTAGTGTACAAGACCTTGAATCTTTAGGGACTCCGAAATGAGGCGCGCGGAGCCACCTGCACCCTCCAACACGCGCATACACGCACCCTGGAACACGACTTGGCACAAGTGCCGTGGCTGGGGAATCCACGGGTGGGTAGCGAGCTCTCGGCCCGCGGATGGTGAAAAATCATCGTTCAAAAGAGAAAAAGTGTCGGCCTGCGGGCACCTGCGGAGCTGGGGCTCGTGGCAAGGTCCCCGGGCGCAGCTGGGCGCAGCGGGGTGCGCCTCCCGGACTCTCTCCCAGTGCTCCTGAGCACCTGGGACTTTGCGGGAGTCGACACCCGCCTGGAATCTCGGGCACTCAATTCCCGGGAAACAGCTACATCCACACACCCACCCTCGGCATTCACGACTCTCCCTCCCCAGGAAAATCGCCTTTGGTTTCCTGCTGGGAAGGACAAGACTGGGGCAGGACGCCTCGGGCTTCTTTTTCGTATCGGGAGCCGGGAGGAGGCTGGAAAACACGATTTAAGCACCCCGACTGTAAGATCCACGCCCAGGAGAAGCCAGGTCAGCTCGCTGCGCTGGCCGAAAACTTTTCGCGCCTAGGCTGGTCGGCGCGCGCCCGGGTGCACTCTCGCGCCCGGGTGCACTCCCGCCGCGGCCGCAGCACCAGAAAGAACCCGGGGCGGGCGGGAGTCTCCACTAACCTGGAAGTGCTGGAAGAAGGCAGAGATGCGTATGATTGGCAAGCTTAGGCACCTGGAGGCGCAGCGGGCGCGCAGGACGCTCCCGGCAGACAGCGACTCGTCCAGCAGCTGAGCAGCAGCTGCTCCGGGGCCGGCCGCCAGGCAGCCCTCCGAGGCCTCCAGCCAGAGGCAGAGGGTCAGGACCGCGCCGGGCACCTCGGGCACCATGGCTGCCGATCGGATGCGAGGGCGCCGGGCGCTGGCCGATGCTCCATGCTCCTCGCCGGGGCCGCACTCTGGGGACCCAGCAGCCGCAACGACCACGCCGGAAAGTTTGATACTTCAAATCCAGCCAGGCCTTCCCAGCCAACCTCCCTCCTTGCTTGCCCTCCAGGGGTGGCATGAGAAGGACAGGCGGCCGCGCCATTGGCTGGAAGGCGTGTGACAGGAGGGGCGGACGCAGGGCCCGTGGGCGGGTCTCTGGGAATGAGACCCCGGACACTCAGCTGAAGGGTGATGTCGGAAGACCCCACGCAGTCGCCTCCCCGTCCGCACCAACCGCTTCCTGCCCCTCCTACCTCCCCTCTCCGTCCAGGTGTGAGCAGGCCCACGCCTGCCAGCAGGGGTGCTCTCTTTAGCAGGACCAAAGAGGCCTCAGGACCGCCAGGGGCGTCCTACCTTCCTTTAGTTCCACACGCTTTGTTTCCTAAGGCGTCTGTTTTTCTTTTCTTTTCTTTTTTTTTTTTTTTTTACACTGTGTCTCGCTCTATCGCCAGGCTGCAGTTTAGTGCGGCGACCTCGGCTCACTGCAACCTCCGCCTCCCGGATTCAAGCGATTCTCCTGCCTCAGACTCCCGAGTAGCTGGGACTACAGGTGCCCGCCACCACTCCTGTATTTTTGTATTTTTAGTAGAGACGGGTTTCACCATGTTGGCCAGGATTGTCTCGATCTCCTAACCTCGTGATTTGCCCGCCTGGGCCTCCCAAAGTGCTGGGACTACAAGCATGAGCCACCACGCCCAGCCAGGCGTTTGTTTTTCTAATAAGCTTTGCACGCCCACAGTGAGTGATTTATTCAAAATAGACTTGCGTCTTAACCTCTTTCTTTCCCCATGATTTGCCCCGAGCCTCTTGACTCAGCCTTTTTAGCTTTGGAATGGCTGCTCCGGCCTCTCTTGTCTTTTCCAGTGCTCTTTTAGCACACGAGTTCTCCCTCCCCAGCCAGGATCCTGCCACAGAAAGACAGGAGGCATTGATAACACACAACCTGTAACAAAGCTCTACACTCTCCTCAGCCGCATCAGGAAGTGACAGTCCCCTTGCAGGTAGGAAAACCCAGAGAAAAAAGACCCAGGCACACTGCAATTCGAAAGGACAACTGACTGCTGTTCCTTTGCTCTGACATCTCCACCGTCTCCTACCCAATTGCACTTTCACCTTCGAAAAGAGGATCTCCATAAGCACCCAGCTAAGCACAGTCAGGCTATCTAGATGCACTCCCTCTACTCAAAGCTACATCAGAAGGCTCGAATCCTCTTTGCTCAAAGGCTGTACAGTTGTTTTGCAATTTTCCACCCTTTCCCCTATTCTTATACACAGGTTCCACTCTGCAATTTTGATATCTGCCTGTTAACAAATTGGAATGACAGCCATCTGCAGCTATCCTATTATGAGTGTTTTTCAAGTACATCATTTTACATGTGTATTTCTTCACATAGCTTAAACCAGCAAGGCCAATCGAATCAACTGGCATTGATGTGTTTCTTAGCGAATTAGAAAATCAGGGTCATCTTGTTCACAAGGTTCTACAGGCAGAGCCAGTTTCAGGGGCATGCAAGCTGTACAGTGGTACAGTCACACTCTTAGAAGGGCTGTTCTGCCATCACCGGCTGAAATTCTTTATAATGTTTGAACAAGTTTCCCTGAATTTTCATTTTGCATGAAGTCTCACAAATTATGTAGCTAGCCCTATCTGTAGGTTTTAGCCATGACAATCCTTTACTTCAGGGGTCCCCAGTCCCCAAGCCTCAGACCAGTACATGTCAGTGGCCTGTTAGGAACCGAGACACAGCAGGAAGTAAGTGGCAGTCCAGGGAACATTACTGCTCTTCCTCAGGTCAGATCAGTGGCGGCATTAAATTCTATAGCAGCTCCAACCTTACAGTGAACTATGCATGCAAGATATCTAGGTAGCATACTCCTTATAAGAATCAAATGCTGATCTGAGTGTAACAATTTTATCCTTATACCATCACCTGCTACCTCCAGGTCCACGGAAAAATTGTCTTCCATGAAACCGGTCCATGGTGCCAAAAAGGTTGGGGACCACTGCTTTACTTGGGCTGGAAACCTAGTAATTTTGGGCTAAGCTTACATGAGTTCAGTTATTTGTTTTAAAATTGCTCAGAATTGCAAATGGAAATCTTTTTTACATATGTTAATTAATATTAATGAAGAGTAAAGAAGCTAACTATAGTGACCCCAAGTAGGCATGTGTCAATACATAATGATGTCTGAATACACAGATTGTCTTCTAAATGTTGTCACTTTCATTTGTGAATTACTAAAAACATTTCCAAAAGCTGTAGGGGATTGTTTCCTAGTGTTTCTTTGGAGTTTTAAAGTAAAGCAAATACGCGGTCTTGGTGAAGGCAAAGATATTATGTACACTGACATTTTCTTAGGTATCTTAATTTGATTTATAATTTTGCCTGTCATATCATGAAATGCATATTCTAGAAAGTGAAATCACAAGGACAAGCATGCTGAGCTTTTAAAAACAGCCTTTGGATGTTCACAAGGGTCGCTGTATTTTTTTAAAAAAGCAATGTGTGTGCTACTTCTATGGGTTCCATAGCATATTCATTTCTATGAATAAATGCATTTTATACTAAACCATAAAGGAGAACAGTCAGTTATTAAAAGGAAACTTGGGCATAAACATATAGGGCTACCTTATTATGCATATGTTAAAATAATACTTGCAGTTATATTGCTTTCTTCCTTTAGAATAATCACATACTTTCTCTGTGATTACGCAGGTCTTTCTCATATTATTTATTTTAATTGCAGCTTAAAGTAACTTTTAAAAGGAAAACATTCTAGTAAAGTCAGAATAACAGTCAAATTCCAGTTTTTTTTTTTTCACTCTGCCCATGTATACCTAATTTATTATCCAGCTCACCTTCCAAGTTGAAACATGGAAGTTCTCTGACTTTTGACATAACCAGGTAAGCCACAACCTAAGTTCATGAAAGCCAGCCACAGGGGAGGAAAACACTAAGAGTATGCTGAGGAAATGATGGATAAAGGGGTAGGACCCTCAGGTGCAGCTAGTAAGAAGGTGCTTAGTATGTCTTTCTCCAAGTCTCCTTGACCCCCATGATCGGAATTTGTCTAGTGAAGAATTAAACCTTACGCTGACATTGGTTTTACTTAAATAGACAAACACACATTTAAAGAGAGTAGAAGAGCATCTTAATTGTCTCTTATTTATATCTACATGAACAATTGTCTCTTATTTATATCTACATGAACAAAGATAGACCAAAATGTGTGGTTGTCTTGGTCAGGTTCTAGAGGAATCACACAAAATAAAGCCCTCTTTCACAGTTTGCAAAAGTTATTCTCTTCCCTGCATTTTCTTTAGTTATTGGTTTCCTTTTTTTTTTTTAAGACTGAGTCTTACTCTGTTGCCCATACTGGAGTACAGTAGCACCATCTCGGCTCACTGCGTTCTCTGCCTCCCAGGTTCAAGCAGTTCTCATGCCTCAGCCTCCTGAGTATCTGGTATTACAGGCACCTACCACCATGTCCGGCTAATTTTTGTATTTTTGGTAGAGACAGGGTTTAGCTGTGTTGGCAAGGCTGGTCTCGAACTCTTGACCACAAATGGGTTGCCTGCCTCAGCCTCCCAAAGTGCTGGGATTACAGGAGTGAGCAGCCACCCTGCCCGGCCAGTTATTGGTTTCTTTTTCTTTGTTTGTTTCTTTGTTTGTTTCTGTTTATCTGCAAAAAATGAGAAACCTCTGTAATCTTTACTTAAGATAGACTCCAGGACCCTAAATTCAGCGATTCTGAGTCAGTACATCTAAGGTGAGGAGTTGAAATGTCAGTTTTTAAATCATACCCCAGGCGATTCCATATAAATTCAACCAGGGACTATGCTTTGAGGGATATTTGATTTCAGAAGTACATCTGAGGAGCACTTTGGAGCCTGGGGCAGAAGGATCACTTGAGCTCAGGGGTCTGAGACCAGCCTGAGCAACATGGTAAAACCCCGTTTATACAAAAAGTACAAAAATTAGCCAGGCATGATGGTGAACACCTGTGGTCCCCAGCAACTCAGGAGACTGAGGTGGGAGGATTGCGTAAGCCCAGGAGGTTGAGGCTGCAGTGAGCCCAGATCACAACATTTTGTTCAGCCTCAGTGACAGAGCCAGACCCTCTCTCAAAAAAAAAAAAAAAAAGGACAACAACAACAAAAATATCTGTTAAAAATTGTACAGATATTATAATTTAAATAGAATCTATGATTTAATTTTATTGAAAGTATATTTTTTAGATGTGTGTTGATATGGATTGGACATACCAATCTATTTCTTAACAATCAAATGGACATATTTTTCCAATACATTTATCCAAGACTCTCTTAGACTCCTTGTTTTTTTGGGCTAGCAATTTGCCTTTTTAAAGGTTTTCCAGCTGTGTTGGATAAGGATAAAGTGTGAAGGTAGCAAGTATAATCTTTATCTGACATATCTCTCTTGGAAAAGCAAAATGAGAACTCATGAAAAACTTGGAGAACAAATAGTTAAATATGACAGCATTTAAGAGTCATGAACAGAACAGTGTCATCCTGGTTTTGGTTATCAGGGGAAAGTGAAGTAAAGGGAGGAAAGTCACAGATGAGGTCTAGCTTCCTTTCTAATTGCCCCCATTTGATGATGCAAGAGTGTGCATCTTCTCATAGAGATTGCAGTTCACTTCAGGAAAAGTAAAAGTGGCAAGATCAAGGAGTGTGGAAGTACGCTTGTATTTACCCATACTTCCACACTCTCAGGTGCAGTTCTCAGGCTTTGCTAGCTCAGCTCTGCTAACACTGTTCTTTAACTGTTTTCCTTCTCCTCCAGACTTGGTTCTCTTCTGCTCAGCTTTAAATTGCATCACCAAACCAATGCCAAGAGTAAAACACACACGCACATACACAGACACACACACACACACACACACAAGAAAAATAAATGGTGAAATGTACAGCACAGGGTACAATTAAGAACCAAATGGGGAGGAGCCAAGATGGCTGAAAAGGAAAAGCTCCAGTCTACAGTGACCAGCATGAGCGGGGCAAAAGACGGGTGATTTCTGCATTTCCATCTGAGGTACCGGGTTCATCTCACTAGGGAGTGCCAGATGGCGGGTGCAGGTCAGTGGGTACATGCACCGTGGGTGAGCGGAAGCAGGGCGAGGCATTGCCTCACTTGGAAAGCGCAAGGGGTCAGGGAGTTCCCTTTCCTAGTCAAAGAAAGGGGTGACAGACGGCACGTGGAAAATCAGGTCACTCCCACCCGAATACTGTGCTTTTCCGACAGGCTTAAAAAACAGCACACCAGGAGATTATATCCCGCACATGGCTCAGAGGGTCCTATGCCCATGGAGTCTCGCTGATTGCTAGCACAGCAGTCTGAGATCAAACTGCAAAGCGGCAGCGAGGCTGGGGGAGGGGCGCCCACCATTGCCCAAGCTTGCTTAGGTAAACAAAGTAGCCAGGAAGCTCGAACTGGGTGGAGCCCACCACAGCTCAAGGAGGCCTGCATGCCTCTGTAGGCTCCACCTCTGGGGGCAGGGCACGGACAAACAAAAAGACAGCAGTAACCTCTGCAGACTTAAATGTCCCTGTCTGACAGCTTTGCAGAGAGTAGTGGTTCTCCCAACACGCAGCTGGAGATCTGAGAATGGGCAGACTGCCTCCTCAAGTGGGTCACTGACCCCTGACCCCCGAGCAGCCTAACTGGGAGGCACCCCCCAGCAGGGGCAGACTGACACCTCACAAGGCCAGGTACTCCAACAGACCTGCAGCTGAGGGTCCTGTCTGTTAGAAGGAAAACTAACAAACAGAAAGGACATCCACACCAAAAACCCATCTGTACATCACTATCATCAAAGACCAAAAGTAGATAAAGCCACAAAGATGGGGAAAACAGAGAGCAGAAAAACTGGAAACTCTAAAAAACAGAGTGCCTCTCCTCCTCCAAAGGAATGCAGTTCCTCACCAGCAATGGAACAAAGCTGGACGGAGAATGACTTTGATGAGCTGAGAGAAGAAGGCTTCAGACGATCAAATTACTCCGAGCTACGGGAGGACATTCAAACCAAAGGCAAAGAAGTTGAAAACTGAAAAAAATTTAGAAGAATGTATAACTAGAATAACCAATACAGAGAAGTACTTAAAGGAGCTGATGAAGCTGAAAACCGAGGCTCGAGAACTACGTGAAGAATGCAGAAGCCTCAGGAGCCAATGTGATCAAATGGAAGAAAGGGTATCAGCGATGGAAGATGAAACGAATGAAATGAAGCAAGAAGGGAAGTTTAGAGAAAAAAGAATAAAAAGAAATGAGCAAAGCCTCCAAGAAATATGGGACTATGTGAAAAGGCCAAATCTACGTCTGATTGGTGTACCTGAAAGTGACGGGGAGAATGGAATCAAGTTGGAAAACACTCTGCAGGATATTATCCAGGAGAACTTCCCCAATCTAGCAAGGCAGGCCAACATTCAGATTCAGGAAATACAGAGAACGCCACAAAGATACTCCTCGAGAACAGCAACTCCAAGACACATAATTGTCAGATTCACCAAAGTTGAAATGAAGGAAAAAATGTTAAGGGCAGCCAGAGAGAAAGGTCGGGTTACCCTCAAAGAGAAGCCCATCAGACTAACAGCAGATCTCTCGGCAGAAACTCTACAAGCCAGAAGAGAGTGGGGGCCAATATTCAACATTCTTAAAGAAAAGAAATTTCAACCCAGAATTTCATATCCAGCCAAACTAAGCTTCATAAGTGAAGGAGAAATAAAATACTTTACAGACAAGCAAATGCTAAGAGATTTTGTCACCACCAGGCATGCCCTAAAAGAGCTCCTTAAGGAAGCGCTAAACATGGAAAGGAACAACCGGTACCAGCCGCAGCAAAATCATGCCAAAATGTAAAGACCATCGAGACTAGGAGGAAACTGCATCAACTAACGAGCAAAAGAACCAGCTAACATCATAATGACAGGATCAAATTCACACATAACAATATTAACTTTAAATGTAAATGGACTAAATGCTCCAACTAATAGACACAGACTGGCAAATTGGATAAAGAGTCAAGACCCATCAGTGTGCTGTATTCAGGAAACCCATCTCACATGCAGAGACACACATAGGCTCAAAATAAAAGGATGGAGGAAGATCTACCAAGCAAATGGAAAAGAAAAAAAGGCAGGGGTTGCAATCATAGTCTGTGATAAAACAGACTTTAAGCCAACAAAGATCAAAAGAGACAAAGAAGGCCATTACATAATGGTAAAGGGATCAATTCAACAAGAAGAGCTAACTATCCTAAATATATATGCACTCAATACAGGAGCACCAGATTCATTAAGCAAGTCCTGAGTGACCTACAAAGAGACTTAGACTCCCACGCATTAATAATGGGAGACTTTAACACTCCACTGTCAACATTAGAAAGATCAACGAGACAGAAAGTCAACAAGGATACCCAGAAATTGAACTCAGCTATGCACCAAGCAGACCTAGTAGACATCTACAGAACTCTCCACCCCAAATCAACAGAATATACATTTTTTTCAGCACTACACCACACCTATTCCAAAATTGACCACATACCTGGAAGTAAAGCTCTCCTCAGCAAATGTAAAAGAAAAGAAATTATAACAAACTGTCTCTCAGACCACAGTGCAATCAAACTAGAACTCAGGATTAAGAATCTCACTCAAAACGGCTCAACTACATGGAAACTGAACAACCTGCTCCTGAATGACTACTGGGTACATAACGAAATGAAGGCAGAAATAAAGATGTTCTTTGAAACCAACCAGAAGAAAGACACAACATACCAGAATCTCTGGGACGCATTCAAAGCAGTGTGTAGAGGGAAATTTATAGCACTAAATGCCTACAAGAGAAAGCAGAAAACATCCAAAATTGACACCCTAACATCACAATGAAATGAACTAGAAAATCAAGAGCAAACACATTCAAAAGCGAGCAGAAGGCAAGAAATAACTAAAATCCGAGCAGAACTGAAGGAAATAGAGACACAAAAAACCCTTCAAAAAGTTAATGAATCCAGGAGCTGGTTTTTTGAAATGATCAACAAAATTGATAAACCGCTAGCAAGACTAATAAAGAAAAAAAGAGACCTGAATCAAATAGACGCAATAAAAAATGATAAAGGGGATATCACCACCGATCCCACAGAAATACAAACTACCATCAGAGAATACTACAAACACCACTATGCAAATAAACTAGAAAATCTAGAAGAAACAGATAAATTCCTCGACACATACACTCTCCCAAGACTAAACCAGGAAGAAGCTGAATCTCTGAATAGACCAATAACAGGAGCTGAAATTATGGCAATAATCAATAGCTTACCAACAAAAAAGAGTCCAGGACTAGATGCATTCACAGCCAAATTCTACCAGAGGTACAAGGAGGAACTGGTACCATTCCTTCTGAAACTATTCCAATCAATAGAAAAAGAGGGAATCCTCCCTAACTCATTTTAGGAGGCCAGCATCATCCTGATACCAAAGCCGGGCAGAGACACAACCAAAAAAGAGAATATTAGACCAATATCCCTGATGAACATTGAAGCAAAAATCTTCAATAAAATGCTGGCAAACCGAATCCAGCAGCACATCAAAAAGCTTATCCACCATGATCAAGTGGGCTTCATCCCTGGGATGCAAGGCTGGTTCAATATAAGCAAATCAATAAATGTAATTCAGCATATAAACAGAACCAAAGACTAAAAACACATGATTATCTCAATAGATGAAGAAAAGACCTTTCACAAAATTCAACAACCATTCATGCTAAAACCTCTCAATAAATTAGATATTGATGGGATGTACTACAAAATAATAAGAGGTATCTATGACAAACCCACAGCCAATATCATATTGAATGGGCAAAAACTAGAAGCATTCCCTTTGAAAACTGGCACAAGACAGGGATGCCCTCTCTCACCACTCCTATTCAACATAGTGTTGGAAGTTCTCACCAGGGCAATTAGGCAGGAGAAGGAAATAAAGGGTATTCAATTAGGAAAAAAGGAAGTCAAATTGTCCCTGTTTGCAGATGACATGATTGTATATCTAGAAAACCCCATTGTCTCAGCCCAAAATCTCCTTAAGCTGATAAGCAACTTCAGCAAAGTCTCAGGATACAAAATCAATGTTCAGAAATCACAAGCATTCTTATACACCAACAACAGACAAACGGAGAGCCAAATCATGAGTGAACTCCCATTCGCAATTGCTTCAAAGATAATAAAATACCTAGGAATCCAACTTACAAGGGATGTGAAGGACCTCTTCAAGGAGAGCTACAAACCACTGCTCAAGGAAATAAAAGAGGATACAAACAAATGGAAGAACATTCCATGCTCATGGGTAGGAAGAATCAATATCGTGAAAATGGCCATACTGCCCAAGGTAATTTACAGATTCAATGCCAACCCCATCAAGCTACCAATGACTTTCTTCACAGAATTGGAAAAAACTACTTTAAAGTTCATATGGAACCAAAAAGGAGCCCACATCACCAAGTCAATCCTAAACCAAAAGAACAAAGCTGGAGGCATCACACTACCTGACTTCAAACTATACTACAAGGCTACAGTAACCAAAACAGCATGGTACTGGTCCCAAAACAGACATATAGTTCAATGGAACAGAACATAGCCCTCAGAAATAACGCCACATATCTACAACTATCTGATCTTTGACAAACCTGAGAAAAACAAGCAATGGGGAAAGGATTCCCTATTTAATATATGGTGCTGGGAAAACTGGCTAGCCATATGTAGAAAGCTGAAACTGGATCCCTTCCTTACACCTTATACAAAAATCAATTCAAGATGGATTAAAGACTTAAACGTTAGACCTAAAACCATAAAAACCATAGAAGAAAACCTAGGCATTATCATTCAGGACATAGGCACGGGCAAGGACTTCATGTCTAAAACACCAAAAGCAATGGCAACAAAAGCCAAAATTGACAAATGGGATCTAATTAAACTAAAGAGCTTCTGCACAGCAAAAGAAACCACCATCAGAGTGAACAGGCAACCTACAAAATGGGAGAAAATTTTCGCAACCTACTCATCTGACAAAGGGCTAATATCCAGAATCTACAATGAACTCAAACAAATTTACAGGAAAAAAACAACCCCATCAAAAAGTGGGCGAAGGATATGAACAGACACTTCTCAAGAGAAGACTGTTACGCAGCCAAGAGACATGAAAAAATGCTCACCATCACTGGCCATCAGAGAAATGCAAATCAAAACCACAGTGAGATATCATCTCACACCAGTTAGAATGGCAATCATTAAAAACTCAGGAAACAACATGTGCTGGAGAGGATGTGGAGAAATAGGAACGCTTTTACACTGTTGGTGGGACTGCAAACTAGTTCAACCATTGTGGAAGTCAGTGTGGCGATTCCTCAGGGATCTAGAACTAGAAATGCCATTTGACCCAGTCATCCCATTACTGGGTATATACCCAAAGGACTATAAATCATGCTGCTATAAAGACACATGCACACGTATGTTTATTGCGGCATTATTCACAATAGCAAAGACTTGGAACCAACCTAAATGTCCAAAAGTGATAAACTGGATTAAGAAAATGTGGCACATATACACCATGGAATACTATGCAGCCATAAAAAATGATGAGTTCATGTCCTTTGTAGGGACATGCATAAAATTGGAAATCATCATTCTCAGTAAACTATCACAAGAACAAAAAATCAAACACCGCATATTCTCGGTCATAGGTGCGAATTGAACCATGAGAACACATGGACACAGGAAGGGGAACATCACACTCTGGGGACTGTTGTGAGGTGGGGGAGGGGGGAGGGATAGCACTGGGAGATATACCTAATGCTAGATGAGGAGTTAGTGGGTGCAGCACACCAGCATGGCACATGTATACATATGTAACTAACCTGCACATTGTGCACATGTACCCTAAAACTTAAAGTACAATAATAATTAAAAAATAAAAATAAAAATAAATAAATAAAAGAACCAAATGGATAAATGTCAAATTTGCATCTTTTGCAATTTGGCTTCAGGCAAGAATGAGGTTCACATTCATGGTACTGTACCCATGTGGTCTCTGATGGCCAATTTAATGATTTTACAAATAATAATTATTACTTTCGGCATAGGGTCTTTGAATATACACTGCTGTTTGCACAAAAGACCACCACATCCATTTATAGTCCTCTGCTTTCTTTTATTATCTTGCAAGGCTAGATACCCTATTTGGGTATAATTTTAGCATGTAACACATTTTCCCTTTCAACAAGATTATAAAAATGTAGTTGCAGTCCACACAGTTTAAAGAGATCACTTTTGTTAGTCACCGTGATGTTTCCTAAGATTTTACAAAGTTTCAGAATTGTGTTTCCTATTACTTTTCTGCACTGAAGACTATTTTAATGACATTTTAAACTTATTTTACAAAATATACAAAGAATTGCCTAATACTATGACTTCTAACTACCACTACTTCTCAAGAATTTCTCTTTGCCCTCTCATGTCATGTCACCATCAATCAGTGTTAAATTTGTTTGCTGCCTGCTCTACACTTGTGCTGAGAATCTAGACTAGGTCATGGCTGAAGTTTTTTTCCTGGATGCAATGGTTACCAAAGTTAAAATAATTACAAATAATAAAGTGTGTCAGAGGGTGCATTTTCACATGTCAAAGGCAATTATCTGGTGATGGCTATGGTGATGTTTGGCTGTGGGTGTGATTTCCCTCTCAAAACCCTACCGTGAATCTGTCTCTCCAGCACATATGATGGCCTCTGTTGATTCTGGTGTCTTACACAGCAGAACAGATGCTGCACCCAGCAAGGAGGGTGGGTTTTTGAAACCCAGTGGTTTCACAGGCTGCCTGATGCCAGTAAAACTGAATACTTGCCCCAGTGACAAGACAGTTAACTAATTTTACCCTACTTCTAATGTTACCAATGCTACTATAAGCAACCATAAATACTTAGGGCTCTCATGTCAAATTCTACATATAAGCCATAGACAGTGAAAAACATACAAATAGGTGGGAACACTTAAAGTCAAATATGAGAGGCCACTTAAAAATATAAACAGTAACCATTGTACTTCTGGCTCTTGACATGACAAAAATGTTACTGGCTTGTCCCTAAACAAATATTTGGAGAAGCATAAAACAATTAATAGAAGCAAAAGTTTAATGAAGTCTTAAATAATGTAACTTTTAATTAAAAATGACATTTCTAACTTTTGAGTGTCCTACTTTTCATGTGACATGCGTAATATACTTTTCAGTAAAATTTGTACTTATCATTTTGTAAAGTGAGACTTTTTTGAGGCAGTTTTTTAAACAAAGTTCAAATAAGTAATCGCATTTATTCTGAATTTCATGTTTAAATATGAAGATAAATCTACAGGTGCTCTTCAGAGTTACTGAAACTCTATTCTGTTAAAAGTCAGCCAGTCGCAGTGGCTCATACCTGTAATCCCAACGCTTTGGGAGGCGGGCGAATCACGAGGTCAGGAGTTGGAGACCAGCCTGGCCAACATGGTAAAGCCCCGTCTCTACTTAAAGTACAGAAATTAGCTGGCATGGTGGTGGGGGGCCTATAGTCTCAGCTACTCCGGAGGCTGAAGCAGGGGAATTGCTTAAACCCGGAAGGCGGAGGTTGCAGTGGGAGATCGCGCCACTGCACTCCAGCCTGGGCAACAGACTGAGACTCCGTCTCAAAAAACAAAACAAAACAAAACAAAACAAAAAAAGTCTTCAGTTTCTCTGATGTTTTCAAGCCTATCAAAATTTACACGGAGGCATATAAATACCAAGGTGTTTGGGGAGAAGCCTCTGGAAATTACAAAAGCAGATTTTTAACGGGAGACAGCGCCACACGCTGGCCATTTAAATGAAACGGGAAGGAAAGCACAGAACCCTCCGTGTGTGACAATAACCTAATTTTAGGACAAAGCTGCCCACTCTACGGCATATTTCTCACTGGGGTAGTCATGCCACAATCGCACTTAGCACCTACTAGATTACATCTAGTGTGGATTTAAATATTGCAAGCCATTCCTGCATCTCTACAGTCACACTGACCTAAATTAGGGAAATTAGTATAGCAGTTTCGAATAATTGTTTCCCTAGCTTTTAAAAACTTTCCAACTATTCCCTGCAAAATTAACTGACAAAGGTAGACTGTCTGTGAGTTACGTCTATGGAAGCCTCTGTTTGGAACCACTTTTTTTTGCAGCTGGGATTATATGCCTGTGCCACCATACCCCGGATAATTTTTGTAGAGACAGGGGTTTCACTATGTTGGCCCGGCTGGTCTTGAACTCCTGATCTCAGTTTATCTGCCCTCCCTGGCCGCCCAGAGTGCTGGGATTACAGGTGTGAGCCCTACTTCCAGGATTTTCTATAGTGGCTAGTGTGAACCAGCTGAAGAATATTCTATTCTAAGATTGAATTTTGGGTGTTTGAGAGTCTGAAAGCAAAGCTGACTCCCTTCCGGCCTCTTCTCATTGTTTCTGGGCCTCTGAATGCCCAGCCCTCCTCAGGCACTATGTAGCACATCAAAGTTGACTTTGAGTTCCAGGGAGTGCCAAAGCCAGGAGTTCAGTTTGCCTTTTTTCTTAGTAATCTGTGTTTCGCTGGGACACAGATGGACAACATTTGGATATCAAACATGGTAAATGGAGCCTGGGCAACATAACAAGACCTCGTATCTCCCCCTACCCGCTCCAGAAAAGAAAAAGTAAGGCAAAGCGGTACACGCCTCTAGTCCCAGAGAGCCTGAAGCAAGATCACCTGAGCCTGGAGATAGAGGCTGCAGTGAGCTATGATCGCACCACTGCACTCCATGCTGTGTGACACAGCGAGACCCTGTTTTCTGAAAAATGAGAAAACAGAAAAGAAAAAAAATGGTTAATGGGATTTGCCTAACGTTTAAGTGGGGATTCCTAGTGGGAGTGTTTCTCCCTGGTCTTTCTGGACATTGCCTGAGATAGCTCAGTTACCTAGCAATATGGTAACAACTTCTGTGCTCAAAAAGAGACTGAAGGAGAGGTATGGATATGTATTAAACAAGCTTCTTTTTCTCCTCCTGCAAATAATTATCATTCTGAATTGTCGAGCAGTCAGGTGGTATTTTTTCCTGAGAAACTTATTTCCAACGTCTCAATGTTTGTAATGCTTTTCACACATAGGGGAGGTTCAGTTGGTTCAGCTGAGAGCGTTCATACAGGCAGTGATGTTCCTGAGTTATTATACAGAGGAACCCAGTGAAGACCAGTGGCATGATTGGAGAACTGTCAGCTCACTCATATTAGTAGAATATTGCCAAGTGAATTACTGCTTCTTGCCATTATGCACAAAAAAAGAAATGAAAAGCAATCTAAGCCTTTTTGTATTTTCAGAGAATTAGGTGCACTTGTTCATTTTTTATTTAATATCAAAGGACTTTTTACTCTGGTCTGCAAAACTTTAAAATTATGACTGTCATAACTACCTACACAGAGATTAAGGATTATAAGATACTAGATAAATAGATAGATAGAGAGAGAGATATTTAGATATGTGTATATAATTTTTTTGTGTATATATATATATATATATATATATAAAATTTCCATAATTACAGGGACTGTTTGTAAACTCTATTTTTTCTTTGTTAATTTGTACATTTTGATTCTCATTATGTAATTCAAATTTCACAAAAATTATGTTTTCACAAACATTATAATCAATATTCATTATGATTTGTTTTTATATTTATTTATCCCTTCCATTGCTTCTTCTTTCTTACATTTCCATGTTTCCATCTGGGATCATTCCTTCTGGAAGAACTTAAATATATGTAATTATATTTAAGATTAATTTTAAGGAAGAACTTACATATATAATTACATATATTTAATATAATCTATCTGTAATTATATGTAATTACAGATAGATTAGATAGATACATAGACAGATAGATAATAGATATATTAATATGGTTCTATAGGAAATGTATTTTCTCAGATTTCTTGAGGGGATATATTGGAATGTCTTTTTTTTCATTTTTATTTTTGGAGAATACTCTTTTTAGAAGAGAATTCTAGACGGACAGTTATTTCCTTTCCTCGTTATTGTAGTTCATTTTTTCAAAGTAGAACAGGGGTATTTTCCATCATCTTGAACCAGAAATTTTCCCACTAATTGTACTTCAAGCCACTCAGCAGACCAGGGAATTACTTCTTGCTGAGGATACAAAATCTCCCCAACTGTTTTGCTCTTACCTTGTTGAGCTTATGGGACTGACTTATTCCCAAGACCCCTTCCTTTGAAACTCCTGTTCCTAAACAGCACATATGCCTAGATTTCCCATGTCTCTTCGCCAGTTTTTTTCCCTGGAGCCTCTTTTTGCATCCTTCTGGATTCGTCACCGTTCTTGAAATAATTCTGTTCCAGGTGATAGAATCAAAGGGCAAGTTGGACAAGGAGGCTTTGCATGGGAAAGAAGCCCATGCAGCAGGAATTGGGGATGCTCTTGCTCTACTTTACAGAGCCCAGTCAGTACTGGGGCTCTGACTTCTCCTCTCTATGCTGTAAAAACCAGAATCTCATTTGCCCAGCCCTGGCCTGGTGTCCACTTGGGTGAGGAGCTCTGGCCAGGTGTGGGTCATTTATTTTTGACCAGGGCCCACCACAGATCCTCAGTTTCCTTCCCAGAGATGAAGACTGCTTTGTGTCAAGCAGCTATACAATGAGCTAACATAAATAATATCCCCAAATCCACACTTCTAAAAGCTTCCACAGGGTCTATTTGGTTCAGATCCAGGCAGTCTTTTGCAGGCTCTATGTTTTCAGCAGCTTTTATTTAACTGATTGTCTTGGGTACTTTGCAATATGCCAGGCATGATTCCTGCACTGGGTGATGGGGGCAGCAGCTATACAAAGAGGCGGTGTCTACAAGTGGTTCTTGGGGCCTTTCCCTAGTTGCTCTGCAGAGCTCTAAGATTTGCATGTGTCTCAACCACCTCTGCCCTGAGCTTTTGCTACGTAAGACCATCTCCCTGTTGGGCTTTTCCATAGGGCGAGACACATGCACAATCCTGCCCCCATCACCCAGTGCAGGAATCATGCCTGGAATATTGCAAGTACCCAAGACAATCAGTTAAATAAAAGCTGCTGAAAATGTAGAGCCTGAAAAAGACTGCCTGGATCTGAACACCAGGTAGACCCTGTGGAAGGTTTTAGAAGTGTGGATTTGGGGATATTATTTATGTTAGCTCATTGTTCTCAACTGCAAAATGGGAAAAACATACCAACTTCATGGTGTTGTCATAAGTAATCACTGAGTTAATATCGGTGAACACCAACGAAAGTATTAGCTCTTATGTCTTTGCCTCTGGTCTGAAACCTGCCTTCTCAATCATCCAGATGCCTTCACAACCTTCTTTCTAAAATTAGAATCTACTATTATTGTTGCCTACTTTAAAAATCATGGCTAGAGCCCCCCTGCTGATGTGACAGTTGTTTATCATGCAGTAAGATTCTCTTTATGTTTTCCCCCAGCGAAGTTCATCTCTTTCCAGACCCACCAGTGTCAACCATGCTTCAGCAGAACTAAACAGCTGGTGCTTTCACATTGTCACCCCATGAGTGTTCCAGCGGTGGATGTTGTTCTCTCTCGTGAGTGTTAACATTCTAACACTGCTGAGTGTTTTCTTCATGGTGTTCATTTTTATTATGTTCGTCACACCTTATCAAGTCTTTGTTCACATGTCCATCTCCATTTCTACTTCTTATGGACAATGGCTTTTTCTGATAGGTGCTCAACAGATTCATTGCCTGGGACTGGAAATACTCAACACTCTTCGGTATGCAGCCTCTTTTATTCTTACATGGTCATGTTAACTTCTTATGGCTCCATAATATCTTTTATTAAAAAAAAAATTAGAGATGGGGTATCACTATTCCCCAAGCTGATTTCAAACTCCTGGATTCAGGCAATCCTCCCCTCTTAGCCTTCCAATGAGCTGGTACTACAGGCATGAACTGCTGCACCTGGCTTCAAAGCATCTTTGATACTTTGCTGGTGCAAGTATCAATTAATGCAATGACTCTGGAAGAGAGTCAGATGCCACCTTCAAAAAAACGACCACCCACATAGATGATGATTCCTCATTTTCACTCCTGGTGGAACGCAGCTAAAGCTACTGCATATGTATTATCAAAGTCTTGACAAACCAACTTTACAGCAGCACAGCTCATGTTAGCAAGAACCTTAACCAATAAAATGTACGATGATAGAACAGCAGATGCATAAACTCTTAGGTATTCACATACTGAAATATTGTACAGCTGTCAAAATAAATTAATGACAGAGATGGATACGTTAAACAAATGCCTCAATATAATAGTATGTGAAAGAAAATGCAAACAGACTATACATGGCAGGATATACTCTTTCTTTATAAAGTTAAAGGTAACTAGAAAAAAAGAGACACTTGTAGAAACAAATGTGTGCAATAGGCCAAGCACGCTGACTCACACTTGTAATCCCAGCACTTTGGGAGGCCAAGGTGGGTGGATCACTTGAGGTCAGCAGTTTGAGACCAGCCTGGCCCACATGGAGAAACCCTGTCTCTACAAAAGTAGAAAAATTAGCCAGACATGTTGTCATGCGCCTGTAGCACCAGCTACTCAGGAGACTGTGGCAGGAAAATTACTTAAACCTAGGAGGTGGAGGTTGCAGTGAACTGAGATCATGTCACTGCACTCCAGCCTGGGTGACAGATGGAGATTCTGTCTCAAAACAAACAAACAAATAAATGCAAAAAATCCATATAAAAAGGAAGAGATAATAGGCATAGATTATAAGATAATAGTGGACAAAACAGGAAGATTTATTGATTGTATAAGGCCTCTTTTGTTCGTGGCAGTGAGATTTTCGGGTGTCCATTATACTATTAACAATACCTAATTAAATAGCTAGCTAAATAGGTAAAATGGGCTATACCTGGAACAATGATGAAAATGTCATGAACCAGGAATTATGATTTATCTCACTCAGTATTACTGAAATTTAAAAATATAATGAAGTCAAAATACCAATGCCAGACACGGCATGTTCACGTACACAGCAACACAGGGTCCTAAGCTTCTGTTGCAATATGAAATGCATGATTTGTACAAAGAATGGGTCAGAAAGCAGTGGTTTGTTTGTTTTGTTTTCTTTCTAGATGCAAAGTTAGAGGAGAACAAGGCTGAGTTATCAAGTGTTATGCTTGGGAATCATAAGGAACTAAAAGGTAGCTTTCAGATGACTGAAAACTGTTGACTTTGGGGATGAAGTAGCCCTAGACTTTTGTAGAGCTGTCTTAAGTCCCTAGTAAAACAATATGTCATTGTCAGAAAAAACTGAGAAGGTAAAGAGTCCAAGAGAGGGAACTAACACATGGGGAGAAGATGAGAACTTCGTGGTTTAAACAACCCATGCTTGCAATGACACTGGCCTCCTTTTTTTATTTTTATTTTTCCATAAGTTATTGGGGTACATGAGTAAGTACATGGTATTTGGTTAGATGAGTAAGTTCTTTAGTGGTGATTTGTGAGATTTTGGTGCACCCACCACCCAAGCAGTATACACTGCACCATATTTGCAGTCTTTTATCCCTCACCACCGTCCCACTCTTTTCCCCAAGACCCCAAAGTCTTTGGGATGGATGCAGTGAACAGGGAACACTTCTACACCGCTGGTGGGAATGTAAACTAGTACAGCCACTATGGAAAACAGTGTGGAGATTCCTTAAAGAACTTAAAGTAGAATTAGCATTTGATCCAGCAGTCCCACTACTAGGTATCCACCTAGAGAAAAAGAAGTCATTGTTCGAAAAACACACTTGCACTTGCATGTTTATAGCAGCACAATTCACAACTGCAAAATCATGGAACTAACCCAAATGCCCATTAATCAACAAGTGGATAAAGAAACTGTGGTGTATTTATACAATGGAATACTATGCAGCCATAAAAAGGAATGAATTACCAGCATTTGCAGTGCCGTGGATGAGATTGGAGACTATTATTCTAAGTGAAGTAACTCAGGAATGGGAAACCAGACATTGTGTGTTCTCACTCATATGTGGGAGCTAAGCTATAAGGATGCAAAGGCATAAGAATGAGGCTGGCCTTCTGTGGAGCTCACTGTGCCTGTCTGCAGGGAGGGAATACCTTTTTTTAAAGCTTTTCACTCTCCTGGAGACAAAGATTTGAGGAAAACCATTATATACATAATGCTCAAAATCAAATGGGCCAAATGAAATCACACAGGAGTAAGCATGGGTATAAAAGAAGAGCTGCAAGGAGGTGTAAAGGATTTTACAAGGCACCCCAAGCTAGAAAAATAGTTACTAAAATAATATGGCCTTCCTTATATCAATGTGTTGGTGAGCTCTGGAATATGCAGATGGGTCTTTTGGGCAAATTTTAATTCAATATTGGGAAGTAATATGTGGGAAATCTCTATCTGTGTCAGTCATTTGAGCTTTTCTGCTACTTTTATTGAATTGTATTCTCTTACCTCTGTTAAGACTCATTTAACTTTCAATTACTTGGGTGAGTTTTAGGAAAGACTTTTGTTAAATGTGCCTTTTTATGCTATTGAGGTACCATTCAGTAATACGATAAGTCAACTTCTGTTTCTGTCTCTAACGTCATAACTAATTCTGGGAAAATTCTGGGCAGATGGTAGGGAGAGATGGAGAGAGACAGACAGACGGTGGGGGAGATGGGACAGAGAGAGATGGGGTGGGGAGGGAGAAAGAGAGAAAATACTTGAACTAATACAGTTAAGGTAAAAGGAAGTGAATGAGAATCCAAGTAAAAAGCAGGCTAAGTGTGGTTGCTTACACTTGTATTCTCAGCACTTGGGAAGGCTGAGGCAGGTGGATTACCCGAGGTCAGGAGTTTCAGACCAGCCTGTCCAACATGGTGAACCCCGTCTCTACTAAAAATATAAAATGAGCCCAGTGGGCTGGCACATGCCTGTACTCTCAGCTACTCGGGAGGCTGACACAGGAGAACCACTTGAACCCTGGAGGCGGAGGTGGCAGTGAGCCTGCTATTGCACTCCAGCCTGGGTGAGATGGAGGATCTGTCTCAAAAACAAAACAAAAACAAAACAAAAAAACAGTGTTTAAGTTCAAACCACAGCTATTTATTCTAAAAACTATTTTAAAATTATCAATCCACAGGTATTTTTATGTGCTGGATTTGTTGTTGGTGGTTGTTTGTTTGCTTTTTGAGATGGAGTCTCACTCTATCATCCAATCCAGACTGGAGTGTAGTAGCGTGATCTTGGCTCACTGCAGCTGCCACTTCCCGGGTTCAAGCAATCCTCCTGCCTCAGCCTCCCAAGCAGCTGGGATTACAGGTGCCTGCCATCCAACCAGGCTAATTTTTGTATTTTTTTGGTAGAGATGAGTTTCGCCATGTTGGCAAGGCTGGTCTTAAACTCCTGGCCTCAAGTCATTGGCCTGCCTTAGCTTCCCAAAGTGTTGAGATTACAGGCAAGAGCAACTGGGCCCAATGTGTGCTGGTTTTTAATTATAGAGAAATTATAATGGTTTTTATTTAGATTTGCAATCTCACACACTAACAGCATGAAATACAACACAAGGCCAACTATTATTAGGTTGCCTCTCTAATGAGTCACTGAAATATTTACTACAAACAAATGAACTTAGGTCAGGTGCTATGGCTCACACCTGTAATCCCAACACTTTGGGAGGCTGAGGCAGGTGAATCATGAGGTCAGGAGTTTCAGACCAGCCTGACCAACATGGTGAAACCCTGTCTCTACTAAAAATACAAAAAATTAGCTGGGCATGGTGGTGCTCACCTGTAATCCCAGCTACACAGAAGGCTGAGGCAGGAGAATCACTTGAACCTCGGAGGCGGAGGTTGCAGTGAGCCGAGATCATGCCACTGCACTCCAACCTGGGTGAGAGTGCAAGACTCTATCTCAAAAAAAAAAAAAGAAAGAAAGAAAGAAAGAAAGAAAGAAAGAAATGGACTTAGAAGTTTCAGATTGCCACAAAGATGTCAAAGCAAAAAAGGAAATATTTTTTACTGTGTTCCAAAACTGTCTTTCTGAAACCAAGAACTTTTTTATTATGGATTTTTCTTTAAGCAAAAGAAAATTTTTTTTTTACAAAATATAAACAAGCACATAGGAAGTCACGGACTAATGACAGGTGATAATTTCTTGTTTAAGTTGCAGAATTGTATCATTTTATTTGTGGATACTTTTAGTGTGGATAAGATAAATCAACTGTGCATGGTTTTCAGTTCCTGTATTACATCATTTAAATGAGTGCTGTTCAACGCTAATAATAATTAGGAATTTTAAAATGTAGAGGCCTAGGCCCTACTCTGGGACATCTACATTTAATTGGCCTGGGGTGGCTTTGGTATCAGTATTGTTTAAAGCACCTTGGTGATATGAATGCCTCCAGGTTTGAGAATCAACAAAAAGAATATTTTGCCCTAAATTCAAATAGTAGATTTTCAGAAAAGTCCTGAGAATTGGATTAAAATTATGGGAAACTCATGGTTTCTCAACATCAACTCCACTGACATTTTTTTGTTTTCTTTTGTTTTTTTGAGATGGAGTCTCACTCTGTTGCCCAGGATGGAGTGCAGTCGCCTGATCTTGGCTTACTGCAACCTCCGCCTCCTGGGTTCAAGCAATTCTCCTGCCTCAAACTCCCGAGTAGCTGGGACTACAGGTATACACCACCATGCCTGGCTAATTTTTGTATTTTTTTGGTAGAGATGGAGTTTCACCGTGTTGGCCAGCCTGGTCTCGAACTCCTGACCTTGTGATCCGCCCACCTCAGCTTCCCAAAGTGACATTTTAGACAGGATCTTTCTTTGTCCTGGAGCCTGTCTTGTATGTGGCATTTTTTGCAACATCCCTGACCTCTCAGCACCAGATGGCAGCAGAACCTCTTCCCAGTTACACCAACAATGTCTCAAGACATTGCCAAAGGGACCCTGGGGGATGGGCAGGGGGAAGGTGCGGGGCAAAATCGCCCCACTCTCTAATTGAGAACCACTGACTTAAACAATCCCACGTTTTTCAAATAATTCATTAGTTCTAGGAAAACCTACCATATAAATAAACACATCCTTTAATTAAAACAGCATTATATAGCCACACACATAACACACAACACAATATTTTTTAAATGACATTCCAGGTGATGTTTTGAATGAAAAATTAACCAATATGGATGTTTTCCATTTCTTCTACTGTTCCACTACACCATGCCCCACCCGAACTCTGCCTTCATGCAGTTCCTATTCAAATAGTCTCAGTGGAACTTTTTATAGAGACGAACACCTTGCACTCTTCCTCTCTCTATAGAGGAAGGTTGGAAATAGCACCTGCGAGAGCTCCCACCCAAAAAATTGCAACTTACTGACAATTTAACCTCCATCAGCTATCAGAAGTATCCATGGGGACAAAGAACAATGAAAAGCGTTTATTTTGTTCCATTTGTTAGCCCTTATTCTCCTTTTTCTCTTCATGCTGGAAGAAAAGCTTAAGTAGCTTTGTTTCTAATTTGATCTCCCCTCTCCCAGTGATCTTGTGTTTCACCTCTCTGGCAACAAGTTCAATAAGATTTATTCATTCAGTAACTCTCTGAGCCTCTTTCTATGTTTCAAACACTGGTCTAGACAGGGTGATATAGCAAGCCACATAACATCTCCCCACCTTCTTGAAGGTTACTTTTTAACAGCCAGAGTTATCTCCATTACTCCACACTTTATTTCTGACTAGGCAGATTGTATTTTCTATTGCAAGAGCTCCTGTTTTTAACAAATGTTCAATTTGTGAAAGTTTGTGACCAAAAAGAATGCTAAGATTTTTTTCAGCATTGAACTTGCTGTCCTCTTCATGCACTGCTGGGATCATATTGTAACCAGCATGCCATTTTGAGTTATTTGACAAACATTACTGGCACTGTGTAGAATAAGTTCAAAAGTAACTAATGTTGAACAAGGAGGGGGCACCTTCAGTAGCCCCAAAGTGGGGCCTCAGGTCTGAGGTCATCACTGGCCCCATTAGGAGTCGGGTAATCTGAGGGATGCAGCTTTATTCAAGGTAGCCTCACCAGAATAGAGCCTTTGAATGGGCCTATTTGCAGTGGCATGTCACATGGCTCACTCAGCTGCTGTGAGGTATGAATTTTCCAAGTGGAAAAAACACATAAGTCCATAAAATAAAACAAGGTTCAACAGAGTCTTGGGCAGAGCTGGGAGAATAGCCTTGAGTTCTCCCCACTCCAAGTTCTGCATGGACGTTGCCGAAGCTGAACATCCATGGCAACAGAGTGGATACCATTGGGTTTCATCCTAGGCAAACCATCTGTGAATTAGGCCCTGGCATTTAGGGGAACCTTGGGGAACAAAGGGCCCCATTCAAACAGTGGGAGTGGAGCAAATAAAGTTTCTCAAAAAGAAATAACTGCCAAAATGCAAAGCTGAGAGGCCCTGGAGCAGGTGAGCTGCCTTCTGGAAAAAACAATTTCCACTGGACAACCGAGTCTTTCTTTTTTTTTTTTTTTTTAATACTTCAACTTCTACGGTACATGTGCACAACGTGCAGGTTTGTTACATATGTATACATGTGGCATGTTGGTGTGTTGCACCCATTAACTCTTCATTTACATTACGTATATCTCCTAATGGTAACCCTCCCCCCTCCCCCCACCCCATGACTGGCCCCAGTGTGTGATGTTCCCCTTACTGTGTCCAAGTGTTCTCATTGTTCAATTCCCACCTATGAGTGAGAAAATGCAGTGTTTGGTTTTTTGTCCTTGCGATAGTTTGCTGAAAATGATGGTTTCCAGCTTCATCCATGTCCCTACGAAGCACATGAACTCATCATTTTTTATGGCTGTATAGTATTCCATGGTGTATATATGCCACATTTTCTTAATCCAGTCTATCATTGTTGAACATTTGGGTTGGTTCCACGTCTTTGCTATTGTGAATAGTGCCACAATAAACATATGTGTGCATGTGTCTTTATAGCAGCATGACTTAGTCCTTTGGGTATATACCGAGTAATGGGATGGCTGGGTCAAATGGTATTTCTAGTTCTAGATCCCTGAAGAATCGCCACACTGACTTCCACAATGGTTGAACTAGTTTACAGTCCCACCAACAGTGTAAAGTGTTCCTATTTCTCCACATCCTCTCCAGCACCTGTTGTTTCCTGACTTTTTAATGATTGCCATTCTAACTGGTGTGAGATGGTATCTCATTGTGGTTTTGATTTGCATTTCTCTGATGGCCAGTGATGGTGAGCATTTTTTCATTTGTCTTTTGGCTGCATAAATGTCTTCTTTTGAGAAGTGTCTGTTCATGTCCTTCACCCACTTTTTGATGGGGTTGTTTGTTTTTTTCTTGTAAATTTGTTTGAGTTCATTGTAGATTCTGGATATTAGCCCTTTGTCAGATAAGTAGGTTGCGAAAATTTTCTCCCATTTTGTAGGTTGCCTGTTCACTCTGATGGTAGCTTCTTTTGCTGTGCAGAAGCTCTTTAGTTTAATTAGATCCCATTTGTCAATTTTGGCTTTTGTTGCCATTGCTTTTGGTGTTTTAGACATGAAGTCCTTGCCCATGCCTATGTCCTGAATGGTAATGCTTAGGTTTTCTTCTAGGGTTTTTATGGTTTTAGGTCTAACGTTTAAGTCTTTAATCCATCTTGAATTGATTTTTGTATAAGGTGTAAGGAAGGGATCCAGTTTCAGCTTTCTACATATGGCTAGCCAGTTTTCCCAGCACCATTTATTAAATAGGGAATCCTTTCCCCATTGCTTGTTTTTCTCAGGTTTCTCAAATATCAGATAGTTGTAGATATGCGGCGTTATTTCTGAGGGCTCTGTTCTGTTCCATTGATCTATATCTCTGCTTTGGTACCAGTACCATGCTGTTTTCGTTACTGTAGCCTTGTAGTATAGTTTGAAGTCAGGTAGTATGCTGCCTCCAGCTTTGTTCTTTTGGCTTAGGATTGATTTCGTGGTGCGGGCTCTTTTTTGGTTCCGTATGAACTTTAAAGTAGTTTTTTCCAATTCTGTGAAGAAAGTCATTGGTAGCTTGATGAGGATGGCATTGAATCTATAAATTACCGTGGGCAGTATGGCCATTTTCACTATATTGATTCTTCTTATCCATGAGCATGGAATGTTCTTCCATTTCTTTGTATCCTCTTTTATTTCATTGAGCAGTGGTTTGTAGTTCTCCTTGAAGAGGTCCTTCACGTCTCTTGTAAGTTGGATTCCTAGGTATTCTATTCTCTTTGAAACAATTGTGAATGGGAGTTCACTCATGATTTGGCTCTCTGTTTGTCTGTTATTGCTGTATAAGAATGCTTGTGATTTCTGAACATTGATTTTGTATCCTGAGACTTTGCTGAAGTTACCTATCAGCTTAAGGAGATTTTGGGCTGAGACAATGGAGTTTTCTAGATATACAATCATGTCATCTGCAAACAGGGACAATTTGACTTCCTCTTTTCCTAATTGAATACCCTTTATTTCCTTCTCCTGTCTAATTGCCCTGGCCAGAACTTCCAACATTATGTGGAATAGGAGTGGTGAGAGAGGGCATCCCTGTCTTGTGCCAGTTTTCAAAGGGAATGCTTCTAGTTTTTGCCCATTCAGTATGATATTGGCTGTGGGTTTGTCATAGATAGCTCTTATTATTTTGAGATACATCCCATCAATACCTAATTTATTGACAGTTTTTAGCATGAAACGTTGTTGAATTTTGTCAAAGGCCTTTTCTGCATCTATTGAAATAATCATGTGGTATTTGTCTTTGGTTCTGTTTATATGCTGGATTACATTTACTGATTAGCATAGGTTGAACCAGCCTTGCATCCCAGGGATAAAGCCCACTTGATCATGGTGGGTAAGCTTTTTGATGTGCTGCTGGATTCGGTTTGCCAGTATTTTATTGAGGATTTTTGTGTCAGTGTTTACCAGGGATATTGGTCTAAAATTCTCTTTTTTTGCTGTGACTCTGCCAAGCTTTGGTATCAGGATGATGCTGGCCTCATAAAATGAGTTAGGGAGGATTCCCTCTTTTTCTATTGATTGGAATAGTTTCAGAAGGAATGGTACCAGTTCCTCCTTGTACCTCTGGTAGAATTCGGCTGTGAATCCATCTGGTCCTTGACTCTTTTTGGTTGGTAAGCTATTGATTATTGCCTCAATTTCAGATCCTGTTATTGGTCTATTCAGAGATTCAACTTCCTCCTGGTTTAGTCTTGGGAGGGGGTAGGTGTCGAGAAATTTATCCATTTCTTCTAGATTTTCTAGTTTATTTGCGTAGAGGTGTTTGTAGTATTCTCTGATGGTAGTTTGTATTTCTGTGGGATCAGTGGTGATATCCCCTTTATCATTTTTTACTGCATCTATTTGATTCTTCTCTCTTTTCCTCTTTATTAGTCTTGCTAGCAGTCTATCAATTTTGTTGATGCTTTCAAAAAACCAGCTCCTGGATTCATTGATTCTTTGAAGGGTTTTTTGTGTCTCTATTTCCTTCAGTTCTGCTCTGATTTTAGTTATTTCTTGCCTTCTGCTCGCTTTTGAATGTTTGCCCTTGCTTTTCTAGTTCTTTTAATTGTGATGTTGGGGTGTCAATTTTGGATCTTTCCTGCTTTCTCTTGTGGGCATTTAGTGCTATAAATTTCCCTCTGCACACTGCTTTGAATGTGTCCCAGAGATTCTGGTATGTTGTGTCTTTGTACTCATTGGTTTCAAAGACATCTTTATTTCTGCCTTCATTTCGTTTTGTACCCAGTATTCATTCAGGAGCAGATTGTTCAGTTTCCATGTAGTTGAGCGGTTTTGAGTGAATTTCTTAATCCTGAGTTCTAGTTTGATTGCACTGTGGTCTGAGAGACAGTTTGTTATAATTTCTTTTCTTTTACATTTGCTGAGGAGAGCTTTACTTCCAAGTATGTGGTCAATTTTGGAATAGGTGTGGTGTGGTGCTGAAAAGAATGTATATTCTGTTGATTTGGGGTGGAGAGTTCTGTAGATGTCTATTAGGTCCACTTGGTGCAGAGCTGAGTTCAATTCCTGGGCATCCTTGTTAACTTTCTGTCTCGTTGATCTGTCTAGTGTTGACAGTGGGGTGTTAAAGTCTCCCATTCTTATTGTTTGGGAGTCTAGGTCTCTTTGTAGATCACTCAGGACTTGCTTTATGAATCTGGGTTCTCCTATATTGTGTGCATATATATTTAGGATAGTTAGCTCTGCTTGTTGAATTGATCCCTTTACCATTATTTAATGGCCTTCTCTCTTTTGATCTTTGTTCTTTTAAGGTCTGTTTTATCAGACACTAGGATTGCAACCCCTGCCTTTTTTTCTTTTCCATTTGCTTGGTAGATCTTCCTCCATCCTTTTATTTTCAGCCTATGTGTGTCTCTGCACGTGAGATGGATTTCCTGAATACAGCACACTGATGGGCCCTGACTCTTTATCCAATTTGCCAGTCTGTGTCTATTAATTGGAGCATTTAGTCCATTTACATTTAAAGTTAATATCGTTATGTGTGAATTTGAGCCTGTCATTATGATGTTAGCTGGTTATTTTGTTTGTTAGTTGATGCAGTTTCTTCCTAGCCTCGATGGTCTTTACAATTTGGCATGATTTTGCGGTGGCTGGTACCAGTTGTTCCTTTCCATGTTTAGTGCTTCTGTGAGGAGGTCTTTTAGGGCAGGCCTGGTGGTGATAAAATCTCTCAGCATTTGCTTGTCTGTAAAGTATTTTATTTCTCCTTCACTTATGAAGCTTAGTTTGGCTGGATATGAAATTCTGGGTTGACAATTCTTTTCTTTAAGAATGTTGAATATTGGCCCCCACTCTCTTCTGGCTTGTAGAGTTTCTGCCGAGAGATCCACTGTTAGTTTGATGGGCTTCCCTTTGTGGGTAACCCGACCTTTCTCTCTGGCTGCCCTTAACATTTTTTCCTTCATTTCAACTTTGGTGAATCTGGCAATTATGTGTCTTGGAGTTGCTCTTCTCGAGGAGTATCTTTGTGGCGTTCTCTGTATTTCCTGAATCTGAATGTTGGCCTGCCTTGCTAGATTGGGGACGTTCTCCAGGATAATATCCTGCAGAGTGTTTTCCAACTTGATTCCATTCTCCCCGTCACTTTCAGGTACACCAGTCAGATGTAGATTTGTTCTTTTCATATAGTCCCATATTTCTTGGAGGCTTTGTTCATTTCTTTTTATTTTTTTTTCTCTAAACTTCCTTTCTTGCTTCGTTTCATTCATTTCATCTGCCATCACTGATACCCTTTCTTCCAGTTGATTGCATTGGCTCCTGAGGCTTCTGCATGCTTCACATAGTTCTCAAGCCTTGGCTTTCAGCTCCTTCAGCTCCTTTAAGCACTGCTCTGTATTTGTTATTCTAGTTATACATTCGTCTAAATTTTTTTCAAAGCTTTTAACTTCTTTGCCTTTGGTTTCAATATCCTCCCGTACTCTGGAGTAGTTTGATCGTCTGAAGCCTTCTTCTCTCAACTCGTCAAAGTCATTCTCCATCCACCTTTGTTCCATTGCTGGTGAGGAACTGCGTTCCTTTGGAGGAGGAGAGGCACTCTGCTTTTTAGAGTTTCCAGTTTTTCTGCTCTGTTTTTTCCCCATCTTTGTGGTTTTATCTACTTTTGGTCTTTGATGATGGTGATGTACAGATGGGTTTTTGGTGTGGATGTCCTTTCTGTTTGTTAGTTTTCCTTCCAACAGACAGGACCCTCAGCTGCAGTTCTGCTGGAGTTTGCTAGAGGTCCACTCCAGACCCCGTTTGCCTGGGTATCAGCAGTGGTGATGGCAGAACAGCGGATTTTTGTGAACCATGAATGCTGCTGTCTGATCGTTCCTCTGGAAGTTTTGTCTCAGAGGAGTACCCGGCCATGTGAGGTGTCCACACAGCTACTCGGGGGTGCCTCCCAGTTAGGCTGCTCAGGGATCAGGGGTCAGGGACCCACTTGAGTAGCAGTCTGCCCGTTCTCCGATCTCCAGCTGCGTGCTGGGAGAACCACTGCTGTCTTCAAAGCTTTCAGACAGGGAGATTTAAGTCTGCAGAGGTTACTGCTGTCTTTTTGTCTGTCTGTGCCCTGCCCCCAGAGGTGGAGCCTATAGAGGCAGGCAGGCCTCCTTGAGCTGTGGTGGGCTCCACCGAGTTCAAGCCTCCCAGCTGCTTTGTTTACCTAAGCAAGCCTGGGCAATGGCAGGCGCCCCTCCCCCAGCCTCACTGCCACCTTGCAGTTTGATCTCAGACTGCTGTGCTAGCAATCAGTGAGACTCCGTGAGCGTAGGACCCTCTGAGCCATGTGCGGGATATAATCTCCTGGTGTGCCATTTTTTTAAACCCCTCGGAAAAGCACAGTATTAGGGTGGGAGTGACCTGATTTTCCAGGTGCCGTCTGTCACCCCTTTCTTTGACTAGGAAAAGGAACTCCCTGACCCCTTGCACTTCCCTAGTGAGGCAATGCCTCACCCTGCTTTGGCTCGTGCACGGTGCACTGCACCCACTGTCCTGCACCCACTGTCTGGCACTCCCTAGTGAGATGAACCCGGTACCTCAGATGGAAATGCAGAAATCACCCATCTTCTGCATCACTCACCCTGGGAGTTGTAGACCGGAGCTGTTCCTATTCAGCCATCTTGGCTCCTCCCTCCCAAACTTTGCCTTTTCAGAAGCATGTTGTTACTGTTTCCAATACCAGAGTGCTCTCATTTTAATTAACCTATATAGTGCACTAAGTCATTGGCCAGATTTGATTAAAAAGGCTCTCTAGTACCTCAACAGTTCCAAAAAAGCTCATACTTCCTTTACTGTATGGACGTATCTACCACCACTTCAAGCATTATCTGATTCCTACCTAACTTAATGACTACTCCCAGGAAGTTAACAGAAGTGCTTTGTACCCACATTTTGTAGACACTCACCACTAATTCTCATAATACTCATGACCAGAAATGTTTGATCTCCAAAACCAGAGAGGTCTTTAGGAGGAACTAACATGATGTCATCTATGTAAGGTGACCATATATGCCAGGTAAAAAAGAAAAGAGAATTAACTCATGATCTACCATCCCATGGCAGACTGCAAGGCTGTGTTCCTCCCCAGTACCATATGATTGAGCTTAATCAGTAAAGCATTAATACTGAGGTCTTTTTGCTTGCCGTGGTTCCATGCCCATTCTAACCTTTGAATCCAGTAGATGAAACTATGCCTAGCAGCATAGAAGAGAAAAGTGTACAACAAAGGCAGCCAACATGAGTCCATAGGCCTTAGGTGGTTTTAAGCATCAGCCATTCACCTTTGACCATGCAGCTCTCCATGGATCCCACCTGCAGCCTCCTCTTTAATATGTGGCATTTCTGCTCTGAGAACAGAGAAGCCACTAAGATTTACTTGCCAGTTACTGTGATCAGTGTCCTACTCTTTGTCCTCAGTTTATCCCAGGTGATTTAGCCCCCTG
The DNA here is from genome assembly GCF_000001405.40 of Homo sapiens. NCBI lineage: Eukaryota > Metazoa > Chordata > Mammalia > Primates > Hominidae > Homo > Homo sapiens. Next base: position 13,721,137 of record NC_000024.10, on the reverse strand, counting down.
AGTTCATTCCCAGTGGTTCCCCTGGAATGAACTCAAACTGCCCTTTTTATGAAGACTCCCAGATCAGTGGAGAGACTGAATTTTCACCTCTACTTCCCTCCCCAACACTGGCAATTTTGGGTCTAGGGAAATCTCTGTGCATGGTATTATGACCCTGGGGTAGGGGTGATGTAGTATGAAATAACTCTTTCTGTTAGCAGTCACAGCTTCTTCCAATTTTGTAAGCCTAGGAAGTATCTTTGCTTCTTTCCAAAATTTTGATAAAAGTAAGATAATTTTCTTGGATTTGAATTGTTTCCAGTTGTATTTTTGTGGGGACAGGATGTTGGTGGTTCTTCTAACATGTCTTTCCTATTAACTATTTTTTATAGCATGTACATGCTAGTACAGTCAACATGAAAGCAAAACCTTAAAGAGTTAAATACATAACTTTTTTTGTGGTAGTTTTTTCTTTGTTTCACTGCAGTATTTGATACACATAAAGAATACTGCACTTCTGGCCAGCCTCAGTGGCTCACACCTGTGATCCCAGCATTTTGGGAGGCCGAGGCAGGCAAATCACGAGGTCAGGAGATCGAGACCATCCTGGCTAACACGGTGAAACCCCATCTCTACTAAAAATACAAAAAATTAGCTGGGTGTGGTGGTGGGCACCTGTAGTCCCAGCTACTCGGGAGGCTGAGGCAGGAGAATGGCGTGAACCCAGGAGGCAAAGTTTGCAGTGAGCCGAGACTGCGCCACTGCACTCCAGCCTGGGTGACAGAGCAAGACTCCATCTCAAAAAAAAAAAAAAAAAAAAAAGAAGAAAAGAAAAAAAATAATACTGCACTTCCATTTGCACATTTGTTTTAGATTGAACTCATAATTTTATTATCATAAACAACTACTAGAGGTCAAAATTGTATGTCTGCATTATATTTAATGTTGACAACTCTGAAATAGGTCTTTTTCATTAAACGAACGATATTATTTATGAAAATTTACCCAAATTATGGGAACTCCAATTATGTGAACATTTGGGTTTTTTTTTTCTTTCAGAATCAAAGGCCTAACAAAGACAACACAAAGCACAGGGAATCTTATTGTGAAAATAAACAAGCAAAAATTTTTCTAGGCCAGTTACCCAAAAGATCAAGATAAAATCTTTTATAATATCTCATTAAGAGCAGACCAATGTTCCAAAGAATTATATTGTTTTTCACAGAGATCAAATTATAATTTTGTACCAATGTATTTTTGGCATTAAATTTAATTTTTAGAAAAACATAAATAATTTTCTTATCCAGCTTGATTACACATAAAATTCCTCCACAAGATTCATCTTCTACATAAATTTCTACAACTCTTACATACCTATCAGGTTTTTTTGCCCCCAAATTTTTTCTCCTTTTAATTTTTATTTATTTATTTATTTAGACAGGGTCTCACTGTGTCACCCAGGCTGGAGTGCAGTGGTGTGATCTTGGCTCACTGCAACCTCAGCCTCCCAGATTCAAGCAATTCTTCTGCCACAGCCTATTGAGCAGCTGAGATTATAGGCACCCACCACCACACTCAGCTAATTTTTGTATTTTCAGTATAGACTGGGTTTCACAATGTTGTACGGGCTGGTCTCGAACTCCTGTCCTCAAGTAATCCACCTGCCTCAGACTCTCAAAGTGCTGGAACAACGGTGTCAGCCACCACACCTGACCTCTCCTTCTCATTTTTAAATAACGAATAATTTTATTTTAGAACCAAAATACTTTTTTTCTCAACAAAACATATCTTTTAAATTTCATAGCTTGATCTAGAAAAAATCATGTCTTATTTGACGAGTTCCATATCTTCCACTTCTGCCACTAACTGCATCCATTGCCTCTTGTATAGCACACAACAGGCTGCACCATAGCCACCATACTCATTTCCTTCACTACTGTCATGCCCTATTTTTAGTTATTCAGATAAGGTGACAAGCTCTTGGGACATGCTTCTACTCACATAGAAGTCAAAACACAAAATTAGGCATATGGGTCACTGGTCACCACATAGCCTAGGCCAAGCAATCTGGAATTTCTCCCCAGGGATGCCTTATTTCTCAAGTTTATTACTTTGTCAGTTACTAGGTGACACATCTTCATAAATAGAAAGCAAAATCAGACTAAAAAGCAGACCACTCCAGGTTGATACATAGTCAAAGACTCATTAAGGAGAACTTATATATGAGGCAATCATGGGCAGTGGCAAGACAAGGTACATCTCTCCACTTGCAATCCACATCTGACTAATATTTTATAGTATGAAAAGGAATGAGAAAGGAATGAAGTCTTATTACTTCTCTGCAGATAACAGAATGGGTATATACAGGAATGAATCTGGCTTTAGGGTTAAATCATTTAAGGCCCTTTTCACAGGCAGGCACTAGTAACTAAAACGGAAAACTAAATAAATGTATTTTTGAGAAATGCCTCAAGTTTCTATGCTGTTAAAAATTTCTTTAGGAATTCACTAAATAGTACTTAATTGGAAGAAAAAATCCATAATGCTTATACAATAAACAAATGCTATATAAGGAAACGTACCTATTTGAAAACATGGCTATATTGGAAGTTTTATTTTCATTTCTAGATTCCAAAAATGCAAAGAGCAGTTGTTCCAACATAGTACTTTGATAGTCTGTACATTGATGTGTATGGAGTAAATCAGAGTGAAGCCAATGTTACAAAATTTAAGGGTATGTTAACTAAAGGATAGCATTTCTAAGATACTTTGAATATTAGGTAATTTGGCATTTTCCCATAAGTAAAATACTTCTCATGTTTTGAAACTATATGAATATGGAAAAAATGGCTTAAGAGCAGCGTCTGTATATGACATTGTATGGTTGACCCACTGGGATAACTGTTTTCATCTACAGAATTGAATTTTCACTTTTAAGAGGTCTTACAGTGGAACTAGGAATCACTGCTTTGAGAGAACCTGCATATACACCAGTCATTATCTGTTTGGTCTCTATACAGTTTAACTTAGATTTATTCTAGTTAAGCCATAAGTTCAATGTGTAGACTTATTTTGATTAAATAATTTTTCTATCAAAAAAAAAAGGAAAAGGAAAAAGAGGGAAAAAAATCACTGAGAGTGTGTTAAGCCATCTAGATGATTTCTTGTATTACTCACTAGTTAAAGTAAATTTTGGGGTCTCCTACCATCTGATCAACATTCCTAAATATGTTTAGGGGGATGAAAACAGAATCAAGTTGCAGGCCACCATCTTGTAGGAGATTATAGGGCTGTATGTACATTGCTGCAGTAACACCTTAAAGGTCTGCTGCTGTCCTTCCCATGTGAAAGCAAACTGATCCTCTGAGCTTGTGGTTAGGAAATATTAGAAAAAAGTAATCAGCAAAATCCAGTACTCTAAGTTCTTAGGTAATACTCTAAGTGCTGTAGCAAAGAAATGTCTGACAAAGAACATGTATGAAAGGCATCACTTTTAAAATTTTCTGTAGTCCATTTTCATTATCCACAAGCCATCTGGCATCTGTATCAGGCCATCCAGTTACTAAAGTTACTTTGAACCAGTCATGCTATCCCCAGCTTTTACTACTCCAGAATGCTCTCTTGTATTTCTTTGTGACCATCTGGCAATCTGTATCGCCTGCTAGCCTTCAAAGGGAGAAAGTTAGCAGCTTCCTGGTTGCGGTTCCCAGTCTGCAAGGCTTCATAAGTTTTATGATCACTTTTGTAGGGAAATTCCCAGTTCCCTTGGAATCTGCTGTACTTCCTCTATATAGTTCCACTGAGGTATCCCTCTGGCAAGTCCCCCTTATTAGGCTACACCTTCCAACAGGAGCTAATACCCTAATCCACTGACATGGACACCCAAGATGCTTCTTACTCCGTCCCAAGTGTTGTCATAGACAATATGGGTAGTTTTATTATAACCTTTTCTGCTTCTTATCCAGTAAGTTACAGACTATGTACATCCAAATCCCATAACTTCAGCAGCCATGCAGAAATACTCTCATCAAGTTCCTGCTGAAACTCAGCATTAATCTCCACCAGTTCAGATGGCATATGCTCCAGCAGAGGCAACTGGCCTCCAGCCTGTCCCTGCTCAATATTCAGCATGCCGAATAAGCATTTGGGCCTCCTCCATTCTCTTTCTCCTTCTTATCTTCCAGCATCACATCAGTCTCACTATCATTCTCAATTTCCAATGAGTTCTAGGTCTTTCCACGATGGCACACACTTTCACCCTGGGGAGCTTTCTGTCCTGTATCTTGGTGTATATACATATCAAAGTTTCTGATTTTTCTTTCCTTTTTTTTTTTTGAGATGGAGTCTTGCTCTGTTGCCCAGGCTGGAGTGCAGTGGTGCAATCTCAGCTCACTGCAACCTCCACCTCCCAGGTTCAAGCGATTCTCCTGCCTCAGCCTCCTGAGTAGCTAGGACTACAGGTGTGCACCACCACACCTGGCTAATTTTTGAATTTTTAGTAGAGAGGGGATTTAACCATGTTGGTCAGGCTGGTCTCGAACTCCTGACTTCGTGATCCACCTGCCTTGGCCTCCCAAAGCGCTGGGATTACAAGCGTGAGCCAACATGCCAGGCCTAAAATGTCTGATTTCTTATCCTGATCTCAAAACTTATGGGCTAGCTTGGTGGCCAGCAGGATAGTGGACATTTACATATTCTTTTCTAATTTCAATTCCTACTCCAGTTTTCTTATTTTTGCCTCTGCAGCTAACTACAGTATCTGTTTCCTGTGGCACTTCCCATGAGAGGGGCCTTCTAGACATATGCCTCATTTTTATCTCTTCCTTACATCCATGACCCATTTTTAGTTCCTCCAACAGAGTCATGAATCTGGGGGCATTTTTAGAATATCCTATACTCATGTAGATGCCCATGTGCCTCAAACATGGGAGTCACTGGTCACTCTATTGACTAGGTCAGCTAACCCAAGATTTTCCCCAGGGATCCCTCATTCCCCAAGCCCATTTCATTAGTTGACTACTGACTGGATCACCAGTTTTCCCAACAAAACTCCATGCTGGAACCAAGAATTGCCCTCCATAAATATTTCACTTAGCTGAACACTGAACATGACCAGTGAGAGAGAAGAATCAATGATAAATTTCTGATGTCTACTTTGGGTAACTCCTTGAGCTGTGGTGTTATCAATTGCCATTAATGGAGTGCAAGCTCAGACCAAAGAAGGAGGCAGAGAATTATAGGGGTAGGTATTAAAATATTTATTCACAGGGATTTTACATGAAATGCAAACTTGAGTAGCAGCTAGAAGAGGTGCACCCAATGCTGGTGGTACACACCTGCCTAGTATTTTGTACCATTAAACAAGAAAGGAAGAAAATAAAGTAACTAATGGCATGTTAAATAATCTGGTTAATTGCTTAATATATTTTCTCTCTACTTACAGGGATGTTTTAGGTTCTCTACAATTTGGTCAATCTTCCTAATCGGGCTTGACGTTAGGAAGTATTGCAGGCAGCAGCAGTTGTCTGGGTGCCTATGTTTCTTCTGCTCATTGCATCCTACAACTCACTTCATGGTCAAATACAGAATACATTTTCACTGGAGAAGTAGTGGGAGGAGGTATAGGAAACTACTAGAGTTTAATTGTGAAGGAATTCATAGGCCATGATATGTTTAGAGATAATTTTACAGAAGATGAAGAGATAGTGAAGAATTTCAATCTGGGATATGAAATAATGATATTTGTTTTACAAACGTTTTCTAAATTAGTTAGAGGATGAATTGGAGAAGGCAGAGATTGAAGTCAGGGAGCTAAGTGTGATTGCTACAGTCCGGAGAAAGTAAGTAAGAATGTGTACCAAGTAGTGGTACCGAGAAAAGGAGTGGCTAACCAATTGAATATGACCAGTGAAAGAGAAGAATCAATGATAAATTTTTGATCTTTGGGTAACTCTCTCAGCTGTGCTGTCTTAATTAAGATTGGAAATGAGGCAAGAGAAGAGGAAAACATTCATGGCAGGATGCTATTTTCAAGGTTCTCATGGAAGGCCAAGGAGAAATATCTGATGCGTTACAGAATATAGAAGTTCAGAATCATTTAGATGTCTGGGCTGCAGATAGATGCTGAAGAATCAGCAACTTGAGTTGGTGGCTGAAGATATGGAGAGAATGAATGAATTAGGTGAACCAGGAGAAAATCCACTTAGAGAAATCAACAGAATAATAATAATCAGAGAAATCAGAGAAAAGCCAAAAATGTGATGGGAGAGAAGAGTTTAGAAGGTAGACTGTGGTTAGTGTTGTCAAAAGCTACAAAGAGGTCAAGTAAAGGAAGAAATTGTGATGAGGACTTATTTGAGAAATAAGATGTTGTTGCTTAAATAAAAGCTATGATAAATGGAAAATTTTTAATTTACAGGTTGTACATATTTGTTTTAACTGTCACAGTAAACCCCTATGTTAGGGCCATCAATTCTCCCACTATGCAGGTGACAAAAGTGTAGCCCATAGAAGTTACGAAGATTATATTGCACAACTAGTAGGGGCTTATGAAAAACAGTTAATAAGTTGAGTGGTAAAAAGTATATCATTTATTTGTTGCTACTTGGGAGCCAAATGAAAACATTATAAACAGGCTCTTACAGCAGATTCAGGATTGTATGTGAAGGATGACGTCTTCAGGGAACAGGAAAGGGAGAACTTAAAAATTAACTGAAGTGAATGATTAGAAGTTAATAAAGCTGGGCAGGAAAAGAAAATGTAATGAGAGCAGTATATAAAATGTAATAAGGAAGAAGTTGGGGAATGAAGTTTTGACAAGTGTGACTCCGACTCACAGTCAAAGATACATTTTACATCACAGACAGTTTATCTTTCTCTCTCTTTCCTTTTCTTCTCCTCCAGGTATCTCTCTCTCTGACACACACACACACAAACACACATGTACAGAACTGAATACAAGTGTGATTAACCAACATGTACCATAAAGAAAAATCTAACAATTTTTATTATATTTCTTTTAAGTGATTTATTTTGTTTGGGTTTTTTATTTTAAAAAAGCAGTTAGCAAGATATAATTTACATACTATACAATTTGACCATTCAAGTGCACAATTTAATGGTTCTAAGTATTTTCAGAGTTGTGCCTCCATCACCACCATCAATTTAAGAACCTATTTCATTATCCCCCCACCAAACTGACCCCTTTAGCTTTCATCTCTGGTCCTCCTAGCTGACCACAGAGTCCTGCAAAAACACATAAATCCCATCAAACTTTTTTCTTAACAAGCCCTTGCAATTGCTTCATATGTTCCCATTAAAAATAGTAAACTAAAAATTATGTTATCTGTCCTAATTTACTTGCCAAGCCTCATTTTGTGCTCACTTTTCTTCATTGTAGCCCTCAGCAAGCAATGTTCTTCTTTGAGTTTCTGAGAAACAAGCTTTTTGTGTCCTCAGTTTTGTACCATGTTGTCTACATGAACAACGCCTTCTTCAATATTAGTTTATCAATAGAATTGATTGATAAGAGCATGGTTCCTTTAAATGATGCAGAAGAGGGGAAGGGAAGTGCTGGACAGAGGAGTGTATGGGCCCTGGATAAGGCTCCATCCCCATGGAACTAGGTGAGTACAGGCATTTCTGCCTTCCCGCCCAAATGTTGCATTTTGCAAGACCACCCTGGCCTGCCACGCCCCCATCCTGGACCTATAAATACCGGAGAAACTAGCAAGGAAGAGGCAGAAGGAGCTGTACCTCAAGAGAAAAACAGCAGCAGAAAAAGACACCAGCGGCTATCGCCCACACCACACTGCAGAAGAGCACGCCAACAGGCACTGGCAGGGCTAGCAGCCACGGACAAGCAAAACAATGCACAATTTGGCTGGGGCAGTGGGAGGAGAGCGCAGGACCCCTACCTGCCTGACTACAGGAGAAAACCATTTCCTTTCTGGCTCCCCCATCTGCTGAGAGGTACCTCCACGCAATAAAACCTTGCACTCATTCTCCAAGCCCCCATGTGACCCAATTCTTCCAATACACCAAGGCAAGAAACTTGGTGTATGTGTATAAATAGAATCACATAATGTGTGTCTTTGCATACTGGCCTATTTTACAGTGCATAATATCTGAAGGTTTGTCCATGTTTCAGCATTTTTTTAAAGGCTAACAATATTCCATTGAATGGAAAGGCCATAATTCTTCGACTCCTCTATTGATGGACATTTAGGCTTCCATCTTTTGGCTGCTGTTAATGGTGCTATGAACATACATGCACAAATATCTGCTTAAGCCCCTGATTTCAATGATTTTGTGTGTATGCTTAGAAGTGAAATTCTTGGACCATATCATAACTTAATGTTTACTATTCTGAGGAACTGTCATACTGTATTCCATTGTATATGTAAATCACATTTTCTTTATACATTTATCTAGTGTTACCTAGGTTGTTTCTATATCTTGGTTATTATGAATAATGCTGCAATGAATATTAAGAGTGAAGATATCTCTGTGATGTACTGGATTTGTTTCTGTGTGGCATATACCTAGTAGTGGGATTGCTGGACTACGTGATAGTTCAATTTTCGGTTTTTGAGGAACTCCCAAGCTGTCTTCCATAATTGCTCTACTAACTTCCATTCACACCAACAGTGTGCAAGGATTGTCTTTTCTTCACATTCTAGTTAGCATTATCAATTTTTCTTTTAATGATAGGCATTCTAACAGGTATGAGTTAATATATCATCGTGGTTGGTTTTCATTTGTATTTCTCTGATGATTAGTGATGCTTAGCAAGTTTTCATTTACTTATTGGCTAAACTGGCATTGTTTTTTAAAAATTTCTTACTAAGATTGTTCATTGTTAGTATACAAAAACATTATTATCTTTTATTATAATTATTATTATATTTTTGGAGACAGAGTCTTGCTGTGTCACCCATGCTGGAGTGCAGTGGCTCTACCTTGGCTCATTGCAGCCTCTGCCTCCTGGGCTCAAGTGATCCTCTCACCTCAGACTTCCAGGTAGTTGGGACCACAGGCACATATCACCACATCCAACTAATTTTTTGTATTATTTGTAGAGATGGCATTTTGTCATTTGGTCCAGCGTATTAGTCCATTTTCATACTGCTATAAAGAACACCCGAGACAGGGTAATTTATTAAGCAAAAAGGTTTAATTGACTCATAGTTCCACATGGCTAGGGAGACCTCAGTAAACTTACAATCATGGCAGAAGGCAAAGGGGAAGCAAGGACCTTTTTCATATGGTGGCAGGAGGAAGTATGCAAACAGGGGAAATGTCAGACACTTATAAAAAAAAATCAGATCTTTTGAGAACTCATCACTATCACAAAAGCAGCATGAGAGAAACCACCCCAATGATCCAATCGCCTTCCTCTCTTGATACACGGGGATTACAAATTGAGATGAAATTTGGGTGGAGACACAGAGCCAAGCCATATCATGCAAAATGGTCTTGAACTGCTGAGCTCAAGCCATCCACCCACCCTTGCCTCCCAAAGTGCTGAGATTACAGGTGTGAACCACACACCCAGAAGAAACTAATTGTGTATACTGACTTTGTATTCTGTGACTTTGATGAATTGTTTACTACTGACATTTTAGGGAGTGGAATCTTTATAAAGGGATTTCTACCTTAAGATTATGTTGTTTGTGAAAAAAGAGTTTTACTCATTTCTTCATTTCTTACTTGAATGACTTTTATTTCCTTTTCTTGACTAATTGCTCCAGCTAGAAATTCTAGTACTCATATTTTGTTGAATAGAAGTGACAAAAGCAGAATTCCTTGTCTCGTTGTTTATCTTAAAAGAAAAGGTTTCAGTCTTGCATTATTGAGAATAATGTTAGCTACAGGATTTGTAAATATGACATTCATTATGTTGAGGTAGTTTTCTTTTGTTCCAAATTTATAGTTAGTTTGTTTTTTAGTCCTGAAAGGGTGCTAAATTCTTTAAAATCATTTTCCTGCATCAATTGAAACAATCATAAAAGAACAATTTTTTCTTTTCACTCTATTAATTTTTGGTATATTGAACCATCCTTCTGGTCCAAGAATAAAACCTACTTGTTTGTGCTGGGATTTAATGTGATAGTAAATTTGATTTGCCAATATTTTGTTGAGGGTTTCTGCAACAATCCTCACCAAAAATATTGGCTTGTAGTTTTCTCATAGTATCTTGGTCTGGCCTTAGTATAAGGGTCACAGCCTCATAATGTGAATTTGAAAGTGTTCCTTTTTTAATTTTTAATTTTTGGAAGCATTTCAAAAGGATTGATGTTAATATTACTTTAAATACTTGGTAGAATTTGTCAGTGAATCCCTTTGTTCCCAAACTTGTGTCCATGTATGCACACATGCATGTGCTTTTGTTTATTGACTCTTATTTCCTTACTAATTATAGGTATATTCAGAGTTTCTATTTCTTTATGAATTATTCTTGGTAACTTGTATGTTTCTAGGAATTTGTCTATTTCTTCTGGGTCATCCAATTTGTATGGCTATAATTGTTCACAGTATTGTTTTATAATCTTTGCTTTCTGTAAAATTGGTAGTAATGTCCTGCTTTCTTTTTAGTTTTCCATTTTTTCTTAGACAATCCAGATAATGATTTTTCAATTTTTAAAAACTTTTTGAAGAAACATTTCATTAAATTTATTTTCTCTGTGGGTTTTTTACCCTCTATTTTACTTGTCATGCACTAATTGTATTTTTGTTTTTAATGCTGACAAGAACCAACTGATTTCCTGACATTGTAAAGAAGCATGACCTGTTGTTTGAAACCTATGCTTTGGATATGGCTGAAATTGTCATAACAATGGGATGGGGCAGTAAGTTTTATAATGATAGCCCTTTGTCTAATTTGGCTACCACGCTGCCTTGTCTACCTCATCCTTCTTTCCTTAGGTAAGTGCAGGCCTCCACAGTTATCATTCAGCTGGTCCTATGATGCAAAGCCCAAAATCACCCTCACACCCTAATCAAACTTCAATGGAAATACTTAGCCTGCAAAGAAGATGATAATGAACCAAAATTGGTACAGCTAAATGCTTAGATTCTGCTCATTACTAGATGTCAGTATCTAGGAGAGGAACAGGAACAAAATAAACCACAGTTATTTCAAAGAAATATGGCCAAAAGTGTGGAGTTACTTTTTATGGAGATGGTTCTAAATGTGTGAATTAGATTCAACTTTGGATTTACCTCTTTCTTTCATTTGAAGAATTAATTCTTTGAAACCTGGTTGAAGACTTAAATGAATTCACTCTGGTATCCCACCCTCCTGTTAGGAAACTTCATGACCTATATCAGAAAAAAAGTCCTAATAGGATGAAGGCCCATACACTACACGCCAATATGATTGTTCTTTTTTCTTTTCTTTTCTTTTCTTTTTTGAGACAGAGTCTTGCTCCATTACCAGGCTGGAGTGTGCAATAGTGCAATCTCGGCTCACTTCAACCTCCACCTCTTGGGTTCAAGCGACTCTCCTGCCTCAGCCTCCTGAGTAGCTGGGACTACAGGCATGTGCCACCACTACCAGCTAGTTCTTGTATTTTTAGTAGAGACAGGGTTTCACCATGTTGGTCAGGATGGGCAAGATCTCGTGATGTGTCCGACTCAGCCTCCTGAAGTGCTGGGATTATAGGCATGAGCCACCATGCCCAGAAAATATGTTTGTTCTTAATGCCTGAATGTATTCATGCATCTCTTTTGTAACACTGAACTTCTAAAGAGGAACCTTAATGGAACTTTAGAGAATTACCTTAGGCTTATATGATGCTTTAAGAATTTATGTTTGCATGTAAGAATTTGGATTCCTAGTTTAAATTATCAATAATTCTTAAAATGATGAGTTCAGGGTTGCATTACAATGCTTTCTTCAAATAATCCAGTTTATATTCTTCTTTAACCCATTAATATTTTTTCTAACTTTTCGGACTTGCCCTCACAGTATATCTTCCCTTTATTAGAGTATACATTTATTTTACCAGAAGTGTTTTATTATATGGTTACCCATGTTATTTATCTCCATAATCATAGCAAACATACAACTGAGTCCAAACCTTCGATGTTATCTCCAATCCCTGACCTTTTGTGTGTACTCACTTAGGGATCCTATAAGATTTTCCGTATCACCTCTTATATCATGGAGCAACTTTCTGATTAATATGCAAAACTTTAATTTTCCCTTCCTTTTACAAATCTACCTTTTTAGTAAAATGTTCCTGCCCACCAATTTACGACTTCAACCACCAGAAAATTTTGCCTCATCTAGAAGATATATTGATTTCAAATTGACAATACAGTTGCTGTTAAGTTTTTAATGTACAGATATAGTCTAAGAAACTGTATACGTCAATGATTCTGCCAAAAATATATATAATTTAGTAATTTGAAATCTATTTACTCTTCTGTTATTTATCTCCATAATGATAGCAAACATACAACTGGTTTCAAACCACTGATGTTATTTCTGAGGTGTTTATAGGTGTTATTTCCACATCTCTATTAAAACTGATAGCAATGGCCATGAAAAGTATACTGTGTATGTGTTACAGCCTGTCTTATTGAAATGTGAACTAAGAAATACTAATAAAGGATGTATTACCACCTCATATTGTTATTATAACAGAGGGTACTAATCTGCTTGTTTAATGACAAATATGGATAGTTTCTTCCTTGCCCTCCTTTCTTGTAAACTCATTTTTAAACAGAAATAGTATACCAGCTGCCTCATGTGGATGAAAGGATTTTACTTTTGTTATCTTCCAATTACCTAAGAATAACTTTCAAATTTCTTAGCCAGGGACATACCCTTCACAGTATAGTTCTCATTTATCTCCCTGCCCAACATCTTACAAAACAGAAACTCAATGTATAGTTGTTGGGTAATGAGCAGATACATGATTCATGCTGTGCATAGTTATTCACATACACAGGTCTGTCTTTCTGACTAGACCAAGACTAGGCTCAAGTCTTGTTCATCTTTCTATTCATGGCAACTGGAAAACAGCAAGGCACACAGTATGTGCTTAATGTTTCTTGAGTAAATAGTGACTTTTTCCATCCTCTAACGAAGTCATTATTTTAGGTTAAAATCACCAGATAGTGCTATATGCATAGTATATTGGAATAATTAAGTATAATATTAATTAATAATGAATTACATGATATACTAATAACTTAATATTATATATGTAAACATTATAAGAACTATAATATATATTACATACTGTATATTATATTAACTATTATAAATATTATATTTTCATGAAATATTTTTATTTCTAAATTGGGACATTATCATGAGGTGTTCATGTAGCTAAAGGATATCAGCAACTTAAAAGCTCAATATGGTAATGAAGAAAGACATAATTTCCTGTTTGATAATAATGTGACAGGAATAGCTCTAATGCCTTCAGTGGATCACAACCATAACTTGCTCCTCTAGCCAAGGTTCAAAATTGTAAAATCCTACAAAAAAGTGACCAAATTATCCACGTGGTTTTATTATTTTTCTAAGTTCTTTGAAGGACTTTAACATGTGAGCTACTGTTTTTGCCCACAACAATCCCACAAGACTAACACAAGAATGGCAAGAATTTACCAGGAAAGTGTTCTTCAAAAAATACAACATCTACATAACAAAGTCTTAGTAAAAGATTTTAAAATGGCATCCATCCATTCCACTCACTTCTAGATCTGGAGCATTCCTCAGAATTCTTGGAAGATATCAGACAACAGTTATAATGTCCAATTTGTGTATGCTCATAAAATATTTTACTGCAATGCAAGTCATCAGTTGGTTTCCATCAGAATTCATTGACCATTGAGCTTTGGAGAAATCTGGATATAATAATTTTAGATACCTTTATAAAAACATTCAGCTGGGTGCAGTGACTCAAGCCTGTAATCCCAGCACTTTGGGAGGCCAAGGCGGGTGGATCACCTGAGGTCAAGAGTTCGAGACCAGCCTGGCCAACATGGAGAAATACCATCTCTACTAAAAATACAAAAATTAGCTGTGCTTCGTGGTTGAGCGCCTGTAGTCCCAGCTATGCAGGAGGCTGAAGCAAGAGAATAGTTTGAACAGGTAGACGGAGCTTGGAATGAGCCAAGATCGCACCACTGCACTCCAGCCTGGGTGACAGAGCAAGACTCCATCTCACAAAAATAAATAACTAAAATAAATATAAAAACGTTCATAATCAGATTTAGAGGAAAAGGACATCTTCTAGCTGATGAAGGAAACACAATGTAAGATACTATCTTTTTAGTTAAGGCTGTATTTCTTATGGCATATAAAAATAGCTGGCATGGGCCAGGCAAAGTGGCTCAGGCCTGTAATCCCAGCACTTTGGGTGGCCAAGGCAGGTGGATCACCTGAGGTCAGGAGTTCAAGACCAGTCTAGCCAAGGTGGTGAAACCCTCTCTCTACTAAAAATACAAAAATTAGCCCAGCATGGTGGTGCAGCCTGTAATCCCAGTTACTCAGGAGGCTGAAGCAGGAGAATTGCTTGAACCGGGAGGCGGAGGTTGCAGTGAGCCGAGATCGCATCACTAGACTCTAGCCCAAGCGACAGAGCAAAACTCCGTCTCAAAAAAAAGACACCTGTCATGTTGGAGGCACTCAATAAATACTGGCTGAATGAACTAATGATCTAATGCTCTGGACTAATAATATATAATAGTATATAATTGACTATACGTATTGATTCAAATCAGCACAATCAAAAACAGTGGCAAATTCCTGTGTAAATACATTTTAAAAATATATTTAATATTGTACTATTTCACATGATATGCATGTGTTCAAAGGGACCTCAAAAGAAGCATGTTTAATAACTCTCCAACAACTACGGGGGCAAAGTGTATATTAAAGCCATCATGTATGTCCATTACTATGTGAGGCACTTTGGGAAATAGAAGGAAGAGTACACAGTGCATGCCCACAATGAAGAGTGCACGCGCACAGTGCATGCATGAACCCTGCCCACCGGTCTCAGAAGCCAGGAGTAGGGATAGCCCAAGCATGTCAATGTGACCACAGATAAAACGTTACATAAAAAGCTAAGGAAAATATAAACCAAGTAAATACAGGTCTTAGAAGCATATTTTCTTCTTAGCTTACTTTATTGCACACTTACGTCTTAAGTTTGTAATTAAGTCCCTTCTCACTACATGCAACAATATAGCTGAACTCTAAATTAGTGCTTATTAGTTGTAGATTACAGTATAAGCCAGTTTTGAAAACATAATCTAAAGGTAATCTCAATTAGCCAAAAAAAATCATCTCCCAATTAGCTAGAATAAAGAAGGTATTTTACATATCCAGGTAAAACATATTTCATACTGTAACATAATTTATTCAAATCGTCAGCTTTTAAGTTATTCTTTGCCTGTGAGGCCAAGGGGCACGCCACTTTGCAAACGTTTAAATGGTGAATAAAACACTCTTTCCAATCAACAAGCAATCTCACAAGCAGTGGTTTAAAAATGTCTTTTTTAAATAAAAACTGTGCATTCCAAAAATTAAAATCTTTCAAACAACAACAAAAATGGCACGCTGATTAAACTTCATTTTAGATTCTGCAGGACACTTGGCCCAACTTGGTTTTACTCTAGATTTCACTGCCCTCCCACTCCGCTAAGTCTTTCACCAACATTCAAGCTATTTTCCTTCCCTGCCAGCCAGACAGGCGATGGGAGAAGCAGGCGTGGCCTCCATTGTCAGCAGGTCTTTGATGTCAAAAGGGCAGCATAGTCCTTTCAAACTCATCCAACGTGTTTGCATCTAACCAAGTTAAACAAGTAAAAGAAGTAAAATAAGAAAGCAATGCTTGTAGAATGTACAGTAGATATTGGTGGCACATGCCTGTTTAAGATTCGCCTGCTTGCCTCTCCTGTTCGATAGCTGCGACCAGAAAAAAACAGAAAAGGAAAAAGATGGAGTGGGATGATTAAGGGGTTTCAGTACAGCCTAATATGGATGGGATGATTAAGGGGTTTCAGTACAGCCTAATATGGAATTAAGGGGCTTTCATTTGCAACATCTTGTCATATCCTAAACGTTCTGCAAGTGTACCTAGCTAGGCATGTCATAATCAAATAAAAAATGTATATTGAGTATATTAAATAGCCGTACATTTTCAGTGATAAATGTGTTTGTATATTATTATAGCGCATTAAATATTGCATTATTAAATTAATGAACCCTGTGTTCATGCAACCTTCCCCCTTAAGGATCGCCCTATTGTTTTGTTTGTTTTTGTTTTGGTTGAGATGAAGTCTCCCTCTGTCACCCATACTAGAGTGCAGTGGCAGGATCTGGGCTCACTGCAACTTCCCCTCCCAGGTTCAAGCAATGCTTCTGCCTCAGCCTCCCAAGTAACTGGGATTACAGGCGCCCTCCAGCAAACCAAGTTAATTTTGTATTTTTTGTAGAGACGAGGTTTCCTCAGGCTGGTTTCGAACTCCTGACCTCAGGTGATCCCCGCCTTGGTCTTCCGAAGTGTTGGGATTACTGCACTAAAAGTTATCTGATTTTTAATTAACCTTTGCAAGCCACATTCACCAACTATCTGCTCCTTGAGCGCCCTCCCCTGCCTCCCGAATTCTTCCCGTGGCAGCTCCCAGTCTCCCGCCCTCCCACCGCCCGCTCGCATTCCAGCCTTTCTAAAGATGGGGGAGGATCGGAGCTTACTTTCTTTGGAAGACAATGGATTCTTCTCTTGCGTTTCTGTCTTCTTCAGTTTCGACTTATCGAATTTCTCGATCTCAGCCATACCAGGTTTGTCAGACATGGCTGCGGAGGAAGCCGTAGGGAGCAATCCAAAGTGAGCGTGAGAAACAGCCACCTGTCCGGGTCTCTGTACTGGGAACTGTGCTTCTGCCCTCCGACCCGCAACCTGAGAAAGCCCTTCTCGCCCTCCGTCCCCTGCTGTTTCGCGCTCATGAGCTTCCTCTTTCCACAGAAAAAGAGGCGACACCTTTCCTCAAATATTTGAAAACGCAGGGGACCAAAGAGGACAGATCCCTCTCAAAGTGGAATGTTCCGGAATAAAGGAATTTGACCCCTGTGAACTGTTAATTACAGCGTTTAAAATTAAAGGCTGGCTTGGAAGAGAATAGGAAAGCCACTTCCGCGTTCAAGTGGTTAAAATCGGGCAAGAATTCCTAAAATGGAGCCCAGGTCGCAAAAGCACTTCCATTTTGTAGCCACGGCCTCTCTGCAAACAACGCAGGCCTGGTCCTGCGCCCGCTTTCTAGTCTTCTCACGTAGGCGGAGGCTGCAGCTGGAGCTTGCGACAACCGCCCTACCAGCTTCCTCGCCCGCGCCACACTGCAGCCCAGCACACAAAGCGCGGCCCGGAAGCTAGTCCTGCCGGCGCTCTCGGCATTTCGGCATCCCTAGCACACATGCCTCTGCAAGAAGGGCTGTGAAAATGTCACAGCGCAGCGCCGCCGCTGCCAGGCTGCACAGATGCAGCCCGCAGAGCCGTCTGAGGCTGGGAGACGGCTCGGGGCTCGGGAGATGAGTGAGCCTCAGAACAAAGGATCTGTCTGTTCCCACATCTCAGCCTCCAAGACAACGCACAATACCTTTGAGAGCAAACACTAAGAAATTTTTTTTTTTTTTTTTTTTTTTTTTTTTTTTTTTTTTTTTTTTTTTTTTTTTTTTTGAGACGGAGACTCGCTCTGTCGCCCAGGCTGGAGTGCAGTGGCGGGATTTCGGCTCACTGCAAGCTCCGCCTCCCGGGTTCACGCCATTCTCCTGCCTCAGCCTCCCAAGTAGCTGGGACTACAGGCGCCCGCCACTACGCCCGGCTAATTTTTTGTATTTTTAGTAGAGACGGGGTTTCACCGTTTTAGCCGGGATGGTCTTCATCTCCTGACCTCGTGATCCGCCCGCCTCGGCACACTAAGAAATTTTAACACGAACCCTCCGAGCGGCAGTACATAAACGCCGGTTTATTTGCTTTGTTCTTAAATCATCGATTTCCCCACCGCATTACCCAGCATCTAGGGTGTTTCGCATCCCCACCTCCCCAAGGCAGCTTTCCCGGGGATAATCACTCGGCTTGGCTTTAGGGGATGTCTTCACAGGGACGCGAATAATGAAGGGGCAAGCGCGGCATGAAGGGGAGGGTAGAAGGAGTAAGGATGCAGGGGCCCTGGGGCTTACCTAAGCCAGGCGCGTAAGGGAGTGAAATCTAGTCTACACAGTGTCCACCGCGGAGTTGCCAGGACGGGATGGGCAGGCGCTACTTTATAGCCCTCCTATGTAAATGAGTTGATGTCACCCACAGGCCCGCTTAAGTCTTTCGCTCCACGTCTCGGAAGGGCGTCTGAAAGCTGCCGGGCGGTTGGGGAGCCCCAACGCCACCCTAGGTGCACCATTGCCCCCTAACCACAACGATGGCGAAAGATAAAATGAGCAAAGCACCTTCCAACACTTCCTTCAAAACGCATTTTCCCCTTTTACAACAGGAGCGTAAAAATTGCTCTTGCGGACTGGTGCATATTATTTAAGGGTCGGAGTAATACCTAGGGTAACAGGCATTGTTTTACTGAGAAACTGGCTTTACCTACTGAGGACATACGCACGCAAAGGCGCGGTGTCCCTCCCTGGAGTGCCTGGTCAGCTACAGGGATATCATTCCTGTGACTCAGCTTTCAGACCAGTGGAGGCCTATGCGCCCCACCCCGGACCTCTTCCTCACTGGCGTTCCTCTTGCCTTTGGCAGAAGGTAAAGCAACCCTCAGTGATTTTAAAAGAGAAACTTTCAGCCTTGTAACATCCATATTGTTTCATTAGCATAATTTTTGTAGGCACTCAACAGTAATATTGAGTGTAGGGTAATATTGTACTCTACACTCTGGGTGTAGAGTAATTTGTCTGGAGTTTATAGCTCCCTCTTAGCAAAATAAGTCAATTTGAAGCTCTGCCATTGACTTACTGCCTGACAATGAGGAAATTCTTTTCCTTCTTGTTTTTTATATTCATAAATTGTCAGAGTGATTGCTAAGAAGGACTGTGTTGAATTCCAAAGACTATAGTCCCATTACCTCTAACATCATAAGATAAAATTCAAAAATCAAACTATATTTTTAAGGGAGTGCTTCCAGCACTAGGACATCTCCGAAGTGCAACTGCATCTGGAAATATAAAAGATTTGGGTAGAGGGAAGCACTTTTCAAAATGACACCTGACTGTGAATTCCAGTGACCCACTTGCTAATGGAAATTAGTTACAAATACCATGTCCTGCGCCTGCAAATGGCGTGTGAAAGGAAGACCCGCCGGTTACAAAGAGGCCTAACTGTGATTATTTCTGAGACAAGGCAGTGTGTAAAATATTTCTTTTTTTCTGTAACCTGAGCAAATGTTTTTTAGAAATCCGTTGCTAATTATTTTGATGGCACAGGTTTTTGTGTCGCTGGGGATTAGAGTCACAGACTTCCCCGTTTCTTCAATTGCTTGACTTCCTTTTTCCTAGGGAGGAAGAAGGTGGGGATGAGCAGAGGCAGGTGCCATCTGGTTCCCTAGGTAATGTTCTGCTGGGTGGCTGCCTTCTTGCCCTCCGAATGGGGCACAGGACCTGTTCGTGCGTGCACCGAATGTCACCTGTCTGGTAACAGTCCCCCTTCCCTGTTCCATGTTGGGAGTCCACTTCATCGTTGAAACAGAAAAGATCTTGCAGGGTGGCTTTTCGCCCGTTCAGCCTGCAGCTGCCGTTGTACCTACACCGTTCCCGCAGATTCTGCGATTCCATTTCCCCTCACCCAGCTGCTGTAGAAAGTCATTTATTTCCTCCCCATGTCTCCTGATGACAAAGGAGTGCCACTACCTTCTTGTGGCCTCTTCTCCCAAAGGCTTTTCTCAGAAAGGGTTAGGCCTCACTGAATCAATTCCCTAAAGGAGACGGTCGAATGCAAACTTGGAAACGTCTGGAGAAGTTTTCCAGTGCGGTAGCAAGCAGCTTTCCACTGTGCGGAGACACCGATAGGCAGGTGGGAACAAAGAGAAGAGAGAGAGGTGACCTGCTTAAAAGAAAAGAGTTCCCTTGATTGGGCTTGACCTGCCAACTGGTCAGGAAACCTACAGAGAATGGAAAGGGAAGGGTTGTTCAGATACAAGGAAGTGCAAACCAAAGGAATATTTTTAAAAGTTACATGACTGGCCATGTGAATGAATCTTTTTGTGCTAGAGTTTTCTCATCTATAAAATGGGTTCATTGCAGTACCGACCTCACAGATTGGGAGGATTAAATGCTCTGGAGTGCATGACAATTAGTAAGCTCATTGCACTGTTAGTATTATTAGGATGGAAGGTTGGGGACAAAATAATAAAGTAACTGTTTTACTGTTTAGAATAAATTAAACATTTTAGATGTCTTGATATTATGATTTGTCTTATAAAGTACCAGTAAAAATCAGGTCTTTTGTTAGTTTTACAGTGAATAAAATATACGAGTTCCTATTGGTTGACACCTTCTAAAAGTCAAGTTTTGTGAGTTTTACAATTTTTTTCATTTCATTTCTACTGCCTCTCCATAAAGAGAGGTTTATAGATGACAAAACTGAGGCCTAAAGAACCCTTATGTAGGTAACAGAGTTATGAGTTATGGCTTTCTATAACAAAGTACTGAGATAACCCCGTTATATATACTAAAGGGCACATAAAAGTTCTCACGTTTATTTCCCTATTCTGTGCCTGAGAATCACCAGGAACACTGTAAGAAGAGGAGGCTGTTTTGCTTTCCACAATGTCTGGAGGATAGTAGTTGCTCAATGAACAGTTCTCACACTTCATTAAATTGACTTTCTTAAGTGACGGAGCTACTTTAGACTCTAATCAGCTTATTTTCTTCTGCAGATAATTAAATCCATTTAGTATTACTATTCTAGATTTTAGAGAAAATTCTTGTCCCAAGGAAAATAACACGTATAAGTCAGTTAGAATATGCTGAGCACAATCACCATTAAGAGAGGAGTTTTCAATCCCAATTTGGAAGACAGGCAGAGATAGTGCAAAAGGCCCTTAGTAACTCCAGGTTGCGTGGTGCACTCCGGACTGAGGGCTCTCCAATGTAAGCTGAATAAAAAACACTTTAGCCTGAACTTCTTCCTCATCTCATTGGCCACAGTGCCTACTGAAATCTAAGTTCATGAAAATTAAATAGGTTAAAAATTAACCTATTTAATTTGCTGTAGAGAACTTACCAGAAGAAAAGGAGAAGAAAGAGGAGGAGAAACAGAAGAACAACAACAACAACCTTGCTTGGTCAAGCCCAGAGTTCTTTGTCTGGATTTCACTGGATTTCAAAGGCTCCTACCATCTGCCCTACCTGCCTGCACCCAAGACTCCCCTGTGGCCCCTGCAGTACCCATCTGCTCATCCTGGTCTCCCTCACAGTGGAATCCTCCTTCCACTGATGGGAATCTAAATCCTCTTAAAGACATAGCCCAAGGACAGGCACACGGTGGCTCATGCCTGTAATCCCAGCATTTTGGGGGGCCAAGGTGAATGGATGACCTGAGGTCAGAAGTTCGAGACCAGCCTGGCCAACATGTGAAACCCTGTCTCTCCTAAAAATACAAAAATCAGCCAGGCATGGTGGCACATGAGTGTAATCCCAGCTACTCGGGAGGCTGAGGTAGGAGAATTGGCTTGAACCTGGGAGGCAGAGGTTGAAGTGAGCCAAGATCATGCCACTATACACCAGCCTGGGTGACACAATGAGAGTCTGTCTCAAAAAACAAGACAAAACAAAAAGACACAGCCCAGGCTGGACGTACTGGCTCACACCTGTAATCTCAGCACTTTGGGAGGTTGAAGAGAGAGGAGTCCTTGAGTCCAGGAGCTCGATGCATTGACCTGTAGTCCCATCCACTCAGGTCGCTGAGAGGGGCTGGTCACTTGAGCTTGAGGGGTGGAGGCTACAGTGAGCTGTGGTCAGGCTGCTGCACTCCAGCCTAGGCTACAGAGGAAGACCCTGTCTCAAGGAAAAGACGCACACACACACACACACACACACACACACACACACACACCCCCCACAGCCCAGTTTCCCCTATTAATGATAGAGAGGGAAAAGAAGAAAGAAGAGAAATGATACTTAGTGGATTAGCTATATCTTGTACTCTCAGTTAAGCCCTTTTATATAATATCTTATTCAATTCTCACTCTATTAGTACCCACCTACATTAGTGCCTATATTAAAATTAGTACCTATAGTAGTGGGTACAATATCTTCATTTTTACTGCTAAAAGAAACTGAGGGTGGGAAAATGTTAAGCAATTTGCTAGAAACCAAACTCTCGGATCTACCTGCCAAGCACTTTCATGAGACCCATAATCTGCCTTACTTTTAACTGAAATACATCTTTCTCCAAGATTCTCACTTTTAGTGGACCCAAATTTTACAAAGTGTGATGGTACAGAAGGCAACCCATGCAAATGTGAGAAAAGCGAGCAGAGGATAACAACAAAGAGGAGTGAAAGAATACCTTCTAGAGTACTCAGTGCTGAGTGCAGAGTGCCATGCTGCTAATTGTCCTGTTGCTTTATTAATCCAGTGGAAATGTTAGAACCAAAAGAAATGTAGAAGGGGATCTCCTTCAACCCAGTTTTCCTTCTGTGGCTTGAATTTTCCTCTATAACATCCCCTCCAAATGGTTATTCAGCCTCCACATAGTCAGGGAACAATATGGGAGCAGAGAATCTTTGAGTTATGCAGGGAGCAATGAATACCTTAGCTTGTCAGGCATTTACCTAAAATGAGAGATAATGACAGGAAATAATTCTGGGAACCTGTCAGGGGCCAGGTTATAGAATAATGATAATAAAAATCATGGTCGTAACCATAGAAGTAATAACGGCAAGCACTTTCTCAGTGTTTTCCATATACTGGGGAGCTTACCATATAGTATTTCCCAAATCCTCACACAGTCCTATGACAGTGGCACCATTAGTTTCTTCATTTTGGAGATGAGGGAATCCTAGAGTGATTATAAATTTCCCAAGAACACATCACAAAAGCCAAAAGCAGCATTTGGACTCAGACTGGGTGGCTCAGCAGCTGCCTTATTTAAACACTAAACTTCTCTAGAATCCTAATGTTTTTGAAAAACTTTGATCCATAGACCAGATAAGGGTAAAGTTATATTCTGTCTCAATAAGCTGTCTGGCTATTTCATCTACGTTAAAATTTTGCCTACCCCAATTTTCAAATTATTTCACTACAGAAAATCAATCTGCTCATTTTGCCTCCTCCTACATGGCCAGTGCACAAGAAATAAAGGGAATTGCGTATCTGGAACACTGGTAATTTTCCTGAGCTTCTCACTCCTTCAGTCTTTTTTTAAGAAATCATCCATGTTACAGTGGTTTAAAAAATTACTAGGTTCAATATCATATTTAAAGGGGAGCCATTACATACTCCCAATGACAAACCTTTTGCTCTATTGTGAAGCAGAATTATCATTAGCAAGTAATAAGTGTTTTCATATTTTAATGTGCCTCTTCCGTGGGTGTCAAAGCTTTTATATAAAATACAGTATTAAGATCATCAGCAGGAGGTGGTTAATGGCTCTATGGTAAGGAAAACAAAGTGTAGGTAATGGATCACTGGCTCATATCTGAAGGGAAAAGCCAGATAGGCCAAGATCAGCCTCCTTGGCTGACCCTCATGATTTGGCCTATCCTGGACTGGCTTCACAGTTACACAGCCAAGGAGCAGCACTGGGCCACATGCTCAGAAGCACCCGGTACTTGCCTTAAATTCTGCTGCCATCATTTTGAAATTCTTAATAATTTTATTATTATTATACTTTAAGTTTTAGGGTACATGTGCACAATGTGCAGGTTAGTTACATATGTATACATGTGCCATGCTGGTGCGTTGCACCCACTAACTCGTCATCTACCATTAGGTATATCTCCCAATGCTATCCCTCCCCCCTCCCCCCACCCAACAACAGTCCCCAGAGTGTGATGTTCCCCTTCCTGTGTCCATGTGTTCTCATGGTTCAATTCCCACCTATAAGTGAAAACATGCGGTGTTTGGTTTTTTGTTCTTGTGATAGTTTACTGAGAATGATGATTTCCAATTTCATCCGTGTCCCTCCAAAGACATGAACTCATCATTTTTTATGGCTGCATAGTATTCCATGGTGTATATGTGCCACATTTTCTTAATCCACTCTATCACTGTTGGACATTTGGGTTGGTTCCAAGTCTTTGCTATTGTGAATAATGCCACAATAAACATATGTGTGCATGTGTCTTTATAGCAGCATGATTTATAGTCCTTTGGGTATATACCCAGTAATGGGATGACTGGGTCAAATGGTATTTCTAGTTCTAGATCCCTGAGGAATAGCCACACTGACTTCCACAGTGGTTGAACTACTTTACAGTCCCACCAACAGGGTAAAAGTGTTCCTATTTCTCCACATCCTCTCCAGCACCTGTTGTTTCCTGACTTTGTAATGATTGCCATTCTAACTGGTGTGAGATGGTATCTCATTTGGTTTTGATTTGCATTTCTCTGATGGCCAGTGATGATGAACATTTTTTCATGTGTTTTTTGGCTTCATAAATGTCTTCTTTTGAGAAGTGTCTGTTCATGTCCTTCACCCACTTTCTGATGGGGTTGTTTGTTTTTTTCTTGTAAATTTTGTTTGAGTTCATTGTAGATTCTGGATATTAGCCCTTTGTCAGATGAGTAGGTTGCGAAAATTTACTCCCATTTTGTAGGTTGCCTGTTCACTCTGATGGTAGTTGCTTTTGCTGTGCAGAAGCTCTTTAGTTTAATTAGATCCCATTTGTCAATTTTGGCTTTTGTTGCCATTGCTTTTGGTGTTTTAGACATGAAGTCCTTGCCCAGGCCTATGTCCTGAATGGTAAAGCGTAGGTTTTCTTCTAGGGTTTTTATGGTTTTAGGTCTAATGTTTAAGTCTTTAATCCATCTTGAATTGATTTTTGTATAAGGTGTAAGGAAGGGATCCAGTTTCAGCTTTCTACATATGGCTAGCCAAGTTTCCCAGCACCATTTATTAAATAGGGAATCCTTTCCCCATTGCTTGTTTTTCTCAGGTTTGTCAAAGATCAGATAGTTGTAGATACGCAGCGTTATTTCTGAGGGCTCTGTTCTGTACCATTGATCTGTATCTCTGTTTTGGTACCAGTACCATGCTGTTTTGGTTCCTGTAGCATTGTAGTATAGTTTGAAGTCAGGTAGTGTGATGCCTCCAGCTTTGTTCTTTTGGCTTAGGATTGACTTGGCAATGCGGGCTCTTTTTTGGTTCCACATGAACTTTAAAGTAGTTTTTTCCAATTCCGTGAAGAAAGGCATTGGTAGCTTGATGGGGTTGGCATTGAATCTGTAAATTACCTTGGGCAGTATGGCCATTTTCATGATATTGATTCTTCCTACCCATGAGCAGGGAATGTTCTTCCATTTGTTTGTATCCTCTTTTATTTCCTTGAGCAGTGGTTTATAGTTCTCCTTGAAGAGGTCCTTCACATCCCTTCTAAGTTGGATACCTAGGTATATTATTCTCTTTGAAGCAATTGTGAATGGGAGTTCACTCATGATTTGGCTCTCTGTCTGTTGTTGGTGTATAAGAATGCTTGTGATTTTTGTACATTAATTTTGTATCCTGAGACTTTGAAGTTGCTTATCAGCTTAAGGAGATTTGGGGCTGAGACAATGGGGTTTTCTAGATATACAATCATGTCATCTGCAAACAGGGACAATTTGACTTCCTCCTTTCCTAATTGAATACCCTTTGTTTCCTTCTCCTGCCTAATTGC
The DNA here is from genome assembly GCF_000001405.40 of Homo sapiens. NCBI lineage: Eukaryota > Metazoa > Chordata > Mammalia > Primates > Hominidae > Homo > Homo sapiens. Next base: position 13,695,316 of record NC_000024.10, on the reverse strand, counting down.
CCTGGCCAGAACTTCCAACACTATGCTGAATAAGAGTGCTGAGAGAGGGCATCCCTGTCTTGTGCCAGTTGTCAAAGGGAATGCTTCCAGTTTTTGCCCATTCAGTATATTGGCTGTGGGTTTGTCATAGATAGCTCTTATTATTTTGAAATATGTCCCATCAATACCTAATTTATTGAGAATTTTTAGCATAAAGGGTTGTTGAATTTTGTCAAAGGCCTTTTCTGCATCTATTGAGATAGTCCTGTGGTTTTTGTCTTTGGTTGTGTTTATATGCTGGATTACATTTATTGATTTGTGTATATTGAACCAGCCTTGCATCCCAGGGATGAAGCCCACTTGATCATGGTGGATAAGCTTTTTGATGTGCTGCTGGATTTGGTTTGCCAGTATTTTATTGAGGATTTTTGCATCAATGTTCATCAAGGATATTGGTCTAAAATTCTCTTTTTTGGTTGTGTCTCTGCCCGGCTTTGGTATCAGGATGATGCTGGCCTCATAAAATGAGTTAGGGAGGATTCCCTCTTTTTCTATTGAACCAGTTCCTCCTTGTACCTCTGGTAGAATTCCGCTGTGAATCCATCTAGTCCTGGACTCTTTTCTGTTGGTAAGCTATTGATTATTGCCATAATTTCAGCTCCTGTTATTGGTTTATTCAGAGATTCAACTTCTTGCTGGTTTAGTCTTGGGAGAGTGTATGTGTCAAGGAATTTATCCATTTCTTCTAGATTTTCTAGTTTATTTGCGTAGAGGTGTTTGTAGTATTCTCTGATGGTAGTTTGTATTTCTGTGGGATCGGTGGTGATATCCCCTTTATCATTTTTTATTGCATCTATTTGATTCTTCTTTTTTTCTTTATTAGTCTTGCTAGCGGTTTATCAATTTTGTTGATCCTTTCAAAAAACCAGCTCCTGGATTCATTAATTTTTTGAAGGGTTTTTTGTGTCTCTATTTCCTTCAGTTCTGTTCTGATGTTAGTTATTTCTTGCCTTCTGCTAGCTTTTGAATGTGTTTGCTCTTGCTTTTCTAGTTCTTTTAATTGTGATGTTAGGGTGTCAATTTTGGATCTTTCCTGCTTCCTCTTGTGGGCATTTAGTGCTATAAATTTCCCTCTACACACTGCTTTGAATGCGTCCCAGAGATTCTGGTATGTTGTGTCTTTGTTCTCACTGGTTTCAACGAACATCTTTATTTCTGCCTTCATTTCATTACGTACCCAGTAGTCATTCAGGAGCAGGTTGTTCAGTTTCCATGTAGTTGAGCAGTTTTGGGTGAGATTCTTAATCCTGAGTTCTAGTTTGATTGCACTGTGGTCTGAGAGATAGTTTGTTATAATTTGTGTTCTTTTACATTTGCTGAGGAGAGCTTTACTTCCAAGTATGTGGTCAATTTTGGATTAGGTGTGGTGTGGTGCTGAAAAGAATGTATATTCTGTTGATTTGGGGTGGAGAGTTCTGTAGATGTCTATTAGGTCCGCTTGTTGCAGAGCTGAGTTCAATTCCTGGGTATTCTTGTTGACTTTCGGTCTCATTGATCTGTGTAATATTGACAGTGGGGTGTTAAAATCTCCCATTATTAATGTGTGGGAGTCTAAGTCTCTTTGTAGGTCACTCAGGACCTGCTTTATGAATCTGGGTGCTCCTGTATTGGGTGCATATACATTTAGGATAGTTAGCTCTTCTTGTTGAATTGATCCCTTTACCATTATGTAATGGCCGTCTTTATCTCTTTTGATCTTTGTTGGTTTTAAAGTCTGTTTTATCAGAGACTAGGATTACAACCCCTGCCTTTTTTGTTTTCTATTTGCTTGGTAGATCTTCCTCCGTCCTTTTATTTTGAGCCTATGTTTCTCTCTGCACGTCGGATGGATTTCCTGAATACAGCACACTGATGGGTCTTGACTCTTTATCCAATTTGTCACCCTGTGTCTATTAATTGGAGCATTTAGTCCATTTACATTTAAAATTAATATTGTTGTGTGTGAATTTGATCCTGTTATTATGATGTTAGCTGGTTATTTTGCTCATTAGTTGATGCAGTTTCTTCCTAGTCTTGATGGTCTTTACATTTTGGCATGATTTTGCAGTGGCTGGTACTGGTTGTTCCTTTCCATGTTTAGCGCTTCCTTCAGGAGCTCTCTTAGGGCAGGCCTGGTGGTGACAACATCTCTCAGCATTTGCTTGTCTGTAAAGTATTTTATTTCTCCTTCACTTATGAAGCTTAGTTTGGCTGGATATGAAGTTCTGGGTTGTCAATTCTTTTCTTTAAGAATGTTGAGTATTGGCCCCCACTCTCTTCTGGCTTGTAGAGTTTCTGCCGAGATATCCACTGTTAGTCTGATGGGCTTCCCTTTGAGGTAACCTGACCTTTCTCTCTGGCTGCCCTTAACATTTTTTCCTTCATTTCAACTTTGGTGAATCTGACAATTATGTGTCTTGGAGTTGCTCTTCTCGAGGAGTATCTTTGCGGCGTTCTCTGTATTTCCTGAATCTGAACATTGGCCTGCCTTGCTAGATTGGGGAAGTTCTCCTGGATAATATCCTGCAGAGTGTTTTCCAACTTGGTTCCATTCTCCCCATCACTTTCAGGTACACCAATCAGACGTAGATTTGGTCTTTTCACAGAGTCCCATATTGCTTGGAGGCTTTGCTCATTTCTTTTTATTCTTTTTTCTCTAAACTTCCCTTCTCTCTTCATTTCATTCATTTCACCTTCCATCGCTGATACCCTTTCTTCCAGTTGATCACATCGGCTCCTGAGGCTTCTGCATTCTTCACATAGTTCTCGAGCCTTGGTTTTCAGCTCCATCAGCTCCTTTAAGCACTTCTCTGTATTGGTTGTTCTAGTTATATATTCTTCTAAATTTTTTTCAAAGTTTTCAACTTCTTTGCCTTTGGTTTGAATGTCCTCCCATAGCTCAGAGTAATTTGATCATCTGAAGCCTTCTTCTCTCAACTCGTCAAAGTCATTCTCCCTCCAGCTTTGTTCCGTTGCTGGTGAGGAGCTGCGTTCCTTTGGAGGAGGAGAGACGCTCTGCTTTTTAGAGTTTCCAGTTTTTCTGTTCTGTTTTTTCCCCATCTTTGTGGTTTTATGTACTTTTCATCTTTGATGATGGTAATGTGCAGATGGGTTTTTGGTGTGGATGTCCTTTCTGTTTGTTAGTTTTCCTTCTAACCGACAAGACCCTCAGCTGCAGGTCTGTTGGAGTACCTGGCCATGTGAGTTGTCAGTCTGCCTCTGCTGGGGGCTACCTCCCAGTTAGGCTGGTCAGGGGTCAGGGGTCAGCGACCCACTTGAGGAGGCAGTCTGCCTGTTCTCAGATCTCCAGCTGCGTGCTGGGAGAACCACTGCTCCCTTCAAAGCTGTCAGACAGGGACATTTAAGTCTGCAGAGGTTACTGCTGTCTTTTTGTCTGTGCGCTGCCCCCAGAGGTGGAGCCTACAGAGGCAGTCAGGCCTCCTTGAGCTGTGGTGGGCTCCACCCATTTTGAGTTTCCAGGCTGCTTTGTTTACTTAAGCAAGCCCGGGCAATGGCGGGCGCCCCTCCCCCAGCCTCACTGCCGCCTTGCAGTTTGATCTCAGACTGCTGTGCTAGCAATCAGCGAGACTCCATGGGAATAGGACCCCCCAAGCCAGGTGAGGGATATAATCTCCTGGTGTGCCGTTTTTTAAGCTCATCGGAAAAGCACAGTATTTGGATGGGATTGACCCGATTTTCCAGGTGCAGTCTGTCACCTCTTTCTTTGACTAGGAAAGGGAACTCCCTGACCCCTTGTGCTTCCTGAATGAGGCAATGCCTCACCCTGCTTTGGCTCACGCATGGTGCACGCACCCACTGACCTGTGCACACTGTCTGGCACTCCCTAGTGAGATGAACCCGGTACCTCAGATGGAAATGCAGATATCACCCATCTTCTGCATCTCTCATGCTGGGAGCTGTAGACCGGAGCTGTTCCTATTCGGCCATCTTGGCTCCTCCCTCGAAATTCTTAATAATTTTGAACAATGGTCCCCATTTTGCACTGTGTCTCCTAAATTCTGAAGCCAGCCCTCCCGCTTTTAGATTCTCATTCTGTGAGTGCCTCCATGCTACTATTTTTTTCCTGGACCCAAAAATGGGCCAGTACTCACATGTCCCCTCCTTTGCCTATAATGACCTCTTAGGTCATGTCCACCAATACTTTCCAGATGAGGGCACTTCCTGTTACTCTTGTTTCACTTGAGAAAGGGAGGGCAATGTAGAAAAAAAAATTTCATTAGGAAACCAGAGGAAACCAAACTTTAAAGCACAAAACAATGGGCTTCTTAGTCACAATGGAGCCTAAACACAATTTCATTTGGCTGGCACAATGAAGAGGCCATAGGGTCTTGGTTCTCTTACCCAACTCCAGCCTACCTTGCAGGAGATAGGGATACTGGACCAAAGTTCTCACATCAAGGTTTCCAAGTAGAGGCAGTGGCATTAATGCTAGCATTGGGGGAATTCTTCATTCCTCCTTTGATTTTCTATTTGAGGGCCAATCTTTTTGACCTGGTGCTGGGCCACAGTTGTGCATAGCAAACAACCCCAGGAAATCTTTGACCTCGAGAGAGGAACTCTTCAACATCACCTCCAGTGGTTCCTTGTTGGAGTTCTTATACTGTCTTGTCCTAATTTTGCAGCTAAGTTGGCCAGCTCTCTTGGAATTTTTCAAGGCTCCTTGACATTAACCCCTTGCTAGTGCTAGTGAATCAGTCTGAGTGTTTGCATAGGATGATCCAGACCATTCACCTTCTACAAAACTTGGATCTCAGCCTAGTTGCCCCAGAGCTGGTATCCTGGAGCAGTCACTGCATTTTTCTAGGGACTATGAGAGGAGCATACACCAGTTCTCTTCTTTTCCTTCCTTTCAGGTTAGTTTTTCCTGTCGGAGGGATGTCTACAGCTTAGCTTACTTGCTTATCAGAATTTACTGATATGTACCAAGGCCAGTGACAGAGCGAGCCTGTGTCAGCATCTCCAATGGCTTTTTTAGTTCTCTCTGATGCTTGCACTTGCAGAACGCTTGCCAGGGGAAGAAGGTCACATCATAGTACTTCATCCTTGTATTTACTTTACACCTAACATAGAAATAATAGGCACAATTTCCACCAATTCTACCAATATTGCAAAGAATAAGGATAAAATGCCAGTGATTTCACCCTTAAGTACATACCCAAAATAATTGAAAGCAATTATTCAAATATACTTGTTCACTTCATCATGGTGGCATTATTGACAACAGCCAAAAACTGGAAATAACCCAAATGTCCATTAATGTATGAATGGACAAATAGGTTGTAACATATCTATATTATGGAATATTATTCAGCCACGAAAAGGAATGATGTTCTGGCTGGTTGTGATGGCTCACATCTGTAATCCCAACACTTTGGGAGGCTTGAGGTGGGTGGATTACCTGAGGTCACTCAGGAGTTCAAGACCAGCCTGGCCAACATGGTGAAACCCTGTTTCTAGTAAAATTACAAAAATTAGCTGGGCATTGTGGTGGGTGCCTGTAATCCCATGTGAACACTACTAGGGAGGCTGAGGCGGACAATTGGAACCTGAGAGGTGGAGGTTGCCATGAGCCGAGATATTGCACCACTGCACTCCAGCTGGGTGACAGAGCTAGACTCCATATCAAAAAAAAGAATTTCTAACACATCCTATGACACGTATGACTCTCACACATGTTATACTAGTGAAAGTAGGCAGACATAAAAGACCACATATTGTGTGACTCGGTTTTCATAAAATTACAAGAATAATTAAACCTAGAGAGACAGAAATTAGATTAGTGGTTGTCAGGGGGTTGGAGGAGCGAGGAAAGGAGAGTGATTGCTTGATAGGTTGGAGTTCCTTTTGGTGGTGATAAAAACTGAACTAGATAGAAATGGTAGTTACACAATACTGTGAATGCACTAAAGTGTCCATTTTGAAATGGTGGAACTTTATTTTACATGAATTTCTTTTCAATGAAGAATCGAAGGAAAATGAAAATAAAAATTTAAAAAAAAAAAAAAACATTTTCTCATTACCCAGAGTTTGATTATGAGGAGATAGGAGAAGGGTAGGGGTGCAGTGAGATTCAGGTGATCTTAACTCTTTCTGTGCCATGGCCCCTTTACCATAAAACATGATATATTGGTACTGGAATTGTTCTTAATGCTAAGCCAACAATAACACACCTGCTTTTGCTGTAGTAGTTGCAGCGATGGTGATGGTGGTGTATTTTGTTAGTTTTTGTCATCCAAGAATTGATTTCTCAGATTTGCTTGACTTACAAACATGTAAATTTACTCATTTGTGAAAGTAGCTTTTCCAGCATGTGTATGTGTATCTTTTTTTACTACTTATATTATTTGTTGCAAAGACTAGACATACAATTGGACATCAATCTTTCTATTTTTTAATCTAGACAGGGATACAATATTAGTTTAAGTCAGGATGAGACATTTTAGTGTCTGAATTTTATATTTTACACTCTATGATTATGTTTGCATGAATTCCTTACTTTTGTAGATAGAACACTGTGTTTGGTTTTGTGTAATGAAGAATTTGGCTGACCTTTGTCTCTAGCTCCTGAGAAGTAGTTTCTAAACCCTTGGAATTTCCTAGGTGATTGGAGGGTCTTTGTTATTCCTAGTGGGCCCCCTGAACCAGGCCTGATTGTTTATAATACTGAGATGGCTTACACTGGACAGTTTATGCTAATGAGATGACTCAGGATAGGGACTGGCTGATTAGAGGGTTAGGGCTTTGAGCTGTGAGATATAAGCCCAATCTCTGGAGGGGAGAAGGGGAGCTGCAGATTTAAACCTATGGCCAGTGATTTCATCAATCATGCCTATGTGAGGCCTCAATAAAATCTTGGTACTCCCAAGCTCAGGTGAGCCTTCTTGGTTGACATTACTCCTTGAGTATTGGCACACTTTCATGTTGGGAGGATAGCACATCCCTAAGGATGACAGAAGTGTTGCACCTGGAACCCTATCAGACTTCACCTTGTGAATTACTTCTTTGGGCTAATTCTGCTCTTTATCCTTTTACTATAATAAAACTGTAAATGTAAGCATTGCACTGTCTTGAGTTCCTGTGTCATTTTAGCAAATTGATGAACTCCACCATAGTTATGGGAACATTCCAATTTTTAGCCAGTTGGTTAGAAGACAGAGACAACCCTTGGGATCTTTGAACTAAGGACTGGTATCTGAAGTGATCACAGTCTTCTGGAGGACTGATAGTAAATTATAAAGTTTAGCTTAACTCTGGGTAGATTGCAGAATGAAAATGTGGGAAAAAGTACTCTCTTTTATTAAAACTGTGTAACTCAAAATTAAAACTCCAAGCCCCCCAGTCATCTGAATGGACTCCTCCTCTCAGTCAAGGGCATTCCAAAACTAACCTCTAATTCAGGCCATGATGAGAAGGAAGGGAGAAACATGCCTCATTATACACCCCTCCCCTTCCTTTTGAAACTCAGGAAAAGCCGACCAGCATTTATCATCAACATGGACCTTAAGTCTGATAGGAAACATTTACAATCTATTCTCTCTGAAGCCTGCTATCTAGGGACTCATCTGAATGAAAAAATGTTGGTCTCCACAATCCCTTATTGTAGTACAAATATTTTCTTTCTATTGATTTGATGTCTTTAAAGAGTAACTCTCTGAGTCAATTGCCAATCAGAAAATGTTGAAAACAGCTGGGCACAGTGGCTCATGAGAGGGTGAGGTAGATGAATTTCTTGAGACCAGCATGGACAACATGGCAAATCCGAGTTGCTAGGACAGAGAGAGAGAGAGAGAGAGAGAGAGAGAGAAGAGAGAAAAGAGAGCAGAGAAAAGAGAGGAGAGAGAAGAGAGAGAGAAGAGAAAGAGAAGAGAAAGAGAGAGAAAGAAAGAGAAAGAAAGAAGGAAAGAAAAAAAGAAAGAAAGAAAGAGAGAAAGAAAGAAAGAAAGAAAGAAAGAAAGAAAGAAAGAAAGAAAGAAAGAAAGAGAAAGAAAAGGAAGGAAGGAAGGAAGGAAGGAAGGAAGGAAGGAAGGAAGGAAGGAAGGAAGGGAGGAAGGAAGGAAGGGAGGAAGGAAGGAAGGGAAAAAAAGGGAGAGAGAGAAATTTTAAAATCTACCTAGGAACTGGAAGTCCCTGCTTCAATTTGGCCCACCTTTCAAGATCAAACTACTGTATATCCCACACATATTGATTGATATCTCATATCTCCCTAAAACATAAAAGCAAGCTTTACCCCAACCACCTTGGGCACATATCATCAGGATGTTGTAAGGCCATGTCACAGGTGTGTCATTAACTTGGGCAAAATAAACTTTCTAAACTGATAGAGATCTGTCTCAGATACTTTGTTTTCACAATTGGTAACCACAAAGGGATTCTGTCCGAGTGGAGGCTCCCCTGATATTTGACAAGCCTTCTATGGCTGTTTGGTACTACCTTGAGCTATCCTTACGGCACAAATGAGTAGGGCAATTTTCTGAGGCCTGAAAACCCCTCACCTCTGGAGAATCCCTGATCTCACAAAATTTGGTCAAGATCTGAAATTCATTTTCCTGTACAACTCCTTTTCTGGAGTTTTACTTATTTCCAAGAAGGAAGGAAAGTTTTCCTGCTTCCATGACTATAGAGAGTGGGAACCCACTTTCTGGAATTGTAGTTAATTTTTAACAAGGAAGACAAGTGTGAGTTTTGTTTTATTTCATTTTATTTTACTTTAAATTCTGGAATACATGTGCTTAATGTGCCAGTTTGTTACATAGGTATACAGGTGCCATGGTGGTTTGCTGCACCTATCAACCTGTCATCTAGGTTTTAAGCCTGACATGCCTTAAGTATTTGTCATAATGCTCTCCCTCCTCTTTCCCTCCACCCTCCAACAGGTCCCAGTGTGTGATATTCCCCTCCCTGTGTGCATGCGTTCTCATTGTTCAACTCCCACTTATGAGTAAGAGCATGCGGTGTTTGGTTTTCTGTTCCTGTGGGTTTGCTGAGGATGATGGTTTCCATCATCATCCATGTCCCTGCAACGGACATGAACTCATTCTTTTTTATGACTGCCTAGTATTCTATGGTTGTGTATATGCCACATTTTCTTTATCCAGTCTATCATTGATGGGCATTTGGGTTGGTTCCAAGTCTATGCCATTGTAAATAGTGTTGCAATAAACATATGTATGCATGTTTCTTTATAGAGGAATGATTTATAATCCTTTGGGTATGTACCCTATAATGAGATTGCAGGGTCAAATGGTATTTCTGGTTCTCCATCCTTCAGGAATCACCATACTGTTTTCTACAATGGTTGAACTAATTTACACTCCCACCAACAGTGTAAAAGCATTTGTATTTCTCCACATCCTCTCCACCATCTGTTGTTTCCACGCTTTTTAATGATCACCATTCTAACTGGCACAAGATGGTATCTCATTGTGGTTTTGATTTGCATTTCTCTAATGGCAGTATTGACGACTTTTTTTCATATGTTTGTTGGTGGCATAAATGTCTTCTTTTGAGAAGGATCTGTTCATATTCCTTTGCCCACTTTTTGATGAAGTTGTTTATTTTCTTATAAATTTTGTTAAAGTTCATTTTAGATTCTGGATATTAGACCTTTCTCAGATGAATAGATTGCAAAAATTTTCTCCCATTCTCTAGGTTGCCTGTTCACTCCGACGATACTTTCTTTTGCTGATAAGAAGCTCTTCAGCTTAATTAGATCCCATTACTTGATTTTGGCTTTTGTTGCAATTGCTTTTGGTGTTTCAGTCACGAAATATTTGCCCATGCCTATTGCCTAGATTTTCTTCTAGGGATTTTATGGCTTTAGGTTTACATTTAAGTCTTTAATTAATCTTGAGTTAATTTCTGTGTAAAGTGTAAGGAAGGGGCCCAGTTTCTGTTTTCTGCATATGGCTAGCCAGTTTTTCCAGCACCATTTATTAAATAGGAAATCCTTTCCCCTTTGCTTATTTTTCTCAGGTTTGTTGAAGATCACATGGTTGTAGATGTGTGGTGTTACTTCTGAGGCCTCTGTTCTGTTCAATTGGTCTGTATATCTGTTTTGGTACCAGTATCATGACGTTTTGGTTACTGTAGCCTTGTAGTATAGCTCGAAGTCAGGTAGTATGATGCCTCCAGTTTTGTTCTTTTTGCTTAGGATTGTCTTAGCTATACAGGCTCCTTTTTGGTTCCATATGAAATTTAAAGTAGATTATTCTAGTTCTGTGAAGAATGTCAATGATACCTTGATAGGAATAGCATTGAATCTATAAATTACTTTGGGCAGTATGGCCATTTTGATGATATTGATTCTTCCTATCCATAAGCATGGACTTTTTTTCCAGTTGTTTGTTTCCTTTCTTATTTCCTTGAGTTTGTTCTTTGTAGTTATCCTTGAAGAGGTTTTTCACATCCCTTGTAAGTTGTATTTCTAGGTATTTTATCCCTTTTGTGGCAATTGTAAATTACAGTTTACTTACTATTTGACTCTCTGCTTGTCTATTATTAGCGTATAGAAATGCTCGTGATTTTGCACACTAATTTTGTATTTGAGACTGCTGAAGTTGCTTATCAGCTTAAGCAGTTTGGGGGCTGGGACTATGGGGTTTTCTAAATATAGAATCATGTCATCTGCAAACAGAGACAATTTGACTTCCTCTCTTCCTATTTGAATACACTTTATTTGTTCATCTTGCCTGATTGCTCTGGCCAGAGCATCCAATACTATGTTGAATAAGAGTGGTGAGAGAGGGCATCCTTGTCTTGTGCCTCTTTTTGATTCCAGCTTTTGCCCATTCTTATGATATTGGCTTTGAGTTTGTCACAAATAGCTCTTATTATTTTGAGATATATTCTATCAATACTTAGTTTATTGACAGTTTTTGAATGAAGAGCTGTCGAATTTTGTCAAAGTCCTTTTCTGCGCCTATTGAGATAATCATATGGTTTTTATCTTTGGTTCTGTTTATGTGATGGATTGCACTTATTGATTTGTGTATACTGAACCAGCCTTGCATCTCAGGGATGAAGCTGACTTGATGGTGGTGGATAAGCTCTTTGATGTGTTGCTAGATTCAGTTTGCCAGTATTTTATTATGGATTTTTGCATCGATATTCATCAGAGCTATTTGCCTGGAATTTTCTTTTCTTGTGCCTCTGCCAGGTTTTGGAATTGCTAGCCTCATAAAATCAGTTAGGGAGGATTCTCTCTTTTTCTATCTTTTGGAATAGCTTCAGAAGGAATGGTACCAGCTCCTCTTTGTACCTCTGGTAGAATTCAGTCCTGTAAATCCATCTTGTCTTGGACTTTTTTGGTTGGTAGGCTATTAATTACTGCCTCAATTTCAGAACTTCTTATTAGATTATTCAGGGATTTGACTTCTTGGTGGTTTAGTCTTGGAAGGGTGTATATGTCCAGGAATTTATCCATTTCTTCCAGATTTTCTAGTTCATTTTCATAGAGGTGTTTATAGTGTTATATGATGGTAGTTTTTATTTCTGTGGGATCAGTGGTGATATCCCCTTTATTATTTTTTCTTGTGTCTATTTGATTCTTCTCCTTTTCTTATTTATTAGTCTGGCTAGCAGTCTATCTATTTTGTTAATGTCTTCAAAACCACAGCTCCTGGACCCATTGAATTTTAAACGGTTTTTCCTGTCTCTATCTCCTTCAGTTCTGCTCTGATCTTAGTTATTTCTTGTCTTCTGCTAGCTTTTGAATGTATTTACTCTTACTTCTCTAGTTATTTTAATTGGGATATTAGGGTGTCAATTTAGTGCTATAAATTTCTCTCTAAACACTGCTTTAGCTGTGTTCCAGAGATACTAGTATGTTGTCTCTTTGTTCTCATTGGTTTCAAAAAACTTCATTAATTGGGCCTTAATTTCATTATTTACCAAGTAATGATTCAGGAGCAGGTTGTTCACTTTTCAAATAGTTGTGCACTTTTGAGTGAGTTTCTTAATCCTGAGATCTAATTTGATTGCATTGTGGTCTGAGAGACTGTTTGTTATGATTTCCACTATTTTGCATTTTCTGAGGAGTGTTTTACTTCCATTTATGTGGTCCATTTTAGAATAAGTATTAATATGGTGCTGAGAAGAATGTATATTCTGTTGATTTGGGGTGGAGAGTTCTGTAGATGTCTATTAGGTTCACTTGGTCCAGAGCTGAGTTCAAGTCCTGAATATCCTTGTTAATTTTCTGTCTTGCTGATCTGTGTAATATTGACAGTGGGGTGTTAAAGCCTTGCACTATTATTGTGTGGGAGTCTAAGTCTCTTCGTAGGTCTCTAAGAAGTTATTTTATGAATCTGGGTGCTCTTGTATTGGGAGCTTATATATTAATGTAGTTAGTTCTTTTTGTTTCATTGATCCCTTTACAATTGTGTAATGCCATTCCTTGTCTTTTTTTATCTTCATTGGTCTAAAGCTTGTTTGCAGTGGCTGGTACTGGTTTTTCCTTTTCATACTTAGTGCTTCCTTCAGGAGCTCTTGTAGGGCAGACCTGGTGGTTACAAAATCCATCAGCATTTGCTTGTCTGGAAAGGATTTTATTTCTCTTTCACTTAGGAAGCTTAGTTTGGCTAGATATAAAATTCTGGGTTTAAAATTCTTCTCTTTAAGAATGTTGGCTATTGGCCCCACTCTCTGCTGGCTTATATGGTTTCTGCAGAAAGATCTGCTGTTACTCTAATAAACTTCCTTTTTATGTAACCTAACTTTTCTTTCTGGCTGTCCTTTACATTTTTTTGTTTGTTTGTTTTTGTTTCAACCTTGGAGAATGTGACAATTATGTGTCTTGAGGTTGCTGTTCTCGAGGAGTATCTTAGTGGTGTTCTCGGTATTTCCTGAATTTCAATGTTGACCTGTCTTCCTAGGTTGGGGAAGTTCTCCTGGATGATATCCTGAAGAGTGTTTTTTGTTTTTTTTGTTTTTTTTTTTTTTGAGACGGAGTCTCGCTCTGTCTCCCAGGCTGGAGTGCAGTGGCGGGATCTCGGCTCACTGCAAGCTCCGCCTCCCGGGTTCACGCCATTCTCCTGCCTCAGCCTCCCAAGTAGCTGGGACTACAGGCGCCTGCCACTACGCCCTGCTAATTTTTTGTATTTTTAGTAGAGACGGGGTTTCACCGTTTTAGCCGGGATGGTCTCGATCTCCTGACCTCGTGATCCACCCGCCTCGGCCTCCCAAAGTGCTGGGATTACAGGGGTGAGCCACCGCGCCCGGCCAAGAGTGTTTTTTTTTTTTAACATGGTTCCATTCTCCCCATCACTTTCAGGGAGCCCACTCAATCTTACGTTTGGTCTTTTCACATAGTCGCATATTTCTTTTGTTTGTTTGTCGCATATTTGTTTGTTTCTTCCTTTTCATTAGTTTTTATCTAATCTTGTCTTCAAGCTTTATTTCACTGAATTGATCTTCAATCTCTAATACTGTTTTTTCCACTTAATTGATTCAGTTATTCTACTTTTGTTTGCTTCACCATGTCCTCATGCTGTGTTTTTCAGCTCCCTCAAGTCATTTATGTTTTTGTCTAAACTGGTTATTCTAGTTATCAGTTCCTGTAACCTTTCATCAAGGTTCTTAATTTCCTTGCATTGGTTTAGAACATGATCCTTTACCTCAGAGGAGTTTGTTGTTACCCATTCTCTGAAGCCTACTTCTGTCAATTCATTAAACTCATTCTCTTTTTAGTTTTGTTCCCTTGCTGGAGAGGAGTTACAATCATTTGGAGGAGAAAAAGCATTCTGATATTTGGAAATTTCATCACTTTTGCACTGTTTTTTCCTCATCTCTGTGTATTTATCTACCTTTGATCTTTGAGGCTGATGACATTTGGATGGGGTTTCTCTGTGTGTGGTGGGGTCCTTTTTGGGGATGTTAATATTGTCACTTTCTATTTGTTAGTTTTTCTTCTGACACTCAAGCATCTCTTCTGCAGGTCTGTGGTAATTTGCTGAAAGTCAACTCCAGACCCTATTTGCCTGGGTATCACCAGTGAGACTGCAGAACAGCAAAGATTCCTGCCTGCTCCTTCCTCTGGAAGCTTCATCCCTGAAGGGGGCACATGCCAGATGCCAGCTGGAGCTCCCCTGTATGAGGTGTCTGTTAACCACTGTTGCCTACTCAAGCCTCAGTAATGGCATTCGCCCCTCCCCACACCAAGCTTAATCATCCCAGGTCGACTTTGGACTGCTTTGCTGGCAGTGAGAATTTCCAGCCATTGCTTCTTAACTTGCTGGTCTCCATGGGAGTGTGGCCCCCTGAGCATGACCACTTGGCTCCCTGGCTTCAGCCTCCTTACCACGGGAGTGAACGGTTCTGTCTCACTGGGGTTTCAGGCACCAGTGGGGTATGAAAAAAAAAGAAAAAGCCTGCAGCTAAATCAGTGTCTGCCCAAATGGGTGCCCAGTTTTGTGCCTGAAACCCAGGGCCCTGGTGGTGTAGGTGCACGAGGGAATCTCCTGGTCTGCAGATTACAAAAACCATGGGAGAAACATAGTATCTGGGCTGGATAGCACAGTCCATCATGACTTCTCTTGGCTAGGGGAGGGAGGTCCCTGGCCCCTTGCACTTCGCAGGTGAGGCAATGCCCCACCCTACTTCTTCTCACCCTCCATGGCTGTACCCACTGTCTAACCAATCCTCGTGAGATGAACACGGTTATTTCCCTGTTCATCAGCATCAACATTTCCTCAGTTGGAAATGCAGAAGTCTCCTGCCCTCTGCATTGGTTTCCCTGGGAGCTGCAGACTGGAGTTGTTCCCATTCAACCATCTTGCCACAATCCTCCCAAGTGTGAGTATTTTATCCTGCTTCTAAGAATGGGAAAAGCAGCCTTGAGTCTTGATTACTAGATAAGTAACAGAAAAATTGGGTTTGTGTCTTGGAAATTCTCCTTCATGATTAAAACTTAAAATTGAGAACCAGCTTGTCTTAATTTCTTGTTATTATTAGAGTGCTCAGAAATCACATTTCTGGGTTTTTGTTGTTGTTGTAGTCTTTCTATTATTGGACTGGACCAACGCTACCTGACTTTGTCAAATTTGAATAAGAATTCCAAATTACGAGGAACAAGACTTCTTAAGTGGCTAAAATTCCTTGCAGCAGGAAAACAAAACAAGACAAAACAAAATCGTTTGTTTTCTGTGTTTGTTTCTTAAAACATTTTTCTTATTTCCATGCATTATTTGGGAACAGGTGATGTTTGGTTACATGAGTAAGTTCTTTAGTGGTGATTGGTGAGATTTTGATGCACCCATCACCTGAGCAGTATACACTGTCCCTATGTTTAGTCCTTTATCACTTACCTGCTTCCTATTATTTTCCCCTGAGTCCTGAAAGTCCACCGTGTCATTCTTACACCTTTGTATCCTCATAGCTTAGCTCCCATTTAGGAATGGGAATATATGATGTTTGGTTTTCCATTCCTGAGTTACTTTACTTAGAATAACAAATTCCAATCTCAACCAGGTTGCCATTTATTCATTCTTTTTTATGGATAAGTAGTATTCATATATATATATATGAGTATATATATATACACATATATACGTGTGTATATATGTATATATACATATGTGTATATATGTATATGTATATTTTGTATGTATTATATATGTATATATTTTTATATGTGTGTGTGTGTATATATATATATCACAGTTTCTTTATCCTCTCATTGATTGATGTGCATTCGGTTTTGTTCCACATTTTTGCAATTGCCAATTGCACTGCTACAAACATGCATGCCCAAGTATCTTTTTTGTATAATGACTTATTTTCATCTGGGTAGATACCCAGTAGCGGGATTGCTGGATCAAATGGCAGTTCTACCTTTACTTCTTTAAGGAATATCCACACTGTTTTTCATACTGTTTGTGCTAGTTTACATATTCACCAGCAGTATAGAAGTGTTCCCTGTTCACTGCATTCATGCCAAGATAAACTGTTTCTTTTTATTTTTTTATTATGGCCATTCTTTCAGGAGTTTGGTGGTATCACCTTGTGATTTTAATTTGTATTTCCCTGAATATTAGTGATGTTGAGCATTTTTTATGCAGTTATTGACCATTTGTATATTTTTCTTTTGAGAATTATCTATTCATGTCCTTAGCCCACTTTTTGATGGAATTGGTTTTTTTTGCTAATTTGTTTGAGTTCATGGTAGATCCTGGATATTAGTTCTTTGTTAGATGTATAGATTGTGAAGATTTTCTCCCACTCTGTTGTCTGTTTCTCCAACACAGTTGTCTGTGTGCTCTGCTGACTGTTCCTTTTGTTGTGTGAAAGTTCTTTAGTTTCATTAAGTCCCAGCTATTTATCTTTTTTTAATTGCATTTGCTTGTGGGGTTTTGGTTATGAAATCCTTGCTAAAGCCAATGTCTAGAGAGCTTTTACAATGTTATTGCCTACATTTTTTATAGTTTTGGATGATAGATTTAAGTCCCTAATCCATCTTGAGTGACTTTTGTGTAAGGTAAGAGATGAGGATCCAGTTTTATTCTCCTACACGTGTCTAGCCAATTATCCCAGCACCATTTGTTTAAAAGGGTGTCTTTTTTGCACTTTATGTTTTTGCTTGCTTTGTAGAAAATCAGTTGGCTGTAAGCATTTGGGTTTATTTCTGGGTTCTGTATTTTTTTCCATTGGTTTTTGTGCCTATTTTTATACCAGTGCCATGCTGTTCTGGTGACTATGGCCTTATTGTATAGTTTGAAATCAGATAATGTGATGCCTTCAGATTTGTTATTTTGCTTAGACTTGCTTTGGATATGTGAGCTCTTTTTTGATTCTATATGGATTTTAGAATTATTTTCTCTAGCTCTGTGATGAATGATGGTGGTACTTTGATGGGAATTGCATTGAATTTGTAGATTGCTTTAGGCAGTATAATTATTTTCACAGTATTGGTTCTACCCATCCATGAACATGGGATACATTTCCATTTGTTTGTGTTGTCTATAATTTTTTTCAGTAGTGTTTTGTAGATTCCCTTATAGAGGTCTTTCAACTCCTTGGTAAAGTATATTCTGAAGTATTTTATTTTTCTAGCTATTGTAAAAGGGGTTGAGTTATTGACTTGACTCTCATTTTGGTTCCTGTTGGTGCATAGAAGACCTGGTGGTTTTTGTACATTAGTTTTGTATTTGGAAATTTTGCTGAATTCTTTTATCAGTTCTAGGAACCTTCTGGAGGAGTCTTTAGGGTGTTCTAGGTAAATAACCACATCATCAGCAAACAGTGACAGTTTCACTTCCTCTTTATCAATTTACATGCCTTGTATTACTTTCTCTTGTCTGATTGCTCTGGCAAGGACTTCCAGTACTACATTGAAGAGGAGTGGGGACAGTGGACATCCTTGTCTCATGCCGGTTCTCAGAGGGAATGCTTTTAATTTTTCCCCATTCAGTATTACGTTGGCTGTGGGTTTATCATAGATGGCTCTTATTACATTGAGGTGTGTCCCTTGTATGGAGATTTTGCTGAGGGTTATAAGCATAAAGGGATGCTGAGTTTTGTGGAATGATTTATCTGCCTTTATTGAGAAAATCATGTGATTTTTTTATTTTAATTCTGCTTATGTGTTGTATCACATTTATTGACTTGCATACATTAAACTATCTCTGCATCACTGGTATGAAACCCACTTGATTGTGGTGGATTTTTTTAATACATTGTTGGATTTGGTTAGCTAGTATTTTATTAAGAAATTTAGCATCTATATTCATTAGTGATATTGGTCTTCTTTATCCCTATGTTTATTATGCATATTGGTTCATTAACGATACTAGTTTTCTTTGTGGTTATGCACTTTTCTGGGTTTGGTATTTGGGTAATACTGAATTCATTGAGTGATTTAGGTAGGGTTTCCTCTTTATCTTGTGGAATAGTGTCGATAAGATTGATACCAATTATTCTTTGAATGTGTGGTAGCATTCTGCTGTGATTCCAGCTGGTTCTGGATTTTTCGTTTTGGTAATTTTAAAATTATCATTTAAATCTCACTATTTGTCATTCGTATGTTCAGGTATCAAATTCTTCCTGATTTAATCTAGATGGGTTGTATCTTTTTAGGAATTTATCCGTCTCTTCTAGGTTTTCTAGTTTATGCACATAAAGGTGTTCATGGTAGCCTTCAATAATCCTTTGAATTTCTGTGGTGTCAGTTGTAATATCTCCTGTATCATTTCTTACTGAGTTTATTTAGATTTTCTCTATTCTTCTTTCTTTGTTAATCTTGCTAATGGTCTATCAAAGAACCAGCTTTTTGTTTTATTTATTTTTTGTTTATTTGTTTGTTCACTTGTTTGAGTTTCATTTAGTTCTGCTCTGATCTTAGTTATTTCCTTTCTTCTGCTCGGTTTGGGTTTGGTTTGCTGTTGTTTCTCTAGTTCCTTGAGGTTTGACCTTAAACATTTTGATGTAGGCATTTAGAGCTATGAATTTTTTCTTAGCACCACCTTTGCTGTATCCTAGAGGTTTTGATAGATTGTGTCAATGTGTCGATCAGTTCAAAAATTTTTTAGTTTCTATCTTGATTTTATTCTTGACCCAATGATTATTCAGGAACAGGCTATTTAATTTCCATGTATTTGCATGATTTTGAAGGTCCTTTTGGAGTTGATTTCCAGTTTTGTTCCACTGTGCTCTGAGAGTGTGCTTGATATAATTTTACTTTTCTTAAATTTATTGAGACCAATTTTGTGGCCTCTCATATGGTCTATCTTGGAGAATGTTCCATGCAATGCTGAATAGAATGTATATTCTGCAGTTGTTGAATGGAATGTTCTGTATATATCTTTTAAGTCCATTTGTTTCAGGGTATAGTGTAAATCCATTGTTTCTTTGTTAACCTTCTCTCTTGATGACCTGGCCAGTGCTGTCAGTGGTGTATTGAAGTCCCCCACTATTAATGTGTTGCTGTCTATCTCTTTTCTTAGGTCTATTAGGAACTGCTTTACAAATTTGGAAGCTGCAGTGTTAGCTGCATATATGTTTAGGATTGTGATATTTTCCTTTAGGACAAAGATTTTATTATTATATAATGTCCCTCTTTGTCTTTTTACACTGCTGTTGCTGTAAAGATTTTTTGTCTGATATAAAAATAGCTACTTCTGTTCACTTTTGGTGTCCATTTGCATAAAATGTCTTTTTCCACCCATTTACCTTAAGTTTTTATGAGTCATTATGTATTAAGTGAGTCTCTTGAGGGCAGCAGATAGTTGGTTAGTGAATTCTTCATTCTGCCATTCTGTATCTTTAAATTGGAGCATTTAGGCCATTTACATTTAATGTTACTATTGAGATAGTATTGAGATAGTATTGAGATACTGAAGCAGGAGATGTAAAAAAGAAGAAAACAAAACAAAACAAGTATTCTATACTAGGCTAACTCACTCTCTAAGGCCCAGTGATAAACAAGACTGTAGCAGGATTCTGACAGCACTATCAGCAGAGCTGAGGCCCAGAAAGAATGGCCTTCAGGAGCAGGGATGAGAAAAACAAGTTTTTCTTATCAGTATCCCCTCTTTGAAATCCCTCCCCATACCATTATTCTTTGTTCTGCTCTCATAACTATTTTTGTAATTACTTCTGCAAGTTTGCAAGGATTTTGTAAGTTCCTGTTTTCCCACCTGCAGTATGGTGAAGGTCATGAGACATGACTAAGTTGCAGCACCTGTCACTGTTCGATGAACTGCGTTTGTTCTGCTTCTGTAAGCTTGCTTGCCCACACTGCCTGCAAGTTTCCTGCCACTGGTTCAACAACCCCCTTCAGTTGCATGTATAAAAGTTAAGCCCTGTCTCTGTTTGAGGCTCAGCTTCTGGATGTTAATCCACTGGGCCAGTGCACCTAAATAAATCCTCCAGTTTACAGAAAGTGGTCTAGGCTTTTTTTAATCCTATTTCACCCATTGGTCTTTCCTATCCCTTAATTCCTGCAACAGTACCATTTCATTCATTGTGCTATTTTTTGATGGTACCCCTTTTTTGTTATTGTTTTTAAATTGTATTTTTGTTTTATATGACCTGTGAGACTTATGCTTTAAAGAGGTCCTGTTTTGATGTGTTTTCAGGATTTGTTATGAGATTTAGACCTCCTTTAGCAGTTCTTAATAGTGCTGGGTTGGTAGTGGTGAATTCTCTCAGCATTTGTTTATCTGAAAAACACTGTACCTTTCCTTTCATTTATGAAGTTTAATTTTTCTGCATATAAAATTCTTCACTCCTAATTGCTTTGTTTAAGAAAGCTGATGATAAGACCTCATCCCTTCTGGCTTGCAGGGTTTCTGCTGAGAAATCTGCTGTTAATCTGATAGGTTTTCATTTACATGTTATGTGATGCTTTAATATCACAGCCCTTTAGATTATTTCCTTCATCTTAACTTTAGATAACCTGATAACAATATGTCTGGCTGATGATCTTATTGTGATGAATTTCCTGAGTGTTCTTTGTTCATCTTGTATTTGGATGTCTAGGTCTCTAACAAGGTTGGGGAAGTTTTCCTCAATTATTCCCCCAAATGTATTTTCCAAACTTTCAGATTTCTTCCTCAGAAATGCCAGTTATTCTTAAGTTTAGTCATTTAACATAATCCCACACTTCTTGGAAGTTTTGTTCATATTGTCTTATTCTTTTTTCTTTGTCTTTGTTGGATTGGGTTAATTCAAATACCTTGTCTTCAAGCTCTAAATTTGTTTCTTCTACTTGTTTGATTCTATTACTGAGACTTTCCAAAGCATTTTACATTTCTATAAGTTTATCTGTTGTTTCTTGAAGTTTTTATTTTTTAAAATTTATGCTATCTATTTCATTGAATATTTCTCCTTTCGTTTCTTGTATTTTTCTATATCTTTACATTGGGGTTTGTCTTCTGGTGGCTCCCTGATTAATTTTATAACTAACCTCTTGAATTCATTTTCAGGTAAATCAGGAATTTATTATTGGCTTGGATCCATTGCTAGTGAGCTACTGTAATTTTTGGGGGTGCTAAATAACCTTGTTTTGTCATATTATCAGAGTTTGTTTTCTCATTCATTCTTATCTGGGTAAGCTCAGTCAGAGAGAGTCTAGGGCTGAAAGCTGTTATTCAGATTCTTCTGTCCCATGGTGTTGAGAATAGGCCCCCAAATCTGGCCATAAATTGGCCACAAAACTGGCCATAAAAAAAAAAATCTCTGCAGCACTGTGATATGTTCGTGATGGCCATGATGCCCACGCTGGAAGGTTGTGGGCTTACTGGAATAAGGGCAAGGAACAACTGGCCTGCCCAGGGTGGAAAATCACTTAAAGGCATTCTTAAACCAAAAACAATAGCATGAGCCATCTGTGCCTTAAGGACATGTTCCTGCTGCAGATAACTAGCCAAACTCATCCCTTTACTTCGGCCCATCCCTTTATTTCCCAAAAGAAATACCTTTAGTTAATCTATAATCTGTAGAAACAATGGTTATCACTGGCTTGCTGTCAACAAATATGTGGGTAAATCTCTGTTCAAGGCTCTCAGCTCTAAAGGCTGAGACCCCTGATTTCCCACTCTACACTTGTGTATTTCTGTGTGTGTGTCTTTTGTTCCTCTAGTGCCAGTGGGTTAGGGTCTCCCTGACTGAGCTGGTCTTGGCACCATGGGGTGTTCCTTTGATGTACTACTCTCCCCCTTTTCTTATGGATGTGGCTTCCTGAGAGCTCAGTTTAATGATTGTTATCTCTCTTCTATGCCTAGCCACCCAGCAAGTCTCCTGGGCTCTTCACTGGTACCAGGCATTGTCTGCCTAGAGTCCTGGGATGTGAATTGTCTGTGGTTCTCTCAGCCATGGATACCAGCACTTGTTTCAGCAAAGGTAGCAGGGGTTTTAGGGTTCTTAGCTTTGGTAGTTTAATGCATTATTTTTATGCTGATTGGCCTCCTGCCTGGAGGTGGTCCTTTCCAGAGAGCATCAGCTGTGGTAGTATGGGGAGGAATAGGTGGTGTGTGGAGCCCTAGACATTTAAAGTATATGCCCTTTGTCCTCTATTACCAGGGTGAGTAAAGAAGGACCACTGGGTGGGGGCAGGGCTAGATGTGTCTGAGCTCAGATTCTCCTTGGATGGGTCTTTCTGCTGTTGTGGTGTGGGATGGGGATGAAGTTCCCAGGTGAATGGAGTTATATTTCTGGGAGGATCATGGCTGTCTCTACTTTGTCATGCAGGTTGTCAAGAAAGTCAGGGAAAGGTGGCAGTCACAGGCCTCACCCAGCTCCCATGCAATCTAAAGGGCCACTCTCACTCCCACCATGCCTTCCCCATTATCACCAAGACTGTTTCCAGGCAGTGGGCAAGTAGGGCTGAGAACTTGTCTGAGGCTACCCACCTCCCAGCTCTGAAAGTAATTATTGCTTTCCTTCATCCCCTGTCTGTGGAGTCTGCATACAAGATTCACATCCTCCTCTGAGTTCTGGCCAGGAGATTTCTGGGTCAATTTAAATTGCTACACAGTTCAACTGGACATTTTTTTCTCCCTGTGTCCTTTTCGCAGTGCCTCTGGCCATCCCCTCAAAGGACTCCTGTGAGGGCAGGCAGAAATGGTTTGTTAGGGGGCTCATTGAGTTCACAGGGCTTTTCTGACTGCTTCCTTTACCCCTGTATTTTGCTTTACCCTCTAAATTGACTCAGTTCCAGGTAAGGTCAGAATCTTCTCTTGTATCTAGACCTTCAGTTTTTCCAGTGGGGATGTGTGTTTGGGAGTGGATAGTATCACTTTCTCACTTCCAGAGTTTGGGCACTAAACAGTATTTTCAGTGTCTCCCAGGTCCTGTGGGAGAAATCAACTTCCTTCAGAGGGTCTGTGGATCCTCCCAGGTTTCCTGAATTATTTCTGTAGTCATTCTGGAGCAAAAATTCATGATGTGACCCTCCACACACTGCTGTGTCTGCCAGAGAGGGAGCTTTAATATAGTCCTGTCTCTTGTCCACCATGATCTGCCACTGTATCAACTGAAGGGTTTTGAGAGGGATATGCTGCATCTTGATTTTAATTGAGATCACCAGAAAACAGCAGCAAGGATAGAAACCCCTCAGATGTTTACAGCCTTGACAAGCCCCAGTGATGGTGAGCTGACAGACAGGGAGGCTGTTGGACCCTCCGTGTTTGCTTCTTGTCTTAAAAAAGAACTGCTTTCTTGTTTACTTTTCTTTCACCTCATTCCTCCCTTCCTTTCCTTTTTGCCATCTTTGATACTAAGAGAAATGAGAAATTTAGAGAAGGTTTCTAGTGCCTCAAACACCTTAAAGAACTCTGAACAAAACTCCACTTATCTCTTTTTGGGGTGATGTTGGTGAAGTTTCAAGAGTCATGGGAGATTCTTCTTAAGTCTAAAGCTCTGCTTTCTTGTATTACATTGCCTGGCCTCTTTGGCTAGAGATTATCTTGTACTGTGAGAGGATTTGACCTTGGCATGTGTAATGGCAGATAAGAGCTATAAAGTTAGGAGTGACTGAGGAGAGTTTACAGAAAGTGGTCGAAGACTTTTTTCCCCCTCTTAGGAAGTTATTGTTTAGAATCCTAATTCTAGCTCAGAAAAGCATTCTGAAGAGTCTTCTCTATTGCCTTTCCTTCCAAAATTCATCTCAATTTGACGTGTGTGCACATTTGTGTGAGGGGCTGAACTATTGTTTTCACAGGTAAATGAGAGACTGAGTTTCCTCAGCTCTGAAGAGCAAGGGCATTTGCTCCTCCCAGCTGTAAGTTGCCCCTTGGTGACTGAAGGTATTGAAGGAGTGTCTGTGGGGTTGAACCCCAGTGATATGCAGTGGCCCTACAGGGAACTATCATCAACTTAGTTTAAAAAGGCTCATCCAGGAGGCACAGAGAGGAGCTGATCATTATACGCTTTGGACTGTCTCGAAGGTGCTAGAACTCTGGATAGATAAACTGAGATATGTAAGAGGGTGAAAATGATTCAGTCATTACACACTATTGAGTCACACCCACAACCAGCAAACTTTGACCCATCACACTAAGCCCTACAACACAGCTCAGTTCTTCTTTTTAAGAAAAAAACTGGAAAACAAATTATCTAAGAATGAGAAAAGACCAGGAGAATGACTCACTTTCAGGCACCCCCTTTGGTTTTATGGCACCTGTACCTTCAAATGGTGATGTAAATGGGAGGACCTTCCAGGGTTTCTGGCACTCCAGCTGCTTACACATTAGGTCTGCTCTTGTGCACATTTTAAACTGATGGACAAACTACATCAAGGAAAATTCAGAGCCTGAAGATCAACCTGCCACTAGAAAGTTTCTAAGTTCTGTGTCTATCTCTCCACTTTCTCTTCTGGTTAAGTCTGCTGTTGCTTTTCCACCAGTGTTGAGATAAAAGCAAAAACCCACCATTTGTTTTAAACTTTTTTTGTAACTGATAAGTTTGTGGTATCTCATGGTGAGAGTTCTGAAATAAAAGCTGTAGGATTTTTCTATGAATTTCTATGGATATTCATGCGTGTTTACATGTACATACATGTATTCTGTTAGGTTCTTAGTGGCCACAAGTTACCAAATTGGCTTGAGTTAAGGAGTACTCATACATTTAGTAAATAATAAGCCCAAACACATCTAAGTGCATATGACTTCAGAAAATTCTGATAAATAGCTGGCTTTAAAATTATTGGTGAAGTAATAATAGAAATGTCTTAAGAATTGTCAGCATTTTTTGCATTTTTTAATCAAGTGATTTTATGCCTATTCTTGTCAAATATTATATGGTGTATAAATTTGGCAATGGGTTATAAAACTATAAACCCAGTCAAAAACAGAACAGTCTTTGCTTGTGTAATTTTTGTTTTGTTTTGTTTTGAGACAGAGTCTCATTTTGTTGCCCAAACTGGAAAGCTGTGGTGCACTCTTGGCTCACTGCAACCTCTGCCTCCCATAGTTCTTAGATTACAGGCATTAGCTGCCAGGCCTGGTGGCTTGTGTAATTTTTGATAAAACATTTAATATTGTTAGTTAGTGGAAAAAGCTAAAAAGCTAAATCTTGAGGTATTGGTAAAAATAACCACATATTTTACTTAAGTAAACACCTGAAATTAACAGGCTATAAAAATGGTTGACAAAGAAATAACGTTCAATTGATGACTATCATAGTTGTCATAATCTAAATAAACTATTAAAATAAAATAATTAGGTAAATGTCATGGAATAAATGTTTGTAAACATCATAATTTAGAACCTGAAGTAATGTTAAATAGCAGATATTTAACTAAATATCTGGGTAATTTTCAATTAAAAATTATAGAAAAATATTGCTAAAAATATGTTCTTATTAAAGGTAAATAATTGTGTCCAATTCTAAGGTTATGTACAAAATGAAGTAAAAGTAACAAGGAAATAAAATAGAAATAAAGCTATAGATATGGGGAGGTATTTTTGGTAAGAAAGATTAAAAGAAAAATAATTTTAATAAAAAAGAGTCTTTAATGGCAAATTTTTGCACTAAAATAAAATGACTGGTTTTCAAAGAGAGATGTTCAGGACAAACCCAAAAGTCCAGGCATATTGTGAATGGTTTGCGTAAGTCATAAAACGTTATTAAAAATTGAATTTATAAAAAAGTTACATGATTAAGATAGCTATAATTAAATACAAAGATTAATAATCTAAAAATGACTGATTTTAAAAATACACAATACAAAAAAAATAATTGGTTAGAACAAGGTTTTGTTAAAAATATTTGACACCTTTTTGTTTACTTATTTGTTTGTTTGCTTGTTTTCTGGAACAGAGTTTCACTGTTTCTGTGATCTTGGCTCACTACAACCTCTGCCTCTCAGGCTGGTAGAGAAAGGCTTTGGCCATCTTTTCCTAGCTGGTGTAAAATGGCTGAGCTCAGGTAGTCCAGCTGCCTTGGCTTCCCAAAGTGCTAGCATTACAGGGGTGAGCCACTGTGCTTGGCCAGAAGTATTTGATCTGTTAAGGAAAGAAGCTTTTAATTTTTTAATTGTATAATCTGTTTCTTTTTGAAATTTTTCAGTTTGTTATTGAGGCAGTGTCATTCATCTGGGGTAATACCTGAGATTTGTTGTCTCATAGCCATGGGAAACTAAAACATGGGCACATCAGGGTGAGGTTCAGAGCTGAAGTTTTCATAGTCAAAAGAAAGAGAAAATTTCTCTCTGCTGCAGAGAGAAGGGTCCCAGATAAAATGAGTTTCCAGTTCTGTGGTGAAATTCACAAGGTTTTATAGACTATCTTAAGGAGTTGTCAGACATAAGGTGTGAAAGATTGGTTGAACCATGTACACAATTTGCATAACATGTGAGGAAGCTGGCCAGCCCAATCCTAATCTTTTATTATGCAGGTTAGTTCTCTGCCTTGTTATCTACTTTTTTACTGTACACATGTTGAACATACCTGACTTTCAGATAGCCCTTTTCTATTGGCACAGCTGCTGGTATTCCTATGTGCCGTCGTCCAGCTTGCTTAACTACATCTTCAGCTTTACTCTTCAGGATGCTCTTTGTTAGAAAATGAATGATTTGGGGGTCAATTTTTGTTAAAAGGGAAATGTTGCTGAAGACTCTGTTACCCTAGTATCTGCCCAAATAATTTTTTTAGCTCCTGTATCAATATCTGAGAAGTTTGACTTCTGTGCCCTGCTTCTTCAGCTTTTTCTCTCATTTGAGAAGGCCTAGGATAGTAAGTTTTCTCCTTCATCTTGTGTTTACTCCTGTAATATTTTGTAACAATAACAGTCTGAAGTAAAAAAGATTTTTAAAAATAGGCAAATAAAAAATCTTATACAATTTGCCTCTATCTATATGTCTATTTTATCTACATGTGTATATATGTTATGTTTAATATTTCACTACCAAACTATAGAAAAAGCTCTAATTAATTGGTTTAAATAATGTGAATGTTTATCAGATGGATAAACATTATCTTGATTAATGTCTTTTAGTTTACTTGACTTTGGTAATCTCTGGTAAGATTAATTTGGTAAATTCAATCTTTATTATCTCTAGTAATTTACATCTTTAAAGTCATTTTATATTTAAAATAAGTAATCATAGGTTTTCCACTGGGAATCTGGGTTACTAAGAATTAGAATAGTAGGACAGCTAGATGTGGATTTAGTAAAGTTATAAAACATAAGTGTTTTTTTGCTGAAGAAAATGTCATTTTTATAGTTCAGAGGCTCCTTAAAAGTCACTCTAAAATTAAAAATATATATAAATAAAACTAAATGGATATAGAGAAAAATATTAGCTTGGTGCAAAAGTAATTGTGCTTTTTGCCATATGAAAGTAATGGCAAAAACCACAATTACTATCGCACTAACCTAATAAAAGGGTGGGAAATTAGAAACTTTGACCCTTGGGTGGCCCTGTGATCACTCACAGCATGGAACTGCAGCTGGGCTGCCTTCAGTCACTAAAGGCAAATTTTACCACTGGAATTAAGAGATGGATCATACTCATACTCTCAGGGAATTAGTTCACTGAATGCATAAGCAAATGCAAACTAATAAGGAAAAAGTGAAAATTTGATTTGATCCCTTGGTTATTATTTAGAATAGCCAAGATGAGACTAAAGAATGTTGAGTGGATTCTTAGCTACTCCTAGGAAGGAAAATTAAACGAGCAAAAAAAAATTACATCTGAAACCTATAGTTACCAAAAATATAGTCAATGTGAGGGAAGGACAAAACTAAGCTACCATTAAAATCAGAGAGTGTAATGTTAAGAAATTGTTACATTTTGTAGATTGGTATCATTAGCTTCATGAAAAACCTTTACTATAATGGATTCTAAAAATAATTTTAAAAACAGTGTCCTTAATTTTAAATCCTACAGAATGAAGGAGCTTGTTTGGTTGATCCATGATCCACAACGCACTATATTAAACAATTACTAATGAGTATACGGGACACAGATGCACAGGAGTCTAGTTCTAAGAGAACAACCAGCCACTGGATTGGATAAATGCCACCATAAGGTTCATTGATCCTTAGAAGGCAACTGTCCAATTCTCCCTAATAAAATGTCAAGTGGAGCAACCCAGATGAACAAATTAATATGCTTCCCATGCAAGCCATATGGGACTAGGTTTATGATGACTGTATATGGTCCCACTGAATATGCCTATTACCTATGTCATACTAAATGCTGGGGTTAAGAAGGCCCCTTTCACATGGGCATCTCATGTGACATTACTCCTTCCAAATCATACAACTACTTAAGAAGACTTTTTAAATTTGCTCTACCTCCTGTTTCCTACAGATGCTTAATAAAACATTAAGATGAATAACAATAACAATGAAATTGGAAAGGGAAAGAAAATCAAAGGACTTGCTCTGGAAGGTGGGTAGAAATCTTTTAAATGGTTATTAATAAATAAAATGAAGCTTGGTGTTGTGGTTCACACCTGTAATCTCATCACTTTGGAAGGCCAAGGCAGGTGGATCATGAGTTCAGGAGATCAAGACCATCCCGGCTAACACAATGAAATCCTGTCTCTACTTACTAAAAAAAAAAAAAAAGGAAATTAGCCGAGCATGGTGGCATGCAACTGTAGTCCCAACTACTCAGTAGACTGAGGCAGAATTCCTTGAAACATGGAGATGGAGGTTGCAGTGAACCGTGATCATGCTACTGCACTGCAGCCTGTGCAACAGAGTGAGACTCCATCTCAAAAATACATACATACATACATAAAAATTGATAGGGTCAAAACAAAGGTATTTACAATAATATCAAAGGCTGAGTGGACCAAGGGGAACCCCTTTTGGTACCCCAACATTAAAAAAAAACCCAAAAGATAGTTTTCTACTATTTGCACCATATTAAGGAAATTTAAGAAAAATCAAAAGGTAAAACACAGTGAAAAACTGGCATTGCCTGGAGCAATGCTGAAGCCAATTAAGATAAAGATTGACAAAGCAATCTGAGTTCTTTGGATGGATGCCCTACTAGAAACCCAAATACTTTTTTTCCAGAAAAGATAAAATGGTCTGGGAGTAGAAAAGAAAGATTCCTGGGACCAGAACATAAAAAACGTAAAGATTGGTATTGAGAGGTGAAGTCACCTGGACTTCCTGGGTCGAGTGGGAACTTGGAGAATTTTTCTGTCTTACAAGATGTTTGTAAAATGCACCAATCAGTTTTCTGTAAAAATGCACCAATCAGTGCTCTGTAGCTAGATAGAGGTTTGTAAAATGGACCAATCAGCACTAGGTAAAATGGACCAATTGGCAGAACATGGGCAGGGACAAATAAGGGAATAAAAGCTGGCCACCCCAGCCAGCAGCAGAAACCCACTCACATCCCCTTCCATGCTGTGGAAGTTTTGTTCTTTCACTCTTCACAGTAAATCTTGCAGCTGCTCACTCTTTGGGTCCATGCCACCTTTAAGAGCTATAACACTGCAAAGGTCCATGGCTTCATTCTTGAAGTTAGTGAGATCACAAATCCACAGGCAGGAACTAACTCCAGACACATCTTTGGTGCTCATCCAGGATATCACCACACAGTGAGTACTGTTGGACCCCTTTTGCTTGCTATTCTGTCCTATTTTCCTTGGAATTTGGGGGCTAAACACCAGGCAACTGTCAGCCAGTTAAAAGTGACTACCACAGCCATTGAACTAAAGACATGGGTGTCAGGCTTTCTGGGAAAAGGTTCTCTAACAATCCCCAACTCTTTGGATATGGGAATGTTGGTTTGCCTGGAACCAGCTTTCACTATTCCTGTACTTCCAGACTGATCCAAGGGTCAAGAGAGAGGAAAGCCATTCAGCTCTGGGTTCCCAAAAAAGTTGGTTGACCCTGCAGCCATGAGTGGAACTCTCAAAATCACATTGCCCAAACGAGACTCACCCATCTAATGTATCTATCCTAACCCTTGCTTCCTGGGTCTTAATACCTGTCAGAAAAACTTCCTCCTGCCTCTCTTCTCCAAGGCTAGTCCTGCTTCCAAAAACCACTCTCATCTCTAGTGCTTTTCTAGTTTCTCCTATTAGAATAATTTCTAGTATAAATTTCAGGACTCTGTTCATTTTTTTAGGCGCCCAGACTCACCAATCAGAAAGATATAATTTTTGCCCAAGTCCCTTTGTTGGCAGGGAGTCTATCTGGAATGCCATCTATCCTTTTAGGATGCCTCCTCAGACTAGTAGTTCTAACAAAGGCTATTCCCAAAGATAGGATAGGAGGAGCCTCAGAAATTTTATCCTTCCTATTCATATGATGAGAAGTGAGAACAAAACTGCCATTCTTCCAACCCTGGAGATCTCTTCTTTCCTTCAGGTTATGGCCCTCCCCTCCATTTTCAGGCATATCATCTTCATAGGACAAGGGTAAGGTCCCAACACTAACAGGATAATGCTCAGGACTCTTACAGGTTTTCAAGAATGCTTCAGTAAAGGCCACTAAACCCGATTTTTCTTGGTCCTCTTTGTGGTCTAAGAGGAAAGGCAAAGTTGCAGGTTTTTGAGAATATGTCGGTAAGGGCCACTAAATCCAACCTTCCTCAGTCCTCTTTGTGGTCTAGGAAATAAAGTAGTGTTTCTGCAGTTGCTTTGGTGAGTGCAACTATTCTGATCAGCAGGGCCCAGGGACTGTTGTGGGTTCTTGGGGAGGCAAACAAAACAAAACTGCAGGCAGATTTTTATTCCAGATGGGAAACAGGCATCAACAGGCTCACCCTTGAAATGCATCCTAAGCCACTGTAACCAATTAGACGCACAAACCCTGAAAAAAAGTGGCTTATTATTTTCTGCATTACAGCCTGGCCCCAATATTCTCTCTGATGTGGAAAAATGGCAACCTGAGGAAAGTATACATTACAATACTATCCTACGGCTTGACCTTTCCTTTAAGAGGGAAGACAAATGGAGGGAAATACCTTAAGTCCAAGCTTTCTTTTCATTGAAGGTGAATCCACAACTATGCAAAACTTACAATTTACATCCCAAAGGAGGACTTCTCAACTTACCTCCATATTCTAGCTTTCCTACAGCTCCACTTCCTATTAATGATAAGCCTCCTCTAATATCCCCCACCCAGAAGGAAGCAAGCAAAGAAATCTCCAAGGGACCACAAAAGCCCCTGGGGTATCAGTTATGTCCCTTCAAGCTGTAGGGGGAGGGGAATTTGGCCCAACCTGGGTACATGTCCCCTTCTTCCTCTCTGATTTAAAGCAGATCAAGGTAGATCTGCGGAAGTTTTCAGATGATCCTGATAGTTATATAGATGTCCTACATGGTCTAGGGCAAATCTTTGACCTCAATTGGATAGATGTCATGCTTTTGTTAGACCAAACCCTGGCGTTTAATGAAAATAATGTGGCTTTAGCTGCAGCCCAAGAGTTTGGAGATACCTGATATCTTGGTCAAGTAAATGCTAGAATGACAGCTGAAGAAAGGGACAAATTCTAAACCAGTCAACAAGCCAACCCCAGTATGGATCCCCACCAGGACCTAGACTCAAATCATGGGGACTGCAGTCATAAACATCTGCTGACCTGTATTCTAGAAGGACTAAGGAGAATTAGGAAAAAGCCCATGAATTATTCAATGATGTCCACCATAACTCAGGGAAAGGAAGAAAATCCTTCTGCCTTCTTTGAGTGGCTGCTGGAGGCCATAAGAAAATATGCTCCCCTGTCACCTGACTCATTCAAGGGTCAACTGATCTTAAAAGATAAGTTTATTACCAATCAGCTGCAGATATCAGGAGACAGCTCCAAAAGTGAGCCCTGGGCCCTGAACAAAATCTGGAGGCATTATTAAATCTGGCAACATCGCTGTTCTATAGTAGGGACCAAGAGGGACAGGCTGAAAAGGAAAAGTGAGAATAGGGAAAGGCCACAGCATTAGTCATGTCCCTCAGAAAAACAAACCTTGGTCGTTCAGAAAGGACAGGAAATGGAGCACGCCAATCACCCTGTAGGGCTTGTTATCAGTGTGGTTTGCAAGGACACTTTAAAAAAGATTGTCAATGAGAAACAAGCTTCCCCCTAACCCATGTCCACTATGCCAAGGCAATAACTGGAAGGCATACTGCTCCAGATGGCAAAGGTTCTCTGGGCCAGAAGCCGCCAACCATATGATCCAACAGCAGGACTGAGGGTGTCTAGGGCAAGTGCCAGCTCATGTTATCACCCTCACTGAGCCCTGGGTATGTTTAACCATTGAGTGCCAGGAAATTGACTTCCTCTTGCACTTGAGCATGGCCTTCTCAGTGTTAATCTCCTGTCCTAGATGGCTGTCCTCAAGGCCCATTACCATCCAAGGAATCCTGGGAGAGCCTCTAACCAGATATTTCTCCAACCTCCTCAGTTGTAATTGAGAGACTTTGCTCTTTTCACATGGCTTTCTTGTTATGCCTGAAAGTCCCACAACCTTATTAGGGAGGGATATATTAGCCAAAGCTGGAGCTGTTATCTATATGAATATGGGGGACAAGTTACCCATTTGTTGTCTCCTACTTGAGGAGGGAATCAACCCTGAATTCTGGGCAGGACAATTTTGAAGGGCAAAAAATGCCTGCCCAGTCCAAATCACGATATAAGACTCTACCACTTTCCTTATCAAAGGCAATATCCCTTAAGGCCTGAAGCCATAAAGGATTACAGGATATAGTTAGACATTTAAAAGCTCAAGGCTTAGTAACAAAATACAGCAGTCCCAGCAACACCCCAATTCTAGGAGTACAAAAACTGAACAGTCAGTGTAGACTAGGCAAGATCTTAGACTCATCAATTAGGCAGTAATTTCTCTATATGCAGTTGTACTCAACCCCTATACACTGCTCTCTCAAATTCCAGAGGAAGCAGAATGGTTCACTGTTCTGGAGCTCAAAAATGCCTTCTGTGTTTCCCCGCACTCTGTTTCCCAGTTTCTCTTTGCTTTTGAGGATCCTACCAACCACACTTCCCAACTTAGTGAACAGTCTTGCCTCAAGGGTTTACAGATAGCCCTCATCTGTTTGGTCAGGCACTGCCCCAGATCTAGTCCACTTCTCAAGTCCAGGCACTGTGGTCCTTCAGTGTGTGGATGATTTACTTTTAGCTAACAGTTTAGAAGCCTTATGCCAGCAGGCTACTCTAGATCTTTTGAACTTTCTAGCTAACCAAGAGTACAAGGTGTCTAAATTGAAGGGTCAGCTCTGCCTACAACAAGTCAAATATTTTTGCCTAATCTTAGCCAGAGGAACCAGGGTCCTCAGCAAGAAACAAATAGACCTATACTGGCTTATCCTTGTTCTAAGACAT
Source organism: Homo sapiens (assembly GCF_000001405.40). Taxonomy (NCBI): domain Eukaryota; kingdom Metazoa; phylum Chordata; class Mammalia; order Primates; family Hominidae; genus Homo; species Homo sapiens. The sequence goes on along the minus strand of NC_000024.10, from coordinate 13,662,036 downwards.
TAAAATGGTTGTGGGGGTTCCTTGGGATCACTGGCTTTTGCCAGCTATGGATCCCCAGATACAGCAACATAGACAGGCCTCTCTATACTCTAACCAATGAGACCCAGAGGGCAAATACTCATCTAGTAGAATGGGAACCAGAGGCAGAAACAGTCTTCAAAACCTTAAAGCAGGCCCTAGTACAAGATTCGCCTTAAGCCTTCCAACAGGACAAAACTTCTCTTTATTTGTCACAGAGAGAGCAGGAATAGCTCTTGGAGTTCTTACTCAGACTCAGGGGACAACCCCACAACCAGTGACCTACCTAAGGGAATTGATACAGTAGCAAAAGGCTGTCCACACTGTTTATGGGTAGTTGTGGCAGTGGCTGTTGTAGTATCAGAGGCTATCAAAATAACACAAGGAGAGGATCTCATGACTGAACTACTCAGATGTAAATGGCATACTAGGTGCCAAAGGAAGTTTATGGCTATCAGACAACCACCTACTTAGATACCAGGTGCTACTCCTTGAGGGACCAGTGCTTCAAATACATATGTGTGTGGCTCTGAACCCTGTGACTTTTCTCCCAGAGGATGGGGAACCAATTGAGCATGACTACCAACAAATTATAGTCCAGACTTACACCACCCAAGGTGAACTCCTAGAAGTCCCAGTAGCTAATTCTGACCTTAACCTATATAATGATGGAAGTTCATTTGTGGAGAATGGGATATGAAGAGCGGGTTATGCCATACTTAGTGATGTAACCATACTCAAAAATAAGCCTCTTCTCTCAGGGACCACTACCTAGTTAGCAGAACTAGTGGCAATTGCCTGAGCCTTAGAACTGAGAAAGGGAAAAAGAATAAATATATATACAGATAGCAAGTATGCTTATCTAATCCTACATGCTGATGTTGCAATATGGAAAGAAAGGAAGTTCCTAAACTCTATGGGAAACCCCATTAAATACGACAAGGAAATCATGGAGTTATGGTATGCAGTGCAAAAACCCAAGGAGTTGGGAGTCTGACACTGCCAAAGCCATCAAAAAGGTGGAGAAAAAGCAGAAGGAAACCAGTGGGCATATGCTGAGGCTAAAATTTCTGCCAGGTGGAAACTCCCATTAGAAGTACCTACGGAAAGACATTTGGTATGGAACAACCCTCTCAAAGAGATTAAGCCCCAATATTCCCCGACTGAAACAGAATGGAAACTTTCGTGGAAAATACTTAAAACCCTCCAACAAGCTTTTCATATGGGTATTGAGAACACTCATCCAATGGCCAAATCCCTATTTACAGGGCCAAATTTCCTCCAGACCATCCAACAAGTAGTCAAAGCCTCTGAGGTGTGCCAAAGGAATAATCCCTTGGTCTATCATAAGGGCCCTCTTGGGGAACAAAGAATAGGTCACTATTCTCCAGGATATCTGGAGATAGTGACCTATAGGCAGTTAGACTTCACCCATATGCCTAAGTCAAAGGGATTTTAATACTTGTTGGTCTGTGTTGATATCTTTACAAATTGGTTAGAAGCCTTCCCCTGCAAGAAAAAGAAGTCTCAGGAAGTGGTTATAATTCCTAGATTTCAGCTTCCTGAAAGCTTACAACGTGACAACAGTCCAGCTTTTAAAGCTACAATAGCTCAGGGAATTTCCAGGGCACTAGGGATACAATATCACCTTCACTGCACCTGAAGGCCACAATCCTCAGGGAAGGTGGAGAAGGCAAATGAAACACTCAAGAAGCACTTAAGGAAACTAACACAAGAAACTCATCTCCCATGGCCTACTCTCTTGCCCATGGCCTTCTTGAGAATCTGAAATTCTCCTCACAAAATGGGGCTCATTCTATATAAAATGCTGTATTAAGGACCATTTCTCACAAATGATCTACTTGATCAGGAAATGGCCAACTTGGTCAAAGATATAACTTATTTGGCAAAATATCAACAAAACCTTAGAAATCCACCTGAAGGATGTCACAGAGAAAAGGAAATGGAGTTGTTTCAATAGGGAGATCTAGTGTTGATCAAATCGCTCCCCTCTACCTCCCCATCTATGGATTCTTTGTGGGAAGGACAATACTCGGTAATCTTCTCTACCCCCACTGCAGTCAAGGTGGCCGGACTGGAATCTTGGATTCACCACACCCGAGTTAAACTTTTGACACCCCCTGAGGAATCTGTGAGACTGACAGCTCAGGAGTCCCAAGATCTGCCAGACCAGCCTCAATATACCTGTAAGCCATTGGAGGACTTGCATCTCCTCTTTTGGAAGGAAACATTCCAAACTAAAAAGACTCCTACAGCTTATTCTGAGGAAAAACCCCTTCCTACATAAAAAAAAAGATAAGTGAAAACCTACATAATCTTTACCACCTCTCCTTGACCCTTTAATGAAATCGTTTTACTGTTTCATCACATTATTAAACAGCATAATAACCATGCTCTTTGCAAAAGGACTATATACTGTAGCTCCTGCTGGGATGAAAATCCTCATCACATCAACCTTCTTCCTATCATCCTTCCTTCTGACAGTAATTTACTCCTACCTTTAACTCAGACTGGATAAAGTGACCTCATCTTTCAGGACACCTTCATTACCTTCCAAATTACTCTTTGCCTATCTGTCCCTCCTGCTTCCTTGGATACCCCACACAGTCTCCTCTCCCTTCCTGATTACCTCTGCAACACTCTCAACTTAACCCACTCTCTGTTAAAGCAGTCCAATACCCTCGCAAATGACTGCTGGCTTTGTATCTCTCTATCAACCACTGTTTACATTGCCATTCCCGTTACTGTAAAAAAACTGGTTCTTTACTAACAATGTAAAACCCTCGTTATGAAGGAAAAGACCCTTTCCAACTTCTAAATATGCAATCAGTAGGTGACTTCCTCATCTCTGATAGGATGAATGTGTAACTGGATACACATTCCAACTTTTATCTTCTTACATTTCCAAACTCACCTATTACACAAGCAAGGAAAAGCCCATTCTTGACCCTGTAACCATGGATACCATTTTAACTTTCCAAGCCCTTTTATGCATCCAAGGCAACGTGTTATCAGGCCTGGCCCTGGGGCCCCTACTATCCCATCAGTGTAATTACACCCTACATCTTCAAGCCTCAACTGATCATAGTAACTTTCGAGTCACCCAAACAGCTCCATTCAGACAGCTTGTCCACTTCTCAGGGCCTCAAAAAATCTTCAACTCCTCCCTGCTTAACAAACAGTCTGGGTTTTGTAATGGCAAACATACTCCCTGCATGACCATTCACCCTTGGACACCCTGCAGCCATGACCCCACCACTAATGAATGCCTTCTCATACCCTCTTTCTATCACTTCCTTGAATGGTTCCTAGTAGATAAAAAATGGTTATTTCTCCAATGGGAAAATAAAACACAGGGAGCCACTAAGTTTGCTCCCAACACCCCTTTCCAGCTGCTCACCATAGCTACCTAGGCAAGGCCTCTAGGAGTATGGGAAAATAAAAACAACAAACTCACACACCTTTTTAACATACAACCAGTTCTGTCTTACCAGTCAAGGCATATTCTTCTTATGCCCAACTTCAACCTATATCTACCTCCCCACGAGCTGGACAGGTAACTGCACCTTAGTCTTCCTAAGTCCCATCATTAACATAGCCCCAGGAAATCAGACTCTATCAGTGCCCCTCAAAGCTCAAGTCCATACAACTAATTCCCCCTATTTATAGGGTTAAGAATGGCCACTGCTATAGGAATTGGAATAGCCAGTTGATCTACTCCATTATCCTACTACCACACACTCTCAAAGGATTTCTCAGACATCTCGCAAGAAATAGCAAAATCTATCCTTACTCTACAATCCCAAATAGACTCTTTGGCACAGTGATTCTCCAAAACCACTGAAGCCTAGATCTCCTCACTGCTGACAAAGGAGGACTCTGCAGCTTCTTAGGGGAAGAGTGTTGCTTTTATACTAACCAGTCACGGATAGCACAAGACACTGTCCAGTGTTTACAGGAAAAGGCTTCTGAAATCATACAACACCTTTCAAATTCTTATACTGATCTCTGGAGTTGGGTGTCATGGCTTTCCTCCTTTCTAAGTCCCATGACAACCATCTTGCTATTACTAGCCTTTGGACCCTGTATTTTTAACCTCCTTGTCAAATTTGTTTCCTCCAGGATTGAAGGTATCAAGCTACAGATGATCTTACATGTGAAACCCCAATGAGCTCAATTCACAATTTCTACCAAGGACCCCTGAATCGACCCACTGGCCCTTTGACTGGCCTAGAGAATTCCCCTCTGGAGGACACTACCACTGTAGGGCCCCTTCTTCACCTCAAGCCAGCAGGAAGTAACTAGAGCAGTCATTGCCCAATTCCCAACAGCAGTTGGGGTGTCCTGTTTAGAGGGTAGACTGAGAGGTGAAGCCAGCTGGACTTCCTGGGTCAAGTGGGGACTTGAAGAACTTTTCTTTTCTTTTCTTTTTTTGAGACAGAGTCTCGCTCTGTCACCCAAGATGGAGTGCAGTGGCATGATTTCAGCTCACTGCAAGCTCTGCCTCCCAGGTTCATGCCATTCTCCTGCCTCAGCCTCCCCAGTAGCTGGGACTACAGGCGCCCACCACCATGCCATGCTAATTTTTTGTATTTTTAGTAGAGACGGGGTTTCACCCTGTTAGCCAGGATGGTCTCGATCTGCTGACCTCGTGATCCACCTGCCTCAGCCTCCCAAAGTGCTAGGATTACAGGCGTGAGCCACTCGCCTGGCTGAGAACTTTTCTGTCTTACAAGAGCTTTGTAAAATGCACCAATTAGTGCTCTGTAAAAATGCACCAATCAGTGCTCTGTGGCTAGCTAGAAGTTTGTAAAATTGACCAATAAGCCCCTAGTAAGATGGACCAATCAGCATTCTGTAAAATGGACCAGTCGGCATCCTGTAAAATGGACCAAACAACACTAAAATCAACAGGACATGGGCAGGGACAAATAAGGGAATAAAAGGTGGCCACCCCAGTCAGCAGCAGCAACCGGCTCAGGTCCCCTTCCTTGCTGTGGAAGCTTTGTTCTTTTGCTCTTCACAATAAATCTTGCTGATCTCTCTTTGGGTCTGCACCACCTTCAAGAGCTGTAACTGCCAAGGTCTGCAGCTTTATTCTTGAAGTCAGCGAGACCATGAATCTACCGTCAGGAACCAACTCCAGACACAGTAAGATTATGAAATGTGAGTGTTTATAAAGGCTGTCTGTAAGGTAGTTTTGACTCCTTTACCTAAATGTGTTATGAAAATGTGTACCAATGTATCTGACTCAGGGATGTTCCCCCTAACTAGTACTGTAAAACTGGAGGCATGTATTCAACCTGAAGAAGCTAAAGGGAGAACAACCATAACTGAAGGCATGAAAATCTGCCCTTTGAGAAATGTTCATTAAAGTGGACATGCTAAATAGGAACTAGTAAGACTGTCTGAGCCCACAGAATGTAAGGTAGAAGCTGGAGTGATAGAACAAATCTTCCACTTCACAGCCTTTGTGGAGCATTTACTGGGGCTTCTACCACAGGTCTATGAGCACTTCCCAATGTCAATGACTGAACTAGAACATTTTCACTTGAGGGGCATTTCCTGCCTTGCTATGGAATGTTAACTGAAGCTAATGGAAATAATGGTGCCCAAAAGTTTCTTGAAAAATTAATAATGCTTTACATAGAATCTTGCTACCTAGAAGATACAAAGAGGAGACACTCATGAGCAGAGAGCCTCCTTTTTCCTTAGTACAGACTCTAACCATGGGAAGAGCTGCCAGATTGTCCAGTGCCTGATAATTATCATATGACAAGAGCTGCTTAGCATGTGAGTGGCAGTTCCAAGTGTCACAAATAAGATGTTGTTTAAAAATCTGCTGCTCTGGTTAAAGAAGAGTCAGAAAACATTTTTCCTTTGAGTTATTTACAGTTTAGAGCATTTTGATGCAGCATTTTGTAAGCAAATTTAGCTTTCACTCTGAGTTCCCCAAATTTGAAAACTGTTAATTATTTTATGACATTATAGTCAGCAGTCCCATCAGCTCTCAAGTGTCCCACTTTAGGGGGAGAAAAAAAGGCTTCCCATGTTCCAGGATTCTGTACTTCCCTAATCCTGTTATCCACAGCCATTAGCAAAGATTGCAAGGCAGATTAATCAAAAAGGAATAACACTTAACATCTCACAGTGCCAAACCTGCTCTTAACTGGAAGGAGTTTACTGAGAGGAGAATCTAACCCCCTAAATCTTAGGAAGAACTTGAACACTTTTAAGTTGGGCCTCAAACTCGAGTTGGGGTAAGCATCTTTGCCTTTTATTAAAAGGAGCCTTTAACCCACTCTGTCTTAGGAGAGACTGTAACTCCCCCAAGTTAAGCATCGAACCCTATCACTTTACCAGGGTAAATGCAGCCCACTTACTGAACATCAGATAATGGGCACATGCAGATAATTTTCCTTTGGGTCAGGAGTTGCTTCAGTTTGTCCTTTCAGCATTTGCCAGAAAGATACTAATGGAAAGGGGTTGCAAACCAGAACCCAAGGGAGGGCTCTTGGATCTTGTGCAAGAAAGAATTTAGGGCAAGTTCATAGAGTAAAGTGAAGGCAAGTTTATTGGAAATGTAAAGGAATAAAAGAATGGCTACTTCATAGACAAAGCAGCTCCAAAGATTGCTAGTTGCCCATTTTTATGGTTATTTCTTGATTATATGCTAAACAAGGGGTGGATTAGTCATGTTTCCACTTTTCAGACCATATAGAATAACTTTTTGATGTTGCCATGATATTTGTAAACTGTCCCTGCACTGGTGGGAAGTGTAGCAGTGAGGACAATCAGGTTCTCATTGCCATCTTGGTTTTGGTATATTTTTGCTGGCTTCTTTACTGCAACGTATTATATCAGCAAGGACTTTGTGACCTGTAACCTGTAACCTATGCCAAGCCTCATCTCATCCTGTGACTTAGAATACCTTAATCATCTGGGAATGCAGCCCCATACATATCAGCCTCATTTTAGCCAGCCCCTATTCAAGATGGAGTTGGTCTTGTTCAAACTATTCTTACACTCTGATCCTTATTCTTTTGTTGTTGTTCTTATTTTTCGGTTTGTTTTTATTTTCACTTTGCTTGTTCACAGAAGTGCATTGTTACATCGTTAATGAGTAATTCTTCTACTATTTTGATGTAGGAAATTATTGCTATGAACTTTTCTCTTAACATTTCTTTTGCTGTATCCCACAGGTTTTGGTATGCTCTTTTTTTCACCTGTTTTCCTTTAGCACCAACAGCTTTTTATGCAATGAGTTTCCTATCATCAACAAGATGAGAACCTGTTTTCCATCTAGTACAGGAGCAGATTAATGCTGCCACCACGAACCTATAAGGAGAGAGATGTGGGAGTGGCCAACCTAGAGATTCACTCCTTATCTCTCAAGGACAACAAAACCTCTGACCTGTCTCTTGAAATGCAAGCTATACATTCAAACCCATTTGTTTGGGGTTAAATGGAGGTTGCTTAGTGGAGGGTACTAAGAGAAAAGCCTACAGGAACTGCATGCTTTTTTGCAAATGATAGTGATCTTCCTGTCCAGGCTACTGCCACTGGACACCCCTTATGTATGTCCCCACAGTAAACCCTATGTCTTTGTTTGATGGCTCCAGGTCTTTTCTTTTGGCCTCAGTTACCTGCTGTCATCTCTATTGGACTCAATAGTGGTTACATCACATCAATTGGTAAATCTTTCAGGAGGTCACAGAAAACTCCATGAGGGCTGACATAGTGGGATTAAGGAAGGGGAAATCTATGAGGAAATTCCCAGGCTGGCCATTTACATCTGTGTGGGGCTCAACAGCCACTATCGATGGATTGAGCTTACAGCATGAGTATGAGGATACCCTAAAAATGCTGAACTGTCTGGTTCAGCAGAATCAGACACCTGGCTTCTAAGTCAGGCACCTGCTTCTAAGCAGAAGTCAGGTTTCTGAGCTGTGATTGGCTGTCTGCTGCTGGCTGACCTCAGCGACTGAGGCTGAGTTTGCAGTGCAGGTGAGGGTTTATCAGTTACAAAACAAGCTGCAACTAGAATCAGATGCCAGATTAGTTAAGGTTGAAATGTTGGAGACCTTACTGTCCTGTCTCTGGGAGAAGCATGGCAAAATGGAGAACCTAGCTTGCCATGAAACCCATCTGAAAAGTTGCCAGCCATCACATCGACAAATCAGGGCTATCATAACAAAATCATCCTGAAACCCTAAGTCCTGGGACCCCATGAAAAGCTCTAGGTGGGAGGACATTGAGAAATGCAATAAACCCATAGAGGTTCCCTTTGTCGGTGTTCATCTGCCGGTCAGTAAAAAGATAAAGGTCCATCAACTACACCTCCACTGAAAGATGGCAAAACGCCACTATGTGGGATTATGCCACTGTGGAATTGGTGGAACTGGGAAATAGGTTGAGACAAAAGTGGAGAGAGTTGAGCCTAGGGAGATTTCTCTGTCTCTGGAACAGAGGTGTGGAGAATAGTATGCTCTCTAGACTTGAGATGAGTAAAACAGCTTTCATCGCAAACCACTTATCCCTGAGACCACACCTCTTTGGTGCCCATAATGAGCCATCTCCTATTTTAGCTGGGTGGTTGTGGGCTGCAAAGGGACCTAGGCAAATAAAGAAAACATCCCCATGTCTCCTTTGTGATGGATGGAACACTATGGAGGAATATACTCTGGGAATTAGGGATAAAATGTGCAATCTATGTCAAATATTATCATATCCCAACCATGCGTTGTTTACTGCCCACATGAAAAATGCCACCCTACTGTTGGCACCCAAACAATATTATGGTGTCCTTGTGTTCTCCTGAGCCCTTATGATATGACAGCCAGTGTATTGTATTGTCCAAGTGATTACTCACTTAGGAGAAACTGTGTAAGCAAGGGTTGTCTCCTGCTGGGATGGAAAACAAATGAGTGAAAAGAGAGATGAAAGCCAACGGGCATGCCAGGTTGATGCACCAATAAAGGTAATATGGTACAAGTTGGTAGTAAGAGGAACACCTACAGTGAAAATAGATACACACCCTTACGCTGTCCTGTGGCAGAAGCTGAAGCCAGAACAGTGGTTCACCAAGTAATCTCAGTCTCAACTTATTACATCTGGCACATGCCAACCACTTTAGATTAGAATGAAGGCCATGGCCACAGAATCCTAATAAGTGTAATGGTGGACAGAGTGTCTGGTGACTAAGGCCACAAGTATAACTTACTTTACACTGGTAACCTAAGAATAAACAGACTATGCATGCTCTGGTGGAGACTGGGGCTGAGTGCACTGTCCTATATGGCAACCTCTATGAGTTGTAAGGACATATAGCATGAAGAAATGGGTTATGAAAATGGGCTAAAAAAATCAGACAGGGCCAGGCACTTTGGCTCCCATCTGTAATCCCATGACTTTGGGAGGCTGAGGCAGGTGAATCACGAGGTCAGCAGTTCAGGACCAGCCTGGCCAACATGGTGAAAACCCAACTCTACTTAAAATACAAAGAAAACTACCTGGGTTTAGTGGCAGACTCCTGTAATCCCACCTACTTGGGATGCTAAGGCAGAAGAATTTCTTGAACCCGGGAGATGCTCAAGCTTGGTGGTGGAAGAGGTGTCCACCATTGCTGAGGCTTTAGTAGGCAGTTTCACCCTCACAGTATAAACAAAGCTGTGGGAATTTCAAATTGGGCACAGCCCAGCCCAGCTTAGTAAGGCCCATGCACACAGACTGCCTCCTCTCTGGGCAGGGCATCTCTGAAAAAAAAGCAGCAGCCACAGTCAGGGACTTATGAATGAAAACCCCCACTGCCCTGGGAGAGAGCACCTGGGGGAAGGGGCAGTTGTGGGCACAGCTTCAGCAGACTTAAATGTCCCAACCTGGCAGCTCTGAAGACAGCAGCAGATCTACCAGCACAGAATTGGAGTTCTGATAAGGAAGAGACTGCCTCCTCAAGTGGGTCCATGCCCCTATGTATCCTGACTAGGAGACACTTCCCAGCAGGGGCCAACAGACACCTCATACAGGAGAGTTCTGGCTAGCGTCCGGCAGGTGCTCCTGTGGGACAAAACTTCCAGAGAAAGGAACAGGTAGCAATCTTTGCTGGTATGCATCCTCTGCTGGTGATACCCAGGCAAAAGGGTCAGAGCGTACCTCCAGCAAACTCCAGCAGACCTGCAGAAGAGGGTCCTGACTGTTAGAAGGAAAATTAACAATCAGAAAGGAATAGTAGCAATATCAACACAAAGGATGTCCACTCAGAGACCCCACCCAAAGGTCACCGACTTCAAAGACCAAAGGTAGATAAATCCATGAAGGTGGGGAGAAACCAGCACAGAAAGGCTGAAAATTCCAGAACCAGAACACCTCTTCCCTTCCAAAGGACCACAACTCCTCGCCAGCAAGGGAACAAAACTGGAAGGAAAATGACTTTGACAAATTGATGGAAGAAGGCTTCAGAAGGTGGGTAATAATGTCTGCAAGCTAAAGGAGCATTTTTAACCCAATTCAAGGAAGCTAAGAACATTGAAAAAACATCAGATGAATTCTAACTGGAATAATCAGTTTAGAGAAGAACATAAATGACCTGATGGAGCTCAAAAACACAGCACGAGAACTTCGAGAAGCATACACAATTATCAATAGCTGAACCAATCAAGTGGAAGAAAGGATGTCAGAGATAGCAGAACAACTCAATGAAATAAAGCAAGAAAACAAGATTAGAGAAAAAAGAGTGAAAAGAAATGAACAAAGACCCCAAGAAGTATGGAACTATGTGAAAAGACCAAATCTATGTTTGATTGGGGTACCTGAAAGTCATGGAGTGAATAGAATCAACTTGGAAACCACTCTTCAGGATATTATCCAGGAGAACTTCCCAACCCCGCAAGGCAGGCCAACATTCAAATTCAGGACATACAGAGAACACCACAGAGATATTCCTTGAGAAGAGTAATACCAAGACACATAATCATCAGATTCTCCAAGGATGAAGTGAAGGAAAAAATGTTAAGGGCAACCAGAGAGAAAGGTCAGATTATCCACAAAGTGAAGCCAGTCAGACTAGCAGTGGATCTCTCAGTAGAAGCCCTATGAGCCACAAGAGAGTGGGGGCCAATATTCAACATTCTTAAAGAAGAGAATTTTCAACCCAGGATTTCATATCCAGCCAAACTAAGCTAAATAAGCGAAGGAGAAATAAAATCCTTTACAGACAAGGAATTGCTGAGAGATTTTGTCACCACCAGACCTGCCCTACAAAAGCTCCTGAAGGAAGCACTGAACATGGAAAAGAACAACCATTACCAGCCACTGCAAAAACATACCAAATTGTAAAGACCATTGACACGATGAAAAAAGCTGCATCAACTAACAGGCAAAATAGCCAACTAGCATCATAATGGCATCACTAAACAAGGAAAAGAACAACTGGTACCAGCCACTGCAAAAATATACCAAATTGTAAAGACTACTGATGCTATGAAGAAACTGCACCAACTAATGGGCAAAAATAGCCTACTAGCATCATAATGGCAGGATAACATTCACACATCACAATATTAACCTTAAATGTAAACGGGCTAAATGCCCCACATAAAAGACATAGACTGGCAAATTTGACAGCCAGGCAAGACCCATCAGTGTGCTGTATTCAGGAGACCCATCTCGTGAGCAAAGACACACATAGGCTCAAAATAAAAGGGTGGAGGAATATAAATCCAGCAAATAGAAAGAAAAAAAAAAGCAGGGTTTACAATTCTAGTTTCTGATAAAACAGTCTTTAAATCAACAAAGATCAAAAGAGAAAAAGAAAGACATTACATAATGGTAAAGGCATCAATGTAACAAGAAGAGCTAACTATCCTAAATATATATGCACCCAATACAGGAGCACTCAGATTCATAAAGCAAGTTCTTAGAGACCTACAATGAAACTTGGACTCCCACACAATAATAATGGGAGACTTTAACACCCCCCTGTCAGTATTATACAGATCAACAAGACAGAAAATTAACAAGAATAAATATCCAGGACTTGAACTCAGCTCTGGACCAAGAGGACCTAATAGACATCTACAGAACTTTCCACCCAAAATCAAGAGATATACATTATTCTCACAACCACATTGCACTTATTCTAAAATTGACCACATAATAGAAAGTAAGGCATGCCTCAGCAAATGGAAAAGGATAGAAATCATAACAAATAGTTTTTCACACCGCAGTGCAATCAAATTAGAACCCAGGATAAAGAAACACTCAAAACTACACAACTACATGGCAATTGGACAGCCTGCTCCTGAATGACTACTGGGTAAATAACGAAATTAAGGCAGAAATAAAGATGTTCTTTGAAACTAATAAATCAATGACACAATATCCCAGAATCTCTGTGTGTGGAGGGAAAATTTATAGCACTACATGCCCACATCAGAAAGGATAGATCTAAAATCAACACCCTAACATCCCAATTAAAATAACCAGAGAAGCAAAAGCAAACAAACTCAAATTTAGCAGAAGACAAGAAATACCTAAGATCAGAGAAAAACAGAAGGCGATAGAGACATGAAAAACCTTTAAAAAAAATCAATGAATCCAGGAGCTGGTGTTTTGAAAAGCTCAACAAAATAGATAGACCACTAGCCAGAATAATGAAGAAGAAAAGAGAGAAAAATCAATTAGAAGCAGTAAAAAAATGATAAAGGGGATATCACCACCAATCCCACAAGAAATACAAACTACCAACAGAGAATACTATGAATACCTCTACTCAAATAAACTAGAAAATCCAGAATAAATGGATAAATTCCTAAACACATGACACTCCCAAGAGTAAAACAAGAAGAAATCGAATCCCTGAATAGACCAATAAGAAGTTCTGAAATTAAGGCACCAATTATTAGCCTACCAACCAAAAAACATCCAGAACCAGATGGATTCACAACCAAATTCTACCAGAGATACAAAGAGAAGCCGGCACCATTTATTCTGAAACTATTCCAAACAATATAAAAAGAGAGAATCCTCCCTAACTCATTTTATGTGGCCAACATAGTCCTGATACCAAAACCTGAAGAGACACAACAAAAAAAGAAAATTTCAGGCCGATATCCCTGATGAATATCGATGCAAAAATCCTCAATAAAATACTAGGAAACCAAATCTAGAGCACATCAAAATCTTATCCAACACTATCAAGTCTTCTTCATCCCTGGGATGCAAGGCTGGTTCAACATACACAAATCAATAAAAGTAATCTATCACATAAACAGAACCAATGACAAAAACCACATGATTATCTCAATAGATGCAGAAAAGGCCTTGAATTCAATAGCCCTTCATGCCAAAATCTCTCAATAAATGAGGTATTGAGGGAACATATCTCAAAATAATAAAAGATATTGATGACAAATCCAAAGCCAATATCTACAAAATTTGCAAAAACTGGAAGCATTCCCTTTGAAAACATGCACAAGACAAGGATATCTTGTCATCCCCCTATTCAACATAGTATTGGAAGTTCTGGCCACGGAAATCAAGCAAAAGATAGAAATAAATATTATTTAATTAGGAATAGAGAAAGTCAAATTGTCTCTGCTTGCAAATGTCATGATTGTATAGTTAGAAAACCCCATCATCTCAGCCCAAAAACTCCTTGAATTGATAAGCAACTTCAACAAAGTCTCAAAATACTAAATCAATGTGGAAAATCACAAGCATTCCTATACACAAATAACAGACAAACGGAGAACAAAATCATGAGTGAACTCCCATTTACAATTGCTGCAAAGAGAATAAAACACCTAGGAATACAACTTACAAGGAATGTGAAGGTCTTCTTCAAGGAGAACTACAAGCCACTGCTCAAGGAAATAAAAGAGGACACAAACAAATGGAAAAATATTCCACGCTCATGGACAGGAAGAATCAGTGTCGTCAAAATGGCCATACGCCCAGAGTAATTTATAGATTCAATGCTATCTCAATCAATGTACCACTGAGTTTCTTCACGGAGTTGGAACCAACTACTGTAAATTTCATACGGAACCAAAAAAGAGCCCCCATAGCCAAGACAATTGTAACCAAAAGAACAAAGCTGGAGGTATCACACTACCTGACTTCAAACTATACCACAAGATTACTGTGACAAAAACAGCATGATACTGGTACCAAAACAGTTATATAGACCAACGGAACAGAAGAGAGGCCTCAGAAATAATGCCACACATCTACAACCATCTGATCTTTGACAAACTTGACAAAAACAAGCAAATGGGGGAAGGATTCCCTATTTACTAAATGGTGCTGGGAAAACAGGCCAGCCCTATGCAGAAAGCTGAAACTAGATCCCTTCCTTTCACCTTATACAAAAATTAACTCAAGATGGATTAAAGACTTAAGCATAAGACATAAAACCTTAAGAACCCTAGAAGAAAACCTAGCAAATCCATTTAAGACATAGGCATGGGCAAAGACTTCATGACTGAAACACCAAAAGGAATTGCAACAAAAGCCAAAATTGACTAATTGGATTTGATTAAACTAAAGAGCTTCTGCACAGCACAAGAAACTATCATTAGAGTGAACAGGCAAGCTACAGAATGGGAGAAAATTTTTTCAATCTGTCCATCTGACAAAGGGCTAATATCCAGAATCTACAAAGAACTTAAACAGATTTATAAGAAAAAAACAACCCCATAAAAATGTGGGCCAGTGATATAAACAGACACTTCTCTAAAGAAGACATTTATACAGCCAACAAATATATGAAAAAAAAGCCCATAATCCCTGGTCATCAGAGAAATGCAAATCAAAACCACATTGAGATACCATCTCACACCAGTTAGAATGGCAATTATAAAGTCAGGAAAAAACAGAAGCTGGAGAGTATGTGAAGAAATAGGAACACTTTTACACTGTTGGTGGGAGTGTAAATTATTTCAACCATTGTGGAAGACAGTTTGGCCATTCCTCAAGGATCTAGAACTAGAAGTACCATTTGACCCAGTGATCCCATTACTGGGTATATGCCCAAAGGATTATAAATCATTCTACTATAAAGACACATGCACATGTACAATTATTGTGGCACTGTTCACAATAGCAAAGGCTTGGAACCAACCCGAATGCCCCTCAATGATAGACTGGATAAAGAAACTGAGGCACATATATATATCGTGGAATACTATGCAGCCACAAAAAAGGATGAGTTCATGTCCTTTTCAGGGACATGGATGAAGCTGGAAACCATCATTCTCAGCAAACTAACACAAGAACAAAAAACAAAACACTGCCCGTTCTCATACATAAGTGGGAATTGAGCAACTGGAACACATGGACACGGAGGGGAGCATCACACAACAGGGCCT
Organism: Homo sapiens; assembly: GCF_000001405.40. NCBI lineage: Eukaryota > Metazoa > Chordata > Mammalia > Primates > Hominidae > Homo > Homo sapiens. The sequence goes on along the minus strand of NC_000024.10, from coordinate 13,646,629 downwards.
GTTGGGTGGTGGGGGGCTAGGGGAGGGATAGCATTAGAAGAAATATCTAATGTAGTTGACGGGTTGATGGGCGCAGCAAACCACCATGGCATGTGTATACCTATGTAACAAACCTGCACATTCTGCACATGTACCCCAGAACTTAAAGTATAATAAAAATAATATTAAAGGACACAATAGGGAATGAATTGAGTCGTGAGCTCCCTGGATGGTCCTCCTCCACAAGCCAGAGCCAATAGTACTGTGCACTGATAACTGGGTCATTTTTAAGAGACTTACAATGTAGATACCACAATGGAAAGTACAGGATGGTACAGTAGTGGGCAGGCCCCTTTGGCATGCTGACATTTAGAAGGACATTTTCCATCACATTTGGGGGATGCATGAAATGCTATGAGGTGGTTATCCTTACTGCTACTACTCCACCTGGAAATCAACAGGGGGTTGAGGTAGCTTGCATTCCCCTCTTTGAGGAAGTTCTTGGAGAAGATGTGGTCTACTGGCTATGTAAGAGGGCAAGGCACTAGTGACAACGTACACTTTTGGCCACAGTGAAGAAATGTGGCCTATGATTACAGTATAAAAACATAGTATTTAACTGTCAACAATGTCCTAGTTTTGCACAGAAAAATCTCAGGCCTTTGCTGCAATAGTGGCAGATAAACTACATAGAACCTTTGCTTATGTCTGATGTCTGCCACTTTACCTTGGCTTGCACAGATGGTTGCACTGTACTACTGCAGACACGTCCCAGTCAGGGTCCTGCCTAGAAAAATACCATAAAAGGAGTACAGCAGCTGTCTGCAGTCTATGGTGTCCCCACTGATATTGATAGTGACCACGGCTTTTACTTTTCTGAAAACGAAGTACAGGAATGAGTGGAAGCTCTGGATATTCAGTGGCATTTCCACATGCTGTACAGCCCTACAGCAGTGGGGCTGATTGAATGGATGATAGAATGCTAAAGCAGCGACTCCAGAAGACATGCCCTCCTCCTCTGTGGACACAGTACTTACCAAAAGTCATTCATGCCCTAAATGAACATATTTTCCTTACTAAACAGAATACATTCTTCTGATGCAAAACCTGAAACCACCATAAGGATCTAGATAGGCAGTGTAAGGAACAGTATACCTCTCATCTAATGGGACTCAGGGTAACCTGCTGTGTCCCTTGCCATAGGACCTAACCATGTGAGAACACATTGTTGCATAGGCTGGGAAATGGCAAATCAGTTCCTGATAGTTTGATTTTTCTACTTCATGGGAGATAGGAATTCTGCGTGTTCTTTGTCCCCAGGCCCTTATGTGCTTCTTGATGTTGTGTGGCCCAGATGGGGTGGAATCCTCTGTACCAGGCACCCACCTAAGGCTCTTCCCACCCACTCCTTCCATTCTTTCTGCTTCTTGCCATATTCTCCACTTTCAGAGGAAGAAATAGGCTCATAAGACTCATTTACCCAAATTCAGCAACAAAGCTGAGATTTGAACTGAAAGCTCTGTTGCATTTGCTACGTTCCCCATATGTTATTTTGGTAACTCCATGTTACTTTCTCTAGCAGACTCTACACATTTTAGGTCCAAGGGCTGTTCTATCCATCTAGCCTGGTCTTGCACTTATGAGCTGATAGATGTTAGTGAAAATGAAAAGAAGTCACAGAAGATGGTATTGGTAGACTTAAGGGATGTTTTACATGTAAAGTTTACATTTAACATTAGCATTGCTTCATGTGAATTTGATCCTATCACTATGATGCTAGTTTTTTATTTTGCAGACTTGTTTATGTGGTTGCTTCATAGTGTCACTGGTCTGTGTACTTACGTGTGTTTTTGTGGTGACTGATAATTGTCTTTCCTTTCCATATTTATGCTTCATTCAGGAGCTTTTGCAAGGCAAGTGTGGTGTCAATAAATCACTTAGCATTTTCTTGCCTATAAAGATTCTTATTTCTCCTTCATTTATGAAGCTTAGTTTGGCCAGATGTGAAATTCTGGGTTGGAAATTCGTTCCTTTAAGAATGTTGAATTTTGGCCCCTAATCACTTCTAGCTTGTAGGGTTTCTGCTGAGAGGTCTGCTGTTAGTCTGATGAGCTAGGACACACAGTCCACTCTGGTTTGTTACTATACAACTGTAATCCCAGCAATTTGGGAGGCCAAGGAGGGTGGATCTCCTAGTGTCAAGAGTTGCACACCAGCCTGCCCAACATGGTGAAATCCCATCTCTACTAAAAATACAAAAATTAGCTGGGTGTGATTGCAGGTGCCTAATACCAGCTACTTGGGAGGCTTAAGCCCAGGAAGTGGAGGTTGCAGTGAGCTGAGATTGCACCATTGTACTCCAGCCTGGGCAACAAGAGTGAAACTCCATATCAAAAAAACAACAACAGCAACAACAACCACAAAAAGAAACCCAAAACTGTCCGGTTGCTTTTTGGTAGCACAGGTGTGTTGCAATGGGAAGAACCCTTTGCAAAGAAGAGGAACCCTTCCTCTTCCCAGGCTGTCTGTATTCTTTAAAGCTAGCAGGCTGGAGTAGCCAAGTTTACTGAGCCACAGAGATGGTGGCCACACCTTTTCCCAGGAGCTCTATCCTAAGGAGAGATCAAAGTTCTGCCCACAGCAGTCAAGTCAGCCACTTTAGCCTGCTTGGCTGGAAGTGGGGTTCATTTTGTTCTGTGCTGCTCCCAGGCAGGCTGACACCCACTACTTTCCACTTTTCTTCATACTCTATGGGTTGAGATGTTTGCCCCATCAGTCCCAATGTGAGAACCTGGATATTTCAGTTGAAGATACTGGCCCAAACTAACTAATTCTTTCTTCTGTTTGATTCATTCTGCTATTAAAGGACTCTGATGCATTTTTCAGTATGCCAGTTACATTTTTCACTTCCAGAATTTCTGCCTAATTCTTCTTAATTATTTCAATCTCCCTATTAAACTTATCCAATAGAATTCTGAATTCCTTGTCTGGGTTATCTTGAATTTCTTTGAGTTTCCTCAACACAGCTCCTATTTTGAATTTTCTAAAAGATCATTTATCTCTGTTTCTCCAAGAATTGGTCCTAGGCCATGTTTTCCTGGATTATGTTGATGCTAGAAGATGTTCTTTGTCATCTGGACATTGAAGAATTAGGCATTGTTGTAGTTTTCACTGTCTAGGCTTATTTGTAGTCATCCTCCTTGGGAAGGCTTTGTAGATATTGGAAAGGACTTAGGTATGTGATGTATAAACTGTATCTGCATTAGAAGGCAACCTAAGCCCAGTAATGCTGTGGTTCTTGAAGACTTGCAGAGACACTGCCTTGATGGTCTTGACAAGATCTGGGACAATTCTCTGGATTACCAAGCAGAAACTCTTGTTCTCCCTTACTTCATCCTAAACATACAGATTCTGTCTCCCTCCTTTCTGTGTCACCTTAGGTGAGGATGGAGTGACACAAACATTACTGTTGCCATCACCACTATGGTTGTTTTGGATTGGATCAGACCTAAAGCCAGCCTGTGTCCCACCAAAGGCCTGTTGTAGCCACTCCTTGGCTACTGCCTATGTTCACTCAAGGCCCTAGAGTTCTACAGTCAGCAGATGGCAAAGTCATCCTGGTCTGTGTTCTCTCCTTTAGGGTGGTGAGGCTCCTTAGGCCCTGGGTAGGTCCAGAAGTGCTATCTGGGAGACAGGTTCAAAACCTTGGGAGACTACTCAGTGTGCTATTGCATTGCAACTTTCCCTTTCTTCTGTAACCCTTCAAATGGTAGAGGAGTTTCATCACATAGCCATCATCAGTCTGGGACATAAAGAGTGCTGCCAGACTACCACCAATGTTTTCTAAAGGCCCAATGACGTTTGTTTGTTTGTTTGTTTGTTTAGATGGAGACTAGCTCTGTCACCCAGACTGGAATAAAGTCGTGCAATCTTGGCTCACTGCGACCTCCACCTCCTGGGTTCAAGAGATTCTCCTGCGTCAGCCTCTTGAGTAGCTGGGATTACAGGTTCCTGCCACCACACCCAGCTAATTTTTGTATTTTTAACAGAGATATGGTCTCAATGTGTTGGTCAGGCTGATCTTGAACTCTTGACCTCGTGATCCACCTTCCTCAGCATCCCAAAGTGCTGGGATTGTAAGCGAGAGCCACTGAGCCTGGCCAAGGACTCTTAAATCAGCTTGTGAATGCTGCCTGGCCTAGGCATCAAACTTTATGGCAATGGGTTCCCCTAAGATTTGCAGGAACTCAAGATTGGATGGACAAGAGGGATCTGCAATTCTGGCTTAAATGCTCCCTGAAAGACCAAGCATCAGCTGAGTTGGGCCGGTTTTTCTTTCTACCCTAACAGGACAGCCCTGAGTTCATTGTCTCATGATTTCTGTGTTGTCCCTCCTGCAGCACAGAGATGCTCTCCACACCATACTGCCCCTGCCAGGGGTTTGGAAGGGTGACACTGGTAATTAGGGACTGTTTCTTTCTGTCTCTTCTGTGCTTCTTTCAGTGATATAAACATAAAAGCAGGTACCATGAGTGCTCACCTGATATTTTGGTTCTTATGAAGGTGTTGTTTTTCTGTGTAGATAGTGGTTAAATTGGTGTCTTTGCAAAGGTAAGGATTGCTGGAGTTTTCTATTTTGCCATCTCACTCTGCCTCTCTCCATCAACTTTTTTTGACAAAGTGCTAAGAATATACATTGGAGAAAGAAGATTCCTTCAATAAATGGTGCTGGAAATTCGATATATGCAACAATGTCCTCTTTACCTTCACTCTAGGGATATCTGAATACTGCCAAGAGATCCCCAAAACTTTCTATCTCCAGCCCAATTCTACCAGACTATTTCAAAAGGGTACTTATTGTGAGACACTGAAACTCCTACCAGTCATTTTAAGTCTGAGCTCCTTCAAAACATTTAATAAATATAAATGATGAACAGGGGACAGTGATAAACATATGAAGACAAGCAAACACTGACATGTCATGACAGACAAGTTAGAAATTAATTAGTACCAGAGATTAGGAGAACCTTAAGTACTGAGCATTAGTCTGGGCATGGTGGTTCACCCCTATAATCCCAGCACTTTGAGAGGCTGAGGCAGAAAGATCACTTAAGCTCAGGAATTTGAGAACAGCCAAGACAACAAGATGAAACTCCATCTCTACAAGAAATTCAAAAATTAACCAAGTGTCCAGATGTAGTGGCACACACCTGTAATCCCAACCACTCAAGAGGCTGAAGTGAGAGGATGGCTTGAATCTGGTAGGTAGAAGTTGAGTTAGGTAATCACACCACTGCACTCCAACCTGGGTGACAGAGCCAGACCTTGTCTCAAAAAAAAAAAAAAAAAAAAGAGAGAGAGACTAAATATTAGGTTGCATCTAGTTTCTTAGCTCCCATCCTTGAAATTTTAGATAAGAAGAAAGAGTGAATTTCAAGGTGGTGGAGAGTCTAGACAGTGACACCCAGGGAAGGTCTTATGGAGCTGATTCTTGAAGGTCATTCTCACTGAAATTTGTGGGGAGAGGAGGCTGCCTCTCTCCCCATCAATGTCTGACATGGGTGTTAGACATAGGTTTTCAACCAAAAGTGCACACAAAACCATACCTTCCAGACAAACCTTGTCTGACATGGATGTTAGACATAGGTTTTCAACCAAAAGTGCACACAAAACCATACCTTCCAAACAGAATAATCTACCAGCAACAATGGCTGCCTTTTGTTCATTCTTGTGCATTGCTTGACACTTGCCATGGGTATCTAGAGCCAAAAAGGGAACTGAGGGAAGGCAAAAGAAAATAATTTGGAAAAGTGACAGAAGAAGAAGAAGAAGAAGAAGAAGAAGAAGAAGAAGAAGAAGAAGAAGAAGAAGAAGAAGAAGAAGAAGAAGAAGGAGAAGAAGAAGAAAGAGGAGGAGGAGGAGGCAAACCTCTGAACCTGTGTGAAACTTCATGCTGTAATTTTATTCTTACTGGCATGGGGGAGTCCTATGTCTTAAGGCCCTTTCTGCACCATCTCAACAAGTTTGAGACTTGTTCTCTTTTTAACCCTTCCCCTTCACTGTGTTGGTTAGTGGTTGGTTGACTGGTTGGTTTTTCTTCATTTTATTATTAACTCAGTAAGATTGATTAATTTTCTGTCTTTCTGTTATTTATGGCATCTCTTTTTGAGTCCTCTTGCTCATGTTATTTGGTCATTATCATCCCACATAGGTACTGGCTTTCTATGACACAAATAATTCCCAACACATCTTAGGGTCAAGGGCTTCATCTTCCAGCAGATGCCACTGGCAGTTTGTGTCATAACTAACTGTTCCTGGTGCATGGTGCTCCACAGTTCCATAAAGGACTGCCCTCCCATAGTCCGTGAATAAACCTTTCCTATAAACAGTGCTCCTTGTCACTGAGCGTCTGCAGCAGAGGCAGAGAAAAAATTCCAATTTCTCCTCACAGCTTTTTTACAGATGAGCACACGTTACCCATTATTTCAGTGTCAGGACATGTCTCCGTGTACTGTATTCCCTATGTAAGAGGCAATCTGGACCTAAAAGAGTGTCCAAGAGATAAGCTAGAAGTAGATCTGCAGATAGGTCTGTCAAAACCAGACTCATGACCAGGGCTACAATTAGATTCACACTTCCCCCTACAAACTGCAGTTGCTCTTTTTTTTCAGCTTTAGCATTTGCCCTGTCCAGTGCCTCTGTTGGCTAATAAAAATTATCAAATAGTTGACTCAAGCAACTTACTGCTTGAGAGATTACACCCTCTGGAGATTAACTTGGAAATTTTTGTCACTTGTTGATTACATGTCCTTTGGAAATATTTCATTTACTCTGTATTTGCCATTGTATTTAAATTAAAACTTCTGGCATACTTATATATGAAGAAAGTAAAAAGTTTTCAACTTTATGCTCCAGGATCAGAATTCATCACACTATTTCCAAAGGGCAGAGATGGCTCTGTACAAAATTTCCTTCTTAAATAAATGTAATCGGTTGGATTTCAAACTTTAAACTCATGAGAATTTATAAACAGGTTGAAGTATGTGTGACTCAATAATGTCTTAGTTCTCTGCCTTGTTTTGGGTAGTACTTCAGTACCTAACTACTGAAGTTAAAACTGAACATTTTCAATGTTAGCGGTTTTTTTTCTTTTTCCATCCCCCAAAAAATTAAGAAAATTTGTATAATTATTATTTCTGCTTTGCAACTGTAAATCAATGTTTTTGACATCCTCTTTTAGAATATCCCATCAAAACTATCTAATGTTGACACATCAAGGTATCAGTTATTTATAAATATATGGCATTACATAACAAGACAGTTTTAAAGATCATTGGACAGAAATTTTATTTTGGATAAAATACTTTGCAATGCAGACAAAATCATTTAAGCAGGTAAACTATAATCAAAGGTAAAGAGCATCATTTGTATAAAGATAAATTATGTTTGTTTGTTTTTTCCATTTGTAGGTAGATCATATCCATTTATGATAAGGATGTTTCTCACTGTTTCTCTATGGAGCCCAGGGACAGGCCAGTGAGGAAAGAGTGGGACATCTGAAGCACCAACTACTTGTTTTGTGCCAACACTTGGGCTGCACAGAAGGGGCCCCTGAATGAACTGGTTAAGGATTTTACTGGGGTTTAATTTCAGGGAACTAACTGTGATACTTTTGGTGTCATACAGGCAGAGTTTGTGAATGCTTCCTGAATAAGGAGGTAGAGTGTGATGGCAATGAGGAATTATCTCCACTGCACTCCAGCAAAAAAAACCCTTCAACTTTCTGTATAAAATTGGCATTCCAGATCTGGTGTTTATTATATATATTATTTGCATAGGTATTATATGCTTAGATTAGATTGTTTTCAGCAGGATTCTTTATAAAGGGAAACTTATATGGAAATGAAAATAATCCCAGCACTTTGGGAGGCCAAGCGGGTGGATAACGAGGTCAGGAGATTGAGATAAGCCTGGCTAACATGGTGAAACCCCGTGTCTACTAAAAATACGAAAAAAAAAAAAAAAAAAGAAAAAGAAAAAATTAGCCAGGTGTGGTGACGGGAGAATGTGGTCCCAGCTACTCGAGAAGCTGAGGCAGAAGAATGGCATGAACCTGGGAGGCAGAGCTTGCAGTGAGCCAGGATCACACCGCTGCACTCCAGCCTTGGCTACAGAGCGAGACTCCATCTCAAAAAAAAAAAAGAGAGAGAGAGAATATTTGAAACCTGGGGTATCCGTTTATTTTTATAGTGGTTAAGAAAAGTTTTGCCCTTCTCCTGATTACACTCTCTTACCCAACAAACCTGTCAGAAAGCCAGCCCGTTGGAAACTCCATGGGCTATGAGATTCAGCTGCTCCTCCAAGCAACTTTCAACATTAAAGAAGAGAAGAAAGCCACATTGACTGAGCCTAAAACACAATGTTGGATTAACATTTATAGGGGAGGGGGTCTCTCAAGTCAGGTGGAATCCCTGTGGAAACAAGGGATTTTACATCATGGTAGGGAGGCTGCCTGCAGCTGGGGCTGAGGGGGCATGTATATGGCACTAGATAGAACCAGAGGGGATGGCTGCCTGGCTGAAAATCACAGAGAACGCTATACAAATAAAGGATAATTTGTAAAAATTCCTGTTTGTAGATTAATGTCGTGTTTATCTCCCTAGAAAGCTAATCAAATACAGATTTTTTCTGACATAATGTTTAAATTCCTCAATGAGGAGTATCTATACTGTGGATAAGAAATGTTTATAAAGTATTTTCAGTTTTAAATACTGAGGTTCCAGTAGAAATTTATCTAGTAAATTTATGATCAAACATTTTTTCTTGTGAATTTTGAAATAATTCTAATTATAGGCTAATCTCTGTAAAGTGTAAATACCATGAATATCAAAGTCTCATTATGGAAAAAACAATCCAAATACAAGGAGGTGACCCATTTAGAAAAAAAAAAAAAAAGATGTTTTATCATTTATTTTTTCCTACTTTATCCCAGTAGACTTCTTCTTGAAAACAAATGAATAAAATGACAAGGTAGTCTTTCTGGAATTGGTTTCTTCTGGTGGGTTCTTGGTCTCGATGATTTCAAGAATGAAGCTGTGGACCCTCATGGTGAGTGTTACAGTTCTTAAAGATGGTGTGTCCAGAGTTTGTTCCTTCTGATATTCAGATGTGTCCAGACTTTCTTCCTTCTGGACCCTCATGGTGAGTGTTAACAGTTCTTAAAGATGGTGTCTCGAGTTTGTTCCTTCTGATGTTCAGATGTGTCCAGAGTTTCTTCTTTCTGGTAGGTTCGTGGTCTTTCTGACTTCAAGAGTGAAGCTGCAGACCTTCATAGGGAGTGTTACAGCTCTTAAAAGTGGTGCTTCCAGAGTTGTTTCTTCCTCCCAGTGGGTTCGTGGTCTCACTGACTCCAGGAGTGAGGCTGCAGACCTTGACAGTGAATGTTACAGCTCACAAAGGTAGTGTGGACCCAAAGAGTGAGCAGCAGCAAGATTTATTGTGAAGAGTGAAAGAACAAAGCTTCCACAGCATGGAAGGGGAACTGAGTGGGTTTCTGCTGCTGGCTGGGGTGGCCAGCCTTCCCTTATTTGGCCCTGCCCACGTTCTGCTAATTGGTCCACTTTACAGAGCACTGATTGGTCCATTTTACAGAGTGCTGATTGGTCCATTTTTACAGAGTGCTGATTGGTGCATCTACAAACCTTTAGCTAGACACAGAGCACTGATTGGTGCCTTTTTACAGAGTGCTGATTGGTGCATTTATAAACCTTTAGCTAGACACAGAGCACTGTTTTGTGTGTTTACAATCCTTTGGCCAGACAGAAAAGATCTCCAAGTCCCCACCCCACCCAGAAGCCCAGCCAGCTTCACCTCTCAATCTGCCTCTAAACAGGACATCCCTACTGCTCTTGGGAATTGGGCGATGACTGCTGTAGATACTTCCTGCTGGATAGGGGTGAAGAAGGGGCCCTGCGGTTGTAGTGTCCTCCAGAGGGGCACTCTTTAGGCCAGTAAAGGGCCAGCAGGTCAGTCCAGGGGTCCTCAGTAGAAGTTGTTAGTTGAGCTCATTTGGGATTCCATTTGTAAGACCATCTGAAGCTTGATGGCCTTGATCATAGAGGAAACAAGTTTGACAAGGAGGTTAAAAATACAGGGCCCAAAGTTGAGTAATAGCAAGATGACTGCCATGGGACCTAGAAAGGAGAGAAGCCATGTTGCCCAACTCCAGAGGCTGGTATAAGAGTTTGAAAGGCATTGTCAGATTTCAGAAGCCTTTTCCTGTAAATGCCAGGCAACATCTTGTACTATCCCTTACTGGTCAGTGTAAAAACGACACTTCCCCTAAGAAGGTTCAGAGTCTTCCTTTCTCAGCAGTGAGGAGGTCTAGACGTCAGCAGTTTTGGAACATTGCTGCTGCCAAAGAGTCTATTTGGGATTGTAGAGTAAGGATGTGTTCTGTTATTTCTTGCAAACAGTCTGAGAAATGCTTTGAGAGTGTGTGGTAGTAGGATAATGAAGTGGATAAACTAGCTATTCCAGTTCCTGTAGCAGTAGCCACTCGTAACCCTGTAAGTAGGGGTATTAGTTGTATGGCTGTGCACTGATGGACTTGAGCTTGAGGGGTACAGATAAGGTCTGATTTCCTGGGGCAATGTTAATGTTGGGACTTAGAAAGACCAATGTGCAGGTGCCTGTCCAGTTAGCAGGAAGGTAGATATAGGTCAACGTTCCACATAATATACCTTGGCTGGGTAGACAGAACTGGTTGTATATGTTAAAAAGGTGTGTGAGTTTGTTATTTTCATTTTCCCATACTCCTAGAGTAGTTGCCAAGGTAGCTCCAACGATGGCTGGAAAGGGGTGTTGGGAGGAAACTGAGTGGCTCCCTGTGTTCTATTTTCCCATTAGAGAAAAAACTGTTTTGTATCTACTAGGAACAATTCGAGAGAGTGATTGAAAGAGGGGATGAGAAGGCACTCACTAATGGTGGGGGATTTGCTGCAGGGGGTCCAGGGGTGAATGGTCCTGCTGGGAGTTTGTTTGCCATTACAAAACCTGGACTGTTTGTTGAGCACGGAGGAGGTGATGATTTTGGGGGGTCCTGAGAAGTGGACAAGCCATCTGAATGGAGCTCTTTGGGTGACTCGGAAGTTACTATGATCAGTTGCGGCTTGAAGTTGTAGGGTGTAATTACGCTGATGAGGTAGTAGGTTCCCCAGGGCAGGCCTGATTACAGGTTGTGTTGGATGCATAAAGGGGCTTGGACAGTTAAGATGGTATTCGCAGTTACAGGGCTGTGTATGGGCTTTTCATTACTTGTGTAATCGGTGAGGTTGGAAATGTAAGAATGAAAAAGTTGAATTGCATTTCCTGTTAGGGTGTTCTTGGTCCTATCAGAGATGAGGAAGTCTGCTAATGATTGCATATTTAGAAGTCAGAAAGGGTATTTTCCTTCATAATGAGGGTGCTAGGTTAAGTTGGTAAAGACCCAGTTTTTTGTGGGAATGGGAGTGGCAACATAAGCAGAGGTTGACAAAGATACAAAGCAAACAGTAATTTGCCAGGGAAGGATTGGACTGCTTTAACAGAGAGTGAGTTAACTTGAGAGTGTTGTAGAGGTAGTTAGGAGCTAGTGGAAGGGGAGGGGTGATTGTATGAGGTATCCAAGGAAGCAGGAGGGATAGATAGGCAAAGGGTAAATAGGAAGGTAAGGAAGGTGCTCTGGAAGATGAGATCATTTTATCCAGGCTGAGTTAAATGTAGGAGTAAATTGCTGTCAGAAGGAAGATAGAAAGAAGGTTGATGTGATTATGATTTTCATCCCAGCAGGAGCTACAGTATTTAGTCCTATTGCAAAGAGTATGGTTAGTATACTGCTTAATAATGTATACTGCTTAATAATAATGAATAATATATGGTTAATATACTGCTTAATAATAATGAAAGGATTCCATTAAAGGGGCAAGAAGAGTGTTAAAGATTATGTAGGTTTTCACTTATCTTTTTTAAGGAGGAAGGGATTTCTCTTCAGGATCACTTGTAGGAGCATTTTGGTCTGGGATAGTTCCTTCTGAAATAGGAGATGTAAGTCCTCCAATGGTTCACAGGTTTATCAAGACTGGTCTGGCTGATCTTGGGACTCCTGAGCTGACAGTCCCACAGGTTCCACAGGGAGTGTCCAAAATTTAACTCTGGTATGATGAATACAAGATTCCACTCCTCCCACCTTAACTGCAGTGGGAGTAGAGAGGATTACCAAGTATGGTCCTTCTCGCAAAGAGTCCATAGATGGTGAGGTAGAGGGGAGAGATTTGACCAACACTAAATCTCCTGGTTGATACAATTCTGTTCCCTTTTCTCTGTGACATCCTTCAGGTAGTTTTTCAAGGTTTTATTGACATTTTGCCAAAGAAGTTATATCTTTGACCAAGTTGGCCATATCCTGATCAAGTAAGAGGTCATTTGTGAGAAAATGTCATCCATAGAGCATTTCATATGGACTGAGCCCCATTTTGTGAAGAGAATTTCAGATTCTCAACAAGGCCATGGACAAAAGGGTAGGCTAAGGGAGATGAGTTTCTTGTGTGAGTTTCCCTAAGTTCCTCTTGAGTGTTTCATTTGCCTTCTTGATCTTCCCTGAAGATTGTGGCCTCCTGGAGCAGTGAAGGAGATATTGTATCCCTAATGCCCTGGAAATTCCCTGAGCTATCATGGCTTTAAAAGCCGAACCACTGTTGCTCTGTAATCCTTGGGGAAGCCCAAATCTAGGAATTATTTCATGAATTAGGACTTTAATGACTTCCTGAGACTTCTTTGTCTTGCAGGGGAAGTATTCTATCCAATTTGTAAAGATATCAACACAGACCGACAACTATTAAAATCCCTTTGACTTAGGCATATGAGTGAAGTCTAACAATCAGTCCTCTCCAGGACAGTGACATATTCTTTTTCCCCCAAAGGGGTCTTATGATGGACCAAGGGATTATTCCTTTGGCACACCTCACAGGCTGTGACTACCTGTCGAATTGTCCGGAGGAGGTTTGGCCCTGTAAATAGGGATTTGGCCATTTGATGAGTGTTTTCAATACCCATATGAAAAGTTTTATGGAGGGTTTTAAGTATTTTCCACTGGCTGGCTTTGGGTATAAGTACCTTTCCTTCTGTCGTTAATCACCCCGAGGGGAGAAAACTATGCCCCCGTGAAAGTGCCCATTCTGTTTCAGTCAGGGAATACTGGAGCTTAATCTCTTGGTGGGAGTTGCTGCATACCAAGGGTCTTTCCATAAGTATTTCTCTTGGGAGTTTCTGCTTGGCAGCAATTTTGTCCTCAGCATATGCCCAATGGTTTCCTTCTGCCTTTTCTCCTTCACCTTTCTGATGGCTTTGGGAGTGTAAAACTGTCATCTCCTTTGGTTTTTGCACTGCGTGCAATAACTCTATAATTTCCTTGTGATATTTAATTGGGGTTCCACAGAGGTTAGAGATTCCCTTTCTTTCCATGTTGCAGCATGGGCATGTAGTAGTAGATAAGCATGCTTGCTATCTGTATACACATTTTTTCTTTTTTCCTTTCCCAGTTCTAAGGCTTTGGCAAGTGCCACTAGTTCTGCTAACTAGGTGCTGGTCCTTGTGGGAAGAGGCTGACTTTCAAGCACGCTTACATCACTAACTGTGGCAAAACCTGCCCTTCATATCCCATTCTCCACAAATGAACTTCCATTGGTATACAGGTTAAGGTCAGGATTAGCTAAGGGGACTTATAGGAGATCATCTCGGGTGGCATAAGTCTGGACTACAATTTGTTGGCAGTCACGCTCAATTGGTTCCCCATTCTCTGGGAGAAAAGTTGCAGGGTTGAGGGTCACATATGTATATATTTGAAGCACTGGTCCCTCAAGGAGCAGTGCCTTGTTTCTAAGCAGGCAGTTACCTGATAGCCATAAACTTCCTTTGGCACCTAATACGACATTTGCATCATGAGTAGTATAGTTGTGAGATCCTTCCTTGTATTAGTTTGATAGCCTCTGACACTAGGATGGCCACCGCCACAACTACCCATAAACAGTGAGGCCAGCCTTTTCCTACTATATCAATTTCTTTACTTAGGTAGGCCACTGGTTGTGGGGTTGTCCCACGAGTTTGAGTAAGCCGTCCAAGAGTTATCCCTGCTCTCTCTGTGACATATAAAGAGAAGTTTTGTCCTGTGGGAAGGCCTAAAGCTGGAGCTTGTATTAGAACTAGTGGTACTGTTTTAAGGTTTTGAAGACTGTTTCTGCCCCCTGGTTCCCATTCTACTAGATGATTATTTGCCTTCTGGGTCCCTTGATTAGAGTACAGAGGGGTCTGTCTATCTCACTGTATCCAGGGACAAATAGTCAGCAAAAGCCAGTGATTCCAAGGAACTGCCACAACTGTTTTAATGTCTTAGAGCAAGGATAAGCCAGTATAGGCTGTATTCATTCCCTTCTGGGGGCTGTGGCCCCTCTGGCTAAGATTAGGCCTAGACATTTGACCTGATGTAGGCAAAGCTTGGTCTTCGACTTAGACATATTGTACCCTTGATTAGCTAGAAAGTTCAAAAGATCTAGAGTAGCCTGCTGGCATGTGGCTTCCAAACTGGTAGCCAAAAGTAAATCATCACATACTGAAGGATCAGAGTGCCTGGACTTGAGAAGTGGCCTAGATATTGGGCCAGTGCCTAACCAAACAGATGAGGGCTATCCCTAAACCCTTGGGGCAAGACTGTCCACGTAAGGTGGACGTCCACATAAGGAGGCTTATCACTAATAGGAAGGGGAGCTATAGGGAGGCTAGGATATGGGAGTAAGCTAAGACATCCTCCTGTGATCTGTGGGATCCTCAAAAGCGAAGAGAAACTGGGAGTCAGTGTGCAGGGGAACAGAAAAAGGCACACTTGAGGTCCAGAAGAGTGAACCATTCTTCTTCCTCTGGTATTTCAGAGAGCAGTGTATAGGGGTTGGGTACAACTGCATATAGAGGAATTACTGCCTCATTGATGAGTCTAAGACCTTGCATTAGTCTCCACTGACCATTTGGCTTCTGTACTCATAGAACTGGGGTATTGCAGGGACAGCTGCATTTCTTTACTAAGTCTTGAGCTTTTAAATGTTTAACAATATCCTGTAATCCTTTATGAGCTTCAGGCCTTAAGGGATATTGCCTTTGATAAGGAAAAGTGGTGGGATATTTTAGGCTGATTTGGACTGGACAGGCATTTTTTGCACTTCAAAATTATCCTTCCAATGCCCAGACTTCAGGGTTGATTCCCTCCTCCAGTAGGAGACAACAAATGGGTAACTTGTTCCCCATATTCATAAAGATAATAGCTCCAGCTTTGGCTAACGTATCCCTCCCTAATAAGGGTGTGGGACTTTCAGGCATAACAAGAAAGGCATGTGAAAAGAGCAAGGTCTCCCACTTACAACTGAGGAGGTGGGAGAAATACCTGGTTACAGGCTGTCCCAGGATTCATCAGATGGTAACGGGCCTTGAGGACAGTCTTCCAGGACAGGAGATTAACAATGAGAAAGCCACACCCATGTCCAGGAGAAAGTCAGTTTCCTGGCCCTCAATGGTTAAATATACCTGGGGCTCAGTGAGGGTGATAACATGAGCTAGTGCTTGCCCCAGATACCCTCAGTCCTGTTGTTGGATCATCTGGTTGGGGGCTTCTGTCCCAGAGAACATTTGCACTCTGGGGCAGTGTGCCTTCCAGTGATTGCCTCAGCATAGTGGCCATGGATGAGGGGGGACTTGTTTCCTTTTGAACAATTTTTTCAAAGTGTCCTTGTAAGATACACTGACAACAAGCCCTATGGGGTGATTGGCTTGCTCCATTTTCTCTCCTTTCTGAACCACCAAGGTTTGTTTGTCTGAGCGACATGACTAAGGCCTTTCTCTTATCTCGCTTTTCCTTTGGGATATGTTCCTCTTGGTCCCTATTATAGAACACCATGGTTGCCAGATTTAATAATGCCTCTAGATTTTGTTCAGGGCCCAGGGCTCACTTTTGGAGCTTTCTCCTGGTATCTGTTGCTGATTGGGTAATAAACTTATCTTTTAAAATCAGTTGACCCTTGAGTGAGTTGGGTGACAAGTGAGTATATTTTCTTAACGCCTCCTGTAGCCACTCAAGGAAGGCAGAAGGATTTTCTTCCTTTCCCTGAGTTATGATGGACATCATTGAATAATTCATGGACTTTTTCCTAATTTTCAGTAGTCCTTCTAGAACACAGGTCAACAGATGTTTACAACTCCAATCCCCATGATCTGAGTCAAGTTCCCAGTGGGGATCCATACTGGGCTTGGCTTGCTGACCAGTAGGGAATTTATCCCTTTCTTCAGCTGTCATTCTGTCATTTACTTGACTAAGATACTAGGTATCTCCAAACTCTCAAGCTGCAGCTAATGCTGCATTCTTTTCATTAAAGGCCAGGGTTTGATCTAACAATAGCATGACATCTCTAGAAGTGAGATTGAAGGGTTGTCCTAGACCCTGTAGGACATCTATGTGCCTATCAGGATCATCTGAAAACTTCCCCAGGTCTGCCTTGATCTGCTTTAAATCAGAGAGGGAGAAGAGGACATGTACCTGGTTTGGGCCAAATTCCCCTCCCCCTACAGCTTGAAGGAGACATAACCAATAGCCTGGGGATTTTTGTGGTCCTTTGGATATTTCTTTGCTTATTTCCTTCTGGGTGGGGGAGATTAGAAGAGGCTTATCATAAACAGGAAGGGGAGCTATAGGGAGGCTAGGATATGGGAGTAAGCTGAGACATCCTCCTGTAGGATGTAAACTGCAAGCTTTGCATAGTTATGTATTCTCCTTCAATGAAAAGAAAGCTTGGATATGAGGTATTTCACTCCATTTGCCTTCTCTCTTACAGAAAAGTTCAAGCTGCAGGATAGTATTGTAATTTATACTTCCCTCAGATCATCATTTTTCCTCATCAGAAAAAGAATATTGGGGCCAGGCCATAGTGCAGAAGAAAATGAGCCACCTCTTTTTCAGGGTTTGTGGGTTAAATTGCTCCCAATGGCTTAGGATGCATTTCAACGGTGAGCCTGTTGATGACTGGGTGTTTCCCATCTGAAAGACAAAACCACCCATGGTTTTGGTTTGTTTCTCCCCCTGCCCAAGAACCTGCAATGGCCCCTGGGCTCTGCTGATTGGAATAGTTGTGATCACCAACACAGCAGCAGGAACACCTCTTACCCAAGAACCCACAATTGTCCCTGAACCCTGCTGATCAGAATAGTTGCACTCACCGATGCAGCAGCAGAAACACTAGTTTTCCTCCCAGACCACATGGAGGACTGAGGAATGTCAGATTTAGTGGCCTTTACCAATGCATTCTCAGAAACCTGTACCATTGCCTGTCCTCCTAGACCACAAAGAGGACCAAGAAAAATTGGATTTAGAGGCCCTTACTAATGCATTCTTGAAAACTTGTTAGAGTCCTAAGTGTTCTCCTTTGCTCATATCCTATAAAGATGTTATGCCTCAAAAATGAAGGGGAGGGTCATATCCTGAGGGAGGAGAGGGATCTCCAGAGTTGGTAGAGTGATACCTTTTGTCCTCTTTTGAATAGGAAGGATATCATTTCTGAGGCTCCCCATATCCTAGCTTCAGGAATAGCTTTTGTTAGGCCTGCTTGTCTCAGGGGGTATCTTAAAATTCCAGACAGTCCACCCTACAATGGGGCTTTGGGCAAAAATTGTGTCTTTCTAATTGGTGAGCCCAGGTGCTTAAGCAGGTAACAGAGTCCTAAAGTTTATACTAGAAATCATTCTTATAGGAGAAACTAGAAAAGCGGCAGAGACAGGGAGTGGTTTTTAGAAGTGGGACTAGCCTCAGAGAAGAGAGCCAAGAGGAAGTTTGTCTGACAGGTATTAGACCCAGGTGGCAATGGTCAGGATAGATAGAATAGATGGGGAGTATCACTTGGATGACATGACTTTGAAAGTTCCACTCATGGCCACAGGATCAACCAAATTTTATCAGGACCAGAGGGCTGAATGGCTTTCCGCTCTGTTGACCCTTGCCTCAGCCTGGAAGTACAGGAAAAGCGGAAGCTGGTTCCAGGCAAACCAATGCTCCCAAATCCTAAGAGTCGGGGGTTGTTAGAGAGACCTTTCCCAGAAAGCCTGACACCCATGTCTTTAGTCCAGCAGCCGTGCTAGTGACTTTTAACTGGCTGAAGGTGCCCAGTATTTAGCCCCCAAATTCTAATGAAAAATCGGACAGAATAACAAGTGAAAGGGATCCAATGGTACTCACTGCTTGGTGATAGTCCCTTCATGGTCACCAAAATGTTTCCAGAATTGTTTCATTCTGGTGCGTTCCTCATTTTGCTTACTTCAAGAATGAAGACGCAGACACTCATGGTGAGTGTTACAGTTCTTAAAGAAGGTGTGTCTCGAGTTTGTTCCTTCTAATATCCAGATGTGTCTGGAGTTTATTCCTTCTGGACCCTAATGGTGAGTGTTACAGTTCTTAAAGATGGTGTGTCTGGAGTTTGTCCCTTCTGATGTTCAGATGTGTCCAGACTTTCTTCCTTCTAGTGGGTTCCTGGTCTTCCTGACTTCAGGAGTGAAGCTGCAGACCTTCGCAGTGAGTGTTACAGATCATAAAGGTAGTGCAGATGTGTCCAGAGTTTCTTCCTTCTAGTGGGTTCATGGTATTGCTGACTTCAGGAGTGAAGTTGAAGAACTTTGCAGTGAGTGTTATGATTCTTAAAGGTGGCACATCTGGAGTTGTTTCTTCCTCCCAGTGGGTTCGTGGTCTTGCTGACTTGAGAGGTGAAGCTGCAGACCTTTGCCATGAGTGTTACAGCTCATAAAGGTAATGCAGACCCAAAGACTGAGCAGCAGCAAGATGTATTGTGAAGAGCAAAACAACAATGTTTCCACAGCATGTAAGGGGACCTGAGCCGGTTGCCATTGCTGGCTAGGATGGCCAGCTTTTATTCCCTTATTTGGCCCCACCCACATCCTGCTGATCGGTCCATTTTATGTAGCACTTATAGGTCCATTTTACAGAGTGCTGATTGGTCCATTTTTATGGAGTGCTGATTGGTGTGTTTACAAACGTTTAGCTAGACACAGAGTGCTGACTGATGCATTTTTAAAGAGTGCTGATTGGTGCATTTACAAATCTTTAGCTAGACACAGAGCACTGATTGGTGTGCTTACAATCCTTTAGCTAGACAGAAAGGTTCTCCAAGTACCCACCTGACCCAGAAGCCCAGCTGGCTTCAGCTCTCAGTAGGGTCAACAAAGAATCAAATTCTGTAAAATATTTGAACACATTTATTCTGAGCCAAATATGAGTGACTAGTGGCCTATGACATAGCCCTCAGAAGACCCTAAGAATACATGTCCAAGGTGGTTGATGTAAAACTTGGCTTAATACATTTTAGGGAGACATGGAGATATCAATCAAATACATGTAAGATGTACATTGGCTCAGTTCAGAAAGGTGGGAAACTGGAAACGGGGACAAGGGAGAGAGGCTTCCAAATCACAGGTCAATTCAAATATTTTATAATTGGCAATTGGTTGAAAGTTAAGTTACTGTCTAAAGACTTAGAAATGTCTAGGTTATGAGAAGGGGTTGTTTTATTAGGCATGTGAAGCTTCTAGGTAGCAAACTTCATAAAGAATAGAATAAATATTTTTCTTTTGTATTTTTTACCCTTTTGAGACAGGTTTTCACTCTGTCACCCAGACTAGAGTGCAGTGGCACGATCTTGGCTCACTGCAGCCTTCATCTTCTGGGCTCAAGTCATCCTCCTGCCTCAGCTTCCCAAGTAGCTGGGACTTCTAGCATATATCACCATTCATACCTTGGTTTTGTATTTTTTGTGCAGATAGGGGTCCACCATGTTGCCCATCCCTGTCTCAAACTCTGGAATTCAACAATCTGCTTGCCTCTACTTCATAAGATGCCAGGATTACAGGTGTGAACCACAGTGCCCAGCCAATAAATGTTTCTTATCAAACTTAAACCCTCTGTTCTATCATTAATTACAAAAGAGAGGAAGGTATAATAAGGCATGTCCAACCCCCACTTCATATCATGGCCTGAATTAATTTTTCAGCTTAGCTTTGTAATGCCTTTCCTAGAGGAAGCATGCTTTCAGATGATCAGGAGGCTTAGAATTTTATTTTTTGTTTACATTCTCCCATTTCTGGCCAAGACTTGCCAGAGGCAACATCACTGACTACCAAATTTTTATTTTGTCCCATAGTATTGCTGGAGTAGCATGGCTGCCTTCCCTGCATACATCCTATTTCTCAGTGGGACACTCCTATAGAAAAGAGACATAAAGTCAATAGATTTAACAAACTTTATGGTTGGAATGGATAAAAAGGTGTCACAAAATAGCTTGGAAGGCAGAGTCATTTTACCAGCTGTTTAGGCATCACAATGTCCATTCCTAATTTGAAGCATCTGAAATAATTCTATTCCTCAATACCAGCGTTTACAATCTCACATGGCCACCTCTTTGTGACAGTCTCTGCCTAGAGGGAGAGTACTTATATAGTCTTAGCAGCAGGGCATTTGCAGAGAAAAACAGGTCAGGTCCAGTTGGATGTCAAATGAGGGAGACTGGCATCTCTAGTGTTCAGAATACCTTAATTCCGATTTCCTTGGAAGTAAAACAAGGAGAGAAAAATAACGTTAGTATTTTGGCATCAAAAGAGCATTTGTGTGTCAGAACAAAAAAAGGAAGCTATTCCATTAGTATGCCAAATAAAAATATGAAAAAAGTTGTAATCTGGCCCTCTTAAAAGTATCATTGTAGCCAAGAAATAACTCATAATTGAATCTGCATTCAAAAACAAAGGTCAGAATTGAAATCTAGAAACAAATGTTGTACCTTTCCTTTGAAACAATTTCTCTCCCTCTAGCCCTCATTTTTTGTTAAAGAGAAATAAGAGTAGGACAAATTTTTGTGTAAAAGAAGTTTCAGGTTTGTTGTACTTAGCTTAATTATTTGCATAAAATACAAGAATGGATTGGACATATATGCTCCTTTTAAGTTGGATTTGCTGGAATTTTACCTAATAATATGTTATTCTAGTCAGTCTTCTTAACGTAACCAATATTTCCAGTTGTCCTATTTTAAAAGAAAAGACTTAGTAAACTTACAGAAATAACTGTGGTGTCATAAAATTATAGTTTCTAAATTTTGGGGAACTCAGAGAAAAAGGTAAATTTGCTCACAAAAGCACACTTCACCCAAAGGCACTAAGCCATAAATAAACCAAAAGAAAAAGATTTCCTTGACTCTATTTTAGCCAGAGCATCCGTCTTTCAAACAAGATCTTATTTGTATACCTTGGAACTGCCACTCATATGCTAGCCGCTTTTGACAGATGAGAGCTACCAGACATTGTAAAATCTGGCAGCTCTTCACATGATTAGAGTCAGTCCTGGAGAAAAAGGAGGATCGCTCCTCATAAGTGTTTCCTCCTTGCTTTGGCAGATAGCAAGATCCCATGTAAAACATTATTAATTTATCATGAAAATTTTGGGCACCATTATTTCCATTAGCATAGGGGAAGCTCAGTAAACATCCCATAGCAAGGCAGTAAGTGCCCCTCAAGTGGAAATTCTCTATTTAAGTCATTGTCATTGGGAAGTGCTAACAGGCTTTTGGTATAAGCCCCAATAAGTTTTCCACAAGGCTATGAAGTGGAGGATTTTTCTTGACTAGCACCCCAGCTTCTACTTTACACTATTTGGGCTCAAGTGATCTTCCTAGTTCCTAGTTCGCATGTCCAATTAACATTTCTCAAAGGGAAGATTTATGTGACTTCAGTTTTATAGTACTAGATATGGGAAACATCTCTGAATCATAGGAAGATTCAGAGGTTTCCTAATTAGCAGCTGGTTGAAAGAGTTAAGCTTGTCTGAAGAGTTAAAATTGTCATAAAAAATGATTGAGGTATGGTAAGAAGGTGTAGGAGTGTAGAAGCCAAGGTTCTTGAAATGTGGATAAAGCCTTCAGGTAGCAGGGTTTAAGGAGAATACATGTGAATGTCTCTTACTAAAAGTATCAGACTCTCCAGAGAACTAGTAAGGGAAATAGATTCTCTGCAGAATGTAAGTTTTCCTCACAAGAGATGGTTTTGCAGAGTCATTTCCAAATATGTCAAAGAAATACATTTTGGGGTAAAATACATTCATTTCCTTCACTGCCTACTATCTCTCATGTGATGTCGTATCAGTCAGGTTAGAGCTGAATATCCTATTCTTATAAAAACTATGTTTTATCAGTCTTATGATTTCTGTTTTAATGTTAATGCTGGTCAGTTGTGCCTAAACACCAAAGGGAGGAGGGCATAATAAGGATGTTCAATGTCCACTTCCTGTCATAACTTCTGACATCATCAGAGGCTGTACGGGTGGCTGGGATTGTTTCTGTGGTGTTTCTCTGGGATAGTCTCCCTGGTTTAAGCCAAGATTAAGACTTTATTCAAGTTCCCTAATGGAGCTGAATTTGAAACTCTGTTTCTTAAGGTAAGAATTCTGTGTGTTCAATGAGACACCATCTCACACCAGTTAGAATGGTAATCATTAAAAAGTCAGGAAACAACAGGTGCTGGAGAGAATGTGGAAAAATAGGAACACTTTTACACTGTTGGTGGGACTGTAAACTAGTTCAACCATTGTGGAAGTCAGTCTGAAGTTTCCTCAGGGATCTAGAACCAGAAATACCATTTGACCCAGCCATCCCATTACTGGGTATATACCCAAAGGATTATAAATCATGCTGCTATAAAGACACATGCATAAGTATGCTTACTGCAGCACTATTCACAATAGCAAACACTTGGAACCAACCCAAATGTCCAACGACGATAGACTGGATTAAGAAAATGTTGCACATATACACCATGGAATACTATGCAGCCATAAAAAATGATGAGTTCATGTCCTTTGTAGGGACAGATGAAGCTGGAAACCATCATTCTCAGCAAACTATCGCAAGACAAAAAACCAAACACCACATGTTCTCACTCATAGGTGGGAATTGAACAATGAGAACACTTGGATGCAGGAAGGGGGATATCACACACTGGGACTAGTTGTGTGGCTGGGGAAGGGGGGAGGGGTAGCATTAGGAGATATACCTAACGGAAATGACCTGTTACTGGGTGCAGCACACCAACATGGCACATGTATACATACGTAACAAACCTGCACGTTGTGCGCATGTACCCTAGAACTTAAAGTATATATATAAAAAAAAGAATTCTGTGTGTTATTTCTCCAGATATTCTGCTGTTTGCAGGTGTGGGTTTCACTTTCCTTTGAATTTAAGGTTTTGTTTGTCTTACTTGCTTGTAGCCTTTCTTGTTTGTAACATTTCCTCTAGCTCAAATTTGGTCAAGGAGGAAAAAAAAGAATTTACCTCTGAAAAGAAAAATGGAGTCATCTTGGCTTGAGCAAAATTTATTATTTTTAAAACTAAAGCTTGGTTCAATTGATATGTATTTGTATATATAATTTCTTCTTGACTGACCAAAATTTTCCTTACAGACTTTGGTCACTTAAGAAGAGAATCCAAATTAGAGACAAGTGTTCATTCAAAACCAAGTCTTTCTCCTTAACGAGAGATCCAGTTTTAGAGACCCAACAGGGTTCATGTACAATACTTATGGTGCCATCTTTTGTAATTATTTAGGAAAACAATCTCACATAATTTGTGAATATCCAAAATCGCAATGCCAAAAATGCGGTAACCTTGACATGCCTAAATGAACTTACATGTACACTGAATTTAAAAAGAAATAGCCAGCTGTAAGAGAAAACAAAATAATTCAGAGAGTTTTTCTGACAATGTTAATATGCTTTGTCTGTGTTGTCACTGAAATCTCTCCATGAATTTCTATGTGTTGTGGGAGGGACCTGTGGGAGTAATCATGGGGCAAGAGTTTTCTGTGCTGTTCTTGTGATAGTGAATAAGTCTCATGAGATCTAATGGTTTTATAGTTTCCCTACACAAGCTCTCTCCCTTTGCCTGCTACCATCAATGTAAAATGAGACGTGTTCCTCCTTGTCTTCTACTATGTTTTTGAGGCCTCCTCAGCCATGTAGAAATGTAAGTCTATTAATCCTCTTTCTATCATAAATTGCCCAGTATTGGGTATATTTTATCAGCAGCATGAGAACACACTAATACAGTAAATTGGTATCAGCTGCTGAAAAGATACCTGAAAATGTAAAAGTGACCTTGGAATTGGGTTACAGACAAAGGTTGGAACACTTTGGAGGGCTCAGAAGACAGGATAATGTGAGAAAGTCTGGAACTCCCTAGAGACTTTTTGAATCGCTTTGACCAAAATGCTGATAATGCTATGAAAAATAAAATGCAGACTGAGGTGGTTTCAGATGAGATAAGAAACTTGTTGGGAACTGGAGCAAAGGTGACTCTTATTATGTTTTAGCAAAGAGACGTGGTATTTTGCCCCTGCCCTACAGATTTGTGGAAATTTGAACTTGAGAAGGATGACTTAGGATATCTACTGGAAGAAATATCTAAGCAGCAAGCGTTCAATAGGTGCTGTTAAAGGCATTCAGTTTCTTCTTCTTTTTTTTTTTTTTTTTTTTTTTTTGAGATGGAGTCTTGCTTTTTCACCCAGGCTGATGACGCAATCTTAGCTCACTGCAACCTCCACCTCCCAGGTTCAGGCAATTCTCCTGCCTCAGCCTTCTGAGTAGCAGGGATTACAGACACATGCCACCATGCCTGGCTCATTTTTTTATTTTATTTTATTTTTTTTTTTGAGACGGAGTCTCTCTCTGTCACCCAGGCTAGAGTGAAGTGGCAGGATCTCGGCCCACTGAAAGCTCCACCTCCTGAGTCCACACCATTCTCCTGCCTCAACCTCCTGAGTAGGTGGGATTACACGTGCCTGCCACCATCCTTGGCTAATTTTTTGTATTTTTAGTAGAGACAGGATTTCACTGTGTTACCCAGGATGGTCTTGATCTCCTGACTTTGTGATCTGCCTGCCTCGGCCTCCCAAAGCGCTGAGATTACAGGCATGAGCCACTGCACACCGCCAGACATTCAATTTTATAAGAGAAGCAGACCATAAAAGTTCAGAAAATTTGAACCCTGACAATATGATAGAAAAGAAAATCTCATTACTGAGGAGAAATACAAGCTGGCTGCAGAAATTTGCATCACTAAAAAGAAGTCAAATGTTAATCCACAAGACAATGGGGAAAATGTCTCCCAGTATGTCAGAAGTTTTCTCAGCAGCCCCTGTTATCACAGACCTGGACACTGAGGTGAAAAAAGGAGTTTCATGGGCTGGATCCAGGGTCGCCATGCTGTGTGCAACCTAGGGACTTGGTGCCCTGCATCCCAGCCATTCTAGTTGTGGCTCTAAGGGGCCAACATACAGCTAAGGCCATGGCTTCAGAAGGTGTAAGTCCCAAACCTTGGCAGCTTCCATGCCATGTCGAGCTTGCAAGTGTACAGAAGTCAAGAATTGCAGTTTGGGAACCTCCGCCTAGATTTCAGAAGACGTATGGAAGTACCTGGATGCCCAGGCAGAAGTTTGCTGCAAGGGTAGGGCCCTCCTGGAGAACCTTTGCTACAGCAGTTCAGAAAGGAAATGTAGGGTTAGAGCCCCCACACAGATTCCTCACTGTGGTACCACTTAGCAACCCTGTGAGAAGAGGGCCACTGTCCCCCAAGCCCTAGAATGGTAGATCCACTTATAGCTTGCACCACACACCTGGAAAAGCCACAAACACTCAAAAATAGCTCATGAAAGCAGCTGGGAGAGAAGCTATACACTGCAAAACCAGAGGAGTGGAGCTGCCCAAGACCATGGAAACCCGCCTCTTACATCAACATGATGTGGAGGAGAGACATGAGTCAAGGGAGATCATTTTGGAGATCTGAGATTTGACTGACCCACTGGATTTCAGAATTGCATGCGGCCTGTAGCCCCTTTGTTTTCATCAATTTCTTACATTTGGAATGGCTGTATTTATTTGATGCCTGTACTCCCATTGTATTTAAGAAGTAATTAACTTTCTTTTGATTTTACAGGCTCATAGGCAGAAGGAGCCTGACTTGACTTGGATGAGACTTTGGACTGTGGACTTTTGAGTTAATGCTGAAATGAGGTAAGACTTTAGGGGACTGTTGGGAAGGCATGATTGGTTTTGAAATGAGGACATGAGATTTGGGGGGTCCAGGGTGGAATGATATGGTTTGGCTATCTTCCCACCCAAATTTCATCATGAATTCCCAGGTTTTATAGGAGAGACCATGCAGGAGGTAATTGAATCATGGGGGCAAGTCTTTCCCATGCTGTTCTCATGATAGTGAATAAGTCTCATGAGATCTGATGGTTTCTTTAAAGAAGAGTTCCTCTGCACAAACTCTGCTTTTTGCCTGCTGCCATCCATGTAACACATGACTTGCTCTTCCTTGTCTTCTGCCAAAATTTTGAGGCCTCCTCAGCTATGTGTAACTGTAAGCCCATTAAACCTCTTTCTTCTGTAAATTGCCCAGCCTTGGGTATGTCTTGATCAGTAGCATGAGAGCAGCCTAATACAAATGGTATTTGGAAACATCTAATGGGTCTTCTAATAAAGTTATTTCTTCAATGCAACAAAAAAAATTGTCTAAAACAATTTCTGAATTTAAAAGGACTGCTGAAATATTTTCCTCAGTTTTTCTGTATTATTTATAATGTGAAGTACCTTGCCCAGATCTACCTCCTTTTTATCTATCCTCCTCTTGTTCCTTCTGATGTCGCTCTTTCCTTCTTGAAGTGCCAGTGTCTTGTAGGACACAACCTGCAGTACTTTATCAGTCATGACCAAAAGTAGAATTTAAAATAAGAACTGAAAAACTTCCTTATCCTCACCAGAACCCTACTGGTTTTGCTGGAAATTTTTTATTATTATTTTACTTCAAGTTTTAGGGTACATGTGCACAAATGCACATTTGTTACATACGTATACATGTGCCATGTTGCCATGTTGGTGTGCTGCACCCAGTAACTCATCATTTAACATTAGGCGTATCTTCAAATGCTATCCCTCCCTTCTCCCCCAACCCCACAACAGGCCCCAGTGTGTGACGTTCCCCTTCCTGTGTCCATGTGTTCTCATTGTTTAATTCCCACCTATGAATGAGAACATGTGGTGTTTGGTTTTTTGTCTTGCGATAGTTTGCTGAGAATAATGGTTTCCAGCTTCATCCATCCCTACAAAGGACATGAATTCATCATTTTTTATGGCTGCGTAGTATTCCATGGTGTATATGTGCCACATTCTCTTAATCCAGCCAATCATTGTTGGACATTTGGGTTGGTTCCAAGTCCTTGTTATTGTGAATAATGCCGCAATAAATATACTTGTGTGTGTCTTTGTAGCAGCATGATTTATAATCCTTTGGCTATATACCCAGTAATGGGATTGCTGGGTCAAATGGTATTTCTAGTTCTAGATCTCTGAGGAATCGCCACACTGACTTCCACTATGGTTGAACTAGTTTACAGTCCCAACAATAGTGTAAAAGCGTTCCTATTTCTCCACATCCTCTCCAGCACCTGTTTTTTCCTGACTTTTTAATGATCGCCATTCTAACTGGTGTGAGATGATATCTCATTGTGGTTTTGATTTGCATTTCTCTGATGGCCCGTGATGATGAGCATTTTTTCACGTGTCTTTTGGCTGCAAAAATTTCTTCTCTTGAGAAGTGTCTGTTCACATCCTTTGCCCCCTTTTTGATGGGGTTGTTTGTTTCTTTCTTGTAAATTTGTTTGAGTTCATTGCAGATTCTGGATATTAGCCCTTTGTCAGATGAGTAGATTGTAAAAGTTTTCTCCCATTCTGTAGGTTGTCTGTTCACTCTGATGGTGGTTTATTTTGCTGTGCAGAAGCTCTTTAGTTAATTAGATCCCATTTGTCAATTTTGGCTTTTGTTGCTATTGCTTTTGGTGTTTTAGGCTTTAAACCAACAAAGAAATGGGAGTCAGCCCTAATTGGGGTCGATTAGAAAATGAAGCAGTAATGAAGAATGTTGCCATTGTTCAGTTACTCACCGTGTGCATATGGGGGAGGGATAGAATAAATGTTACAGGAGAAAAATACCCTTCTTTCAGTTCTGTCTGACAAGGAGCTAAAGAACCACATACTGATTTTATTGCTTGGCTCCAGGAGGCTGTGTATAAGGCCATTACTGACAAACCAGCTCACGATGTTGGAATACAGCTTCTTGCATATAATAATGCTAATACAGATTGTCAAAATGCTATTATACCTATGAGAAGGAAGGTTCATTTGGCTGAATATAATAAGGCTTGTGATGGCATTGGGGGTAACTTACATAAGGCTACTCTATTAGATCAAGCTATGGCTGGACTAAAGGTGGGAAAATATATGCCCCATTTCCCAGGCTCTTGTTTTAATTGTGGGCAATTTGGACACACAAAAAAGGAAGGTAAAAAAGGAAATCAACTGGCAAGGGCTTCTACCAGTAAGCAACATTACTAGCCCAGCAGGAAAAGCTGTATATTGGGTTAATCAAGTGTCTGATAAGAGACCTATTTGTACAGTAGCCATTCAAGACATAGACTTTAAAGTGTTAGTAAATACTGGAGCTGATGTTTCTATTATTGCTTTAAATCAGTGGCCCCAACACTGGCCCCAACAAAAGGCATCCATCGGTACTGTTGGAGTAGGAGCTGCTTCAGAAGTTTTTCAAAGTTCCTTGATTTTACCATGTCAAGGGCCAGATGGCTAGGAAGAAACAATTCAACCTATTATTATACCTATTCCTGTCAATCTATGGGGTAGAGACTTATTGCAAATAGGGTGCTGAAATATCTATTCCTTTGGATCAGTGTAGTAATAACGGTAAACAAATGATGAAAAATATGGGATATCCCCTGGGAAAAGGATTAGGAAAGAATGAAAGCGGCCAATCAGAACCCGTAGAACTAAAAAGGCAAACAGATAGAACCAGATTAGGGTATCATTTTTAGAAGCAGCCATTGCTAAGCCTCCTGCTCCCATTCCTCTTGTTTGGCTAACTACCAAACTGGTTTGGGTAACTACCAAACTGGTTTGGGTGGAACAATGGCCACTGAAACAGGAAAAACTGGAGGCTTTAAAAAATTGAGTGCAGAAACAGTTGCAAAAGGGACACACAGAGCCTACTTTCTCCCCTTGGAATTCTCCTTTGTTTGTTATTAAGAAAAAATCAGGGAAATGGAGAACGTTAATAGATTTGAGGGCTGTTAATGCTGTAACTCAACCCATGGGTGCACTGCAACCAGGGCTGCCCTCTCTAACAATGATCCCAAAATACCAGCCTCTAATAGTGATAGATTTAAAAGATTATTTCTTTACCATTCCTTTAGCTACCCAAGATTATGAAAAATTTGCTTTTACTGTTCCTGCTGTAAATAACAAAGAACCAGTGGACAGATACCATTGGAAAGTATTACAAGGCATGTTAAATAGCCCAGTTATTTGTCAAATTTATGTTGGAAAATCTATTAAGACAGTTAGAGAACAATTTTAAAAATGTTATATTATCCATTACATGGATGATATTTTAGGTGCAGTTGAAACTAAGAAGGAATTAATACTATGCTACAAACAGATAGAAAAGGCTGTAACTGCAGCAGGATTAATTATAGCCCCCAATAAAATCCAAACTTCTACTCCCTTTCAATATTTAGGAATGAAGGTAGAACAAAGTGCTATTAAGCCTCAAAATGTTCAAATTTGAAGAAATAATTTAAAAACTTTAAATGACTTTCAAAAATTATTGAGACAATAATTGGATTCATCCAACTTTAGGCATTCCTACCTATGCTATGTCTCATCTTTTTTCTACTTTATGAGGGGATTCTAACTTAAATAGTAAATGCTCCCTGTCCAAAGATGCATTAAAGGAACTTCCATTAATTGAAGAAAAAATTCAACAAGCATGGGTGAAATGAATTAGCCCTATGCAGCCATTACGGTTTTTAGTTTTCCCTACTAAACATTCACCTACAGGAGTTATTTTTCAACAAAATGATTTTGTTGAGTGGCTTTTTCTCCCTCACAATACAACCAAAATGTTTACTCTGTACCTAGATCAAATTGCTGTACTAATAGGACAAGCAAGGCTGTGCACAACAAATTTAATGAGATATGATCCAAATCATATTATAGTTCCATTAAATGAACAACAAATTCAGCAAGCTTATATTAATTCCCAGGACTGGCAAGTTAATTTGGCAGGTTTTGTTGGCATTCTTGATAATCATTATCCTAAATTCAAAATATTCCAGTTTCTAAAATTAACATCCTGGATATTGACTTCTATTACTCAAAAAGGCCCTATTGAAGGGGCTATTACTGTCTTTACTGGTGGGTCTAGTAATGGGAAAACCTCATTTGTGGGACGTCGACCACAAGTTTTTCAAACTGACTTTGCTTCTGCTCAAAGGGCTGAACTTACAGCTGTAATTACAGTACTGAAAACTTTTAAACAGCCAGCTGATATTGTTTATGATTCAACTTATGTGGTGCAAGCCACACAAAATATTGAATGTGCCTTAATTCACAATGTGACTGGACAACTTAATCTTTTATTTCATTCTTTACAACAAGCGGTACAACAAAGACATTTCCCTTTCTATATTACTCATATAAAAGCACATAATAACCTCCCTGGTCTTTTAACTAAATTTAATCAAGGAACAGATGCACTGGTTTCTGTGGCTTTTACTGATGCATAAACATTCCATTCCTTATCCCATCTTAATGCTGCAGGCCTCAGAAAAAGATATGGGTTATCCTGGAATCAGGTTAAGGAAATTGTGCAACACTGCTCTGCCTGTCAAGTTCTACATCTGCCATATCAGGGAGCAGGAGTTAACCTTAGAGGTTTATTTCCAAATTCCATCTGGCAGAGGGATGTAACACACATTCCTGCTTTTGGAAAATTGTCCTTTGTTCATGTTTCAGTAGATACTTATTCACATTTTATCTGGGACACATGTCAAACAGGGGAAGCTACAGCTCATGTTTAAAAGCATGTTTTTTCTTGCTTTACAGTTAGGGGAATCCCAGAAAAAAATCAAAACTGATAATAGCCCAGGGTATTGAAGCAAAGCCATGGCTGCATTTTTTCAACAGTGGAATATTATTCATACTACAGGTATTCTATATAACTCACAGGGACAAGTAATAGTTGAAAGAGCTAATTGTACCTTAAAAAACTCAGTTACAAAAACAGAAAGATGGAGACCAGGAATATAAAACCCCACATATAAAATTACACCTAGCTTTATTAACATTAAATTTTTTAATTTACAAAAAGGTCAACCCAAGACAGCAGTTGAACAACATCTGATGGGACAAAAGGAAAATAAAAAGTCTGGACAAGATATATGCTGGAGGGATGCACATACAAAGAGCTGATAAAAGGGAAAAATAATTACATGGGGAAGAGGATATGTTTGTGTCTCTCCAGGTGTCAATCAGGTGCCTCTGTTTGTTCCCACCAAACATCTGAAGATTTGTCATGAGCCACACCAGGAAGAGAGGACTCTGGGAAGAGCCAGAACGCCTGAAACAAATGATAAGCCTCCCTACTGTAGGAGCAACTCAAAATTTTACTTATTGGGCATATGTCCCATTTCCTCCTTTAATGAAGGAGGACCCTGTGAGTCTGTGAGTTGGATGGACCCTGTCATTGAGGTGCACAACAATGACAGTACCTGGATGCCTGAGCCCAGAGATAACTGAGGGCCAATGCATCCTAATGAGGAAGGGATGAAGATGAATATGTCAATAGGATATAAATATCCTCCAATATGCCTAGGACCTGCTGCTGGATTGCTTACAAATTAGCACACAAGTATGATTGGTAGTAATCCCCAGAAAAAACTAAATCACAAGCTACTTTACATATGATTTTGGGACAAAGTTTAAAATATAACCATTCTAGCACTAAATCTCAGCAGTTCTGTCCAGACAAACTCGAATGTAAACAAAATAGACTTTGGTTTGAAGGTGTGGATGCTTGGAATGGGGAAAATTTTATAGCAAGTAAGGCTGAGGTGTTACAAAATAATTCCTATGGAATCATCATTGATTGGTCCCCTAAGGGGATTTTTAAGAAAAATTGCATCAGAATGCCCTCTTGTAGAAAAAATGAAATAAGCCGATGGAATCGTTGGAAAGAGAACCATATACAGTATAGTCAGATGGAAGCTGATGTCACTATCATATGAGCCCTGATGGATTGTCACCCCTAGTTCAAAAATGATATCTCCTGCCATACGACAGGAACATTCAGAATTATGGAAATTGGCAATGGCTCAAAGTTCAATCAAAATTTAGGATGGTAAATACAATAAGTATAAAGGGGAGGGAGGTAAAGATAAATATATTCTCTCTTTTCTTTCTAACAGGACATTTTGGATTCAAAGTTGCATCCAGCCACCTTTTATGTTAGCAATAGGAAATATTACTCCTTACAGGAATACCTCTTTTATCACCTACATTGTCACTTGTTTACTTGCATTAACTCAACCTTTGATAAAAGTGAAATTATATTGTGGATTAGAGCCATAGAAGGAGTTTGGATCCCTGTGTCTCTAAACAGACCATGTGAGGCATCATCATCCATTCATATTATAACTGAGATCCTTAAAAAACTCTTATCCCATTAAAAAAGATGTATAGTTGCTCTTACATTTGCTATAATTGGCCTCATTGCAGTTACCACTACTGCTGCACTAGCTGGTGTGGATTTACACCCATCTGTGCAAACAGTTGAATTTGTTGATAAATGCAAAAGAATTCTATGAAATTATGGAACTCTCAAGCCCAAATAGGTTGAAAGACAGTTAATCAAATTAATGATCTCCATCAGACAGTAACTGGGATGGGGGATAACATTATAAGTTTAGAAACCAGAATTCAATGCAATATGATTGGAATACATCTGATTTTTGCATTACTCTTCATAGTTACAATGAAACAGGACACCAGTGGGAAAGAATTAAATGCCATCTTGAAGGCAGAGAGGAAAATCTCATCCTCTATGTTGTAAAATGGAAAGAGCAGGCTTTTGAAGCCTTTCAAGCTCAATTAACACTGCTCTCCTGAACTGATATTTTAAGCAAGGCAGCCAATGGGTTGTCTGCAATCAATTCTCTTAAATGGATTAAGACCATTGGAAACCCTGCGCTTTTAAACTTTGTTCTTATAATTATGTGCATGTGCTGTCCTTTTAGTCTACAGATGTGGAAGTCGCCTCTGGAGACAAAGCCACCGCTGAGAACAAGCAATGATAGCTGTGGCAGTTTTGCAGAACAGAAAAGGGAGACATGTTGGCAGAAGAGCTGAGGCAGGGCTTGCTTGTCTGACTTAATGTAAAAAAGTCTTGGAACATGTCCTGGGTCCAAGGTCTAAAACCCCTTGTGGACTATGGAACACCAAGCTCTGTGCCAAAGGGTGGAAGGCTGCCCTACCACAATACAATCTGAGCCCAGGGCATGAAACCCTTTGTGGCTTGGATAGAACCCAGAGTTCAGGGCATAAAACACCTTGTAGCCTCTGGAATGTGTCCAGACTTGCTGGCCCCTTGCTCCTTGCTCTCTGAAGACTATAAATTGGTTGTACCTTGAATTAGAAGAACCTATTCTCCCTTATCTCAAATAGCAGAGCATACACTAAACCATCACATCTATGCTTGATTCACCACTACCTTTCTACCCCCCTGTCCTCACATCCTCACCTGTCTACCCCGACGTCTGCAAGTCCTCACCACCTGCTTCTTTGTTTAATTCCAATAAATAGTGTGGGCTCCTAGAGCTCGGGGCCTCCATAGCCTCCATACTAGACATTGGCCCCAGACCCACTCTCTGTATTCTTAACTTGTCTTGTCTCATTCCTTTGACTCAACAGGACTTCATAGCCCCCACAACCTGGTGTTGGTTCTTATCACCCCAACAGCTGAGTCTATTGAAGGCAACAGAGAGGTTTTGTTTAATTCTTATCTCTTCTGCACTTCCATATCTTTTAACTGGAGCATTTAGCCCAATTACATTCCATGTTAGTATTGAGAGGTGAGGTACTATTCCATTCATCATGACATTTGTTTCTTGTGGGCCTTTTTTATTGTTGTATTTTTGTTTTATAGGTCCTGTGATGGCAGGTCTGTTGTGCAGACCCTGGCTGAGCAATGAATGAAAGGAGTACTCAGACACAGGTATGCAGTGCAAGAGCAGCTAGGGGACCACCAAGTATTGGTGGCCAAAGAGTGAGCAGTCCCAAAACAGCTAGAGCTTCTTGCTTTTATTCAATCAGACAGGATGCCAAAAGCTTGGAGCAAACACAATCTGTGGGTAATCAAGATTATTGTCCCCCCTTTCAGGGAACAGTCACACAGGCAGATGATCAAAGGTCAGTTTTCAGACAACATAAGTAAACAAGCCTATTTAAGATAAATTTCCCCACACTCCCTTGTACCTATTTCTCACCCTCTGCCTCAGAGTAAGAGAAAAGCTGTCTTCAGCTTATTCTCCCTTGAAGCTATGCAGAGCCTTCTGACATTTCAGAAGGCCTGCTCCTTTCCCTGGCTTCTCCCACCACTCTGACTAATCTCCTACATCTCCCCCCTTTCTGCTTTTTGCATCAGGTTTTATTGATTGAAGAGTACAGATGTGTACAGTGACCAGCTTGACAGGCACAGTAGTTACAGCTCATGCTCTGGCTTTGCATCCTAGATATAGCAAATAATATAAGACAATCATGAATATAATCAGTATTATTATTTTTCAATCAAGAAGTGATGTGCAGTGTTACTTGACACCTCAGTCCAATGTGTGTCACTACTAAGGAACCCCACTGAGGGTATGTCAACCCCTCCCAGCAAGCCGGGCAGTTACACAGTTAGATGGGGGTGTCTGCAAAAGTAACAGCGTGGGGAAAAGGCAGATCTAGAAAATGGGCCCGGTAGAGAGCAGCAGGTGTGGTTTGTGGGCAAAGTAAGAGAATAAGAAAGGTTAATACCCTAAGAGAGTTGCAATGTACAACAGAAAGCACAGCAAGGAAGAAATTTTCTAGTATGAATGGTGTTTGTGTCCAAAGCAGGATTCACTCAGCCTCCTGAGTAGTCTTCTTCAGCATAATATCTGGGACCTGTGTTGTCTGAGGAAGCCACATTGTCCAGGGCTGTGGGTCCTGCAGGGTCATGTTTTTCATTTCTGGTACTGGGTTGGGTCCCAGCCATGCCATGCCCAAAAAGGACCTGAGGGGTTGTGAACACAGGCATATCCTCCTCTCCACATTAGCAAATTATTTGGACCACACCATACATTACTATTTACATCTTTGCATAGCACCACAGGTTTTATGTATAGAGGGACTTTTACAAAATATTTTTCTATGGCTGATTGAAATTTATCATCTAAATTTAAGAAGTTAAAGGTAAATAAGTCTTGTGCCAGTAGTGTTTCAGGATCCTTACTCATATTTCCCCTTTTTTGTTTTCTGAGTATACTTTTAATTGTGGAATGGGCATATTCCACTATGGTATGTGCTTCAGAGTTATATGAGATACCCATGGAAAGTTGGACTTTCCACGTGTGGCAAAATTGGTGAAATTCTGAGCTAGTGTAAGCCAGACCATTATCAGTTTTAATTTTTGTGGTGTGCCCCATAAATGCAAACGTTAAGAGAAGATGTTTAATGACATATTGGGCAAACTCTCCAGCAAGAGCATGAGTGTTAATTAGGTGGGAATTAATATCAACAGATACATGTACATATTTTACTTTTCCAGATTCAGGGACTTGAGTAACATCTGTTTGCCATAAATGATTAGGTTCTAGTCCTCTAGGGTTAACACCTGTTGAAGGAGAGGAAGTGATTGTGAGCTGGCAATCTGGGCATTGCAGGATAACTTTTTAGCTAGTGTTTAGGTTAACTGAAATTGTTTAGATAAATTTCTCCATTTCTGTTAGAAAAATTGATGTAATTGGGTGGCTTGGTCAAGCAGTAACATCAGAACCTGCAGGTCTGCTTGATCATTACCATGAACTAGTTTACCAGGCTGCAGGCTGTGGGCCCAAATGGGTGTAATAAAAATAGAATGTGTTCATTGATCCATCTTTCTTGAAGTCAAAGAAAAAGGGCACACAGAGTGGGCTCAAGAGTGGACTTAATGAGGGCTGTTTCAAGGTTTTACAATAAATAAACAGAGTAAACAGGGTCACTAACAATATTGATTGGCTGAGTGAAAAATGTTTGCAGGACAAATATTAGGGCTCCAATCTCAGCTCTCTGAGTGGTAGTAAATCCAGATTGAGTGAGGGAGTTATGTGGTTCCCACCAGATAACTGCTTTTCCATTTTTGCCAGAGGCATCAGTGAAGGTCATTAAAGTGTTAGGTATGGGGGAGTGAACTACCTTTGTAGGCATAACTACAGGAGTATGAAATAAGAACTGGAGTAGTTTTTCAGTGGAAAGGCCATGTTCTATATGGCCCACATAATCAGAGAGTTCTATCTGAAGGTCTAGAGATACGGGCAGGACTGCTTTGAATTGTTTTTTACTCAAGGGAATTCTTATGATATCAGGGTCTTAATCTTGCAATTGATTGCATCATTTGTGGCCTGTATAGATGACTTTATCAATTAGCTGGCTATAGGGGGGATAGTGTTTTAGTCCCAGTATGTAAGCAAAAAACCCATTCTAGGAAGCATAGCCCTGGGGCCCTCTGTCCTATTAATCCTGTTGGGGAATGTTTAGTATGAAATACAAATAATCGGACTGAATATCATGGGTCTATGTGATCTAATAGCTTGCTCTATTTCCTCACTTTCCCATTTTGCATCAGAGGTTAAATACCTGGGAGAGTCCAGGGCTGCATTGCCCTTTAGGAGAGAAAACAGGTTCTGTAATTTATCAGTAGTTATGTCCAAGGTAGGACAAAGCCTGTTAATATCACTCAGTAATTTTTAATAATCATTTAAGGTGTGTAAGTTTGTAGTATTCAATTTAATATTCTGAGGTCTTACTGACTGGGAGGTTAGTATGTATCAAGATTTTTTCAAGGGGAGGACACCTTTACCTTTTCAGGTATTATGATTAAACCTCTTAACTGTGTATTCCTTTTGACAGAGGTATATAAACTCAAAAGTATTGGCTCCACTGGGGCTCCCAGTAAGATATCATCCATATAATGGATGATCTTGAATTTAGGAAATTCTTTTTTTCTGGGGAGCAAACCCTGATTTACATGATACTGACACTGTTTGGCATTCCTTGAGGAAGTACTTTCCAATAAAATCAGTGAGCTGGCCTTTCATTATTGATAGCTGGTATTGTAAATGCAAATTTTTCTCTGTCCTGTTTTACAAGGGGAATAGTATAAAAAACAGTCTTTTAAGTCAATAGTGACTATAAGCCAATCTTGAAGAATTGCCATGGGCAAAGGGAGCTTCTGTTGAAGGGGCCCCATAGGTTGCAAATTAGCATCAATAGCACACAAGTCATGTAAAAGTCTCCATTTACCAGACTTTTGGGAGTGATTAAAAGTGGGTGAATTCCAAGGGCTGTTTGATGGTTCTATATGGCCAGATTTTAACTGTTACTCAACTAATTCATGAGCTCATTGTAATTTCTCTCCCTTTAAAGGCCACTGTTCTACCCAAATTGCATCTTGAAAGAGCTATGTGAGGGGTAGGGGAGGATCACCACTGTGGTTAGTATTAGAAAGAGGTCTGCAGAGTGCCTTCTCATTGGGCTAATAGGTCCCATCCCCAACAATTAACAGGGATGGGTGTGATTACAGGTTATATATTAACATAGGACCCCTCCCCTTGAGCATTGAAGCTATTATGTTTTGCCCAGCCCATTGATTCTGGTTGGCTTGTTGTTCACACAACTCATCATATTCAACTCATCATAATTCATCCAGAGGAGGTATTGATTGGCCTCTAAAGTTGTTTTAGCTAGCACTGACCAGTCCCATGGGATCACAAGGAAGTTGTCTGTTACGGCCTCAATTAATCTTTTTGTAAATGGGATAGCCACTCCATTTTCTCTAATGCTTTTTCTTATTTCTTTATAAGTGTTGAAAATAATGGGCTCATGTACCCAATTACCTGGTTGATTTTGCATCTCTAGGCAGGCCAAGAGTTTCCCTTCTAATGCTGCTAGCCTAAGACAGAGTTCCATAACTGTAGTGTATCCCTTGTCTTTTTCCAATTTACTGGCAGTAGAGGCTCAGGGAAAATCTCTGTCTCCTTCCTGACAGCTTTACCCAGTAACAGCAGGGCTGAGGGAGGAGGAGGTGGTAAGGTAGGTGATGGTTCCTCTTACCTTCCTTTTTTAGGTTATTCTGTGTTCACTGGAGAAAAAGCAGCCTGAATAAAGCCCATAACGCTAAAGATGTTACTGGGGCCCATTATCCTTATGCATGATGTTGCTTAAGATTTCTCCCCATTTGTTCCTGGAGCTCTAGGTCTAGTGTGCCTTCATCCAGGAACCATAGGTTATGGAAAACAACAGTTTTCATTAGGTCCCTTAATTGAGCCTCTGAGACCAAGACTTTGCTAGATTTAAACAGCTGTTTCAATACTTTTATATACTGTTGCTGTTGAGCTGATAACTGTTGTCCCATGATAAAAGCCTAACTTGAAAATCCCCTTCAAACTTGGAAATCCCAAGTGGGAACCAATTACTTACTGAGTAGTCACTTCACTTTTGCTTTTGAGGATTTCACTGTGATCCACTGCAGTGTTCCTCACATGGGGCACCACCTGCCTGCTCCATCCTGCAGACCATGGCTGAGTGATGATGAAAGGAGTACTCAGACACAGGTATGCAGTGTAAGAGCAGCTAGGGGTCTGTTGGGTTCTAGTGGCCAAAGTGTAGTAGCACTGATAAGCTGGAGCTGCTTGCTTTTCAGGCCTAATGCCAAAAGCCTGGAGCAAACACAATCTGCAGATAATTAACATTCATTGTTTCCTTTTCAGGGAACCTCATGTGCATGGATTATCAAATGTTGGTTCCTGGTCAATATAAGTAAATAGGCCGGTTTAAGATAAGATCCCCTTTACTTCATTGTATCTACTCCTTGTCCTCTTCCTCAAGGCCAGAGAAGAGCTGCCTTCAGCTTATTCTCCCCCAGAGTTATGCAGAGTCTTCTGACTTTTCAGATGGCCTGGTCCTTTCTCCATAGTTTCTCCCACCACTCTAACCAAACTCTTACAGAAAGGGGACTGAAGCCAGGGAGCCAAGTGGTCTCACTCAGCAGGTCCCACTCCAACAGAGCCCAGATAGCTAAAAACCATTGGCTTGGCATTCTCACTGCCCGCACAGCAGTCTGGAGGTGACCTGAGACAATCGATCTTGGTGCGGGGAGGTGATCTGCCAATATTGAGGCTTTAGTAGGTGGTTTTCCCCTGATGGTGCTAAGGAGACTGTGAAGTTTGTACTGGGTGGAATTCACCACAGTGCAGCAAAGCAGCTTTGGCCAGACTGCTTCTCTAGACTCCCCCTTACTGGGCACAGCATCTCTGAAGGAAATATAGCAGCCCCAATCAGGGGCTTACAGATAAACTCTCACCTCCCTGGGACAGAATGCCTCAGTAGAGGGGCAGCTGTGGGTGCAGGTTCAGCAGGCTGAATCTTTCTTGCTTGGCAGCTCTGAAGAGAGCAGCTGATCCTGATAAATTGTTGTAATGTATTTTCCAGAGAACTGCTGGTTTTCAGTATCTGAAGTTCTGAATATCTTGCTAGACTTGGAAATATTCATCAATTATTTCATTAGATAAGTTTTATAAACCTTAAATAGTCTTTTTTTCTCTTAGGATAATATGTAAATTTGGTCAATTTGTGAGTCCCAAACATCTTAAATGCTTTGGTCATTATCTTCTATTTTTATTTTTGAATTTTTGTCTGACTATATCATTTTCAAACATCAGTCTTCAAGTTCTGAGATTCTTCTGCTTGTTCTAGTCTATTTTTGAAGGTTTCAAATATATTCCATTATTCCTTCAATGAGTTTTTCTATTTTAGAATTTCTGGGGTTTTTTGTTTTAAAAAAACGTATCTATCTCCTTGGTAGATTTCTTATTCGTATCCTAAATTAATTTTGTGATTGATTTTTATTGGTTTCCAGATTTCTCTTTATCTCATTGAGCTTTTTAAAATCAATATTTTGAATTTTTTACCTGGCATTTTTAGAATTTCCTTTTGGTTAGGAACAGCTGGAGAGTTATTGTGTTCATTTGAGGGTTTAGTATTACATTCCCTTTATGTTTTGTGCATTCCTCTTTTTATTTTACTTTATATTCTAGGTTACATGTGCAGAATGTGCAGGTTTGTTACATAGGTATACATGTACCATGGTGGTTTGCTGCACCTATCAACCCATCATCTAGGTTTTAAGACACAAATGTATTAGGTATTTGTCCCAGTGCTCTCCTTCCCCATCCCCCCAACCCCCAACAAGCCCCAGTGTGTGATGTTCCCCTCTCTTTGTCCATGTGTTCTCATTGTTCAATTCCCACTTGTGATTGAAAACATGCAGTGTTTGGTTTTCTGTTCCTGTATTAATTGCTGAGAATGATAGGTTCCAGCTTCATTAATGTCCCTTCAAGGGACATGAACTCATTTTTTTATGGCTGCATAGCATTCCATGGTGTATATGTGCCTCACTTGCTTTATCCAGTCAATCATTCATGGACATTTGGGTTGATTCCATGTCTTTGCTATTGTAAATAGTGCTGCAATAAACATACATGTGCACATGTCTTTATAGTAGAATGGTTTATAACCCTTTCAGTATATACCCAGTTATGGGATTGCTGGGTCAAGTGGTATTTCCAGTTCTAGAACCTTGAGGAATCTCCACACTGTCTTCCATAATGGTTGACTTAATTTATACTCCCAAAAACAGTGTAAAAATGTTCCTGTTTCTCTACCAACAGTGTAAAGGCATTCCAGTTTCCCCACAGTCTTGCCAACATTTGTCATTTTATGACTTTTTAATGGTCATCATCTTAACTGTCATGAGGTGGTATTTCACTGAGGTTTTGATTTGCATTTCCTAGGCAATACCATTCAGGTCATACGCATGGGCAAAGACTTCAAACTAAAATACAAAAAGCATTGCAACATAAGCCAAAATTGACAAGTAGGATCTAATTAAACTAGAGAGCTTTGGCACAGCAGAAGAACCTATCAGCAGAGTGAACAAGCAATCTACAGAATGGGAAAAAATTTTGCAATCTATCCATCTAACAAAGGTCTAATTTCCAGAATCTACAAGGAGCTTAAAAAAATTTACAAAAAAAAAATCAAAAAGTGGGTGAAGGATATGAACAGACACTTCTCAAAAGAAGACATTTACATGGTCAAAAAACATATGAAAAAAAGCCCATCATTACTTTGTGCATTTTTACATTGATATATGTGCACATGGTGCAACAGCTACTTTCTCTTATTTTTGAATTTACTTTCATTGATTTGGGGACTATTTTCTTGAAGATGTGACTACAATGTTTGTTGGGTAGGAACATTTGGCTTTGCCTCTGATGTGGGCAGTGGTGAAGACTATATTATTTTCTTGGCTATAAATAGTCTTAGTGATATTCTTGAATTCCTCAATGTGTTAGAGTGCAGTCATTGGTCAGTACTGTATTAAAGTTGTGCTGAAGACTGGAATGCTTAATGGGACACGTTCAGATTTCAGTGGCATTGGTGGTAAGCTAAGGCTCTCTATCCTAGTGATTCAGGAAAGTGCATGCTGGCACCTGTGCTAAAAGTTTCAGGTAGCCTCGTTCTTGGCCCTCTGAGTGTTTTCTCAGATGCTGGTTGCAGTAGCAGAGTATCAGATAGATAAATAGGCTCTTGATCTTTTCCACATCCATAGTGTAATGTGTGATAGTGAAAGCAGTGATTATGAATTGCTCTCCTAGTTCCCAACCACTGTCCTACTTGCCAGGAATTGTTGCAAGGATCTGCACTAGCCAGCCTCCAAGCCAGCAGTTGGTGCTTTCTGGTAGAAGTAGCAAGTAATAGGATGTATGCCCAAATACTATTACCATCACTATATTATACTATGCAATTATCATATAATATAGGATACTAATAGGCTTATACTCTATCATGTGGGAGACATGATTGGATGTCCCTTTTGGTGGATTTGGTAGTGGAATATCCAGGATCCTAGAACTTGCACACTCTCCCAGAGGGAGTTAAAACCCAGGTATTATAGTTAGTATTAGGTGTCAACTTAATTAGATATAAGGATGCATAGATAGCTGGTAAAGTATTGTTTCTGAGTTTTTCTGTGAAAGTGTTAACAGAGGAGACTGATGTTTGAGTTGGCAAACTGTGAGATGAAGACCCAGTCTCTGTGTAGATAGGTACCATACAATCAGTTGCCAGCAGGTCCAGAACAAATCTGGTGAAAGAAGGTGAAATAACTTTGTTTGCTCAGACTTCTCACTTCCTTATTTTCTTGTGTTGGATGCTTCCTCATACCTCTCCTGTTCTTGGACATCAGACTCCAGGTTCTTTGCCTTTTTGGACTCTAGGACTTACACTAGTGACTTGCTGGGGGCTCTTGAGTCCTCAGCCATAGACTAAAGGCTGCACTGTTTTCTTCCCTGGTTTTGAGGCTTTTGCACTTGGGATTGAGTCCCAAGTAGCTTCTCTTTTTGCAGCTTGCAGATGGACTATCATGGGACGCCATCTCCCTAATAAACTCCCTTTCATGTATACATATATCCTATTACTTCTATCCCTCTGGATAATCCTAACTAATACAGATTTTGGTACCAGAAGTGGTCTATAAAACAACATCCTAAGAATGAATTTCTTTAGTTGGTTTAAGGTTTCTGGAGTTGGCTCTTTACTCTGATTAGCTCTAAAATTCTAAGGACTCTGCTTCAAGTACTATAAATACTGATATTCCTTGATGCGAATCAATTGATTGTGCAAAATAAATGGATTCAATGTTCCTGATTCACCACTACTGAGGGGGAAAGATTTTAGTGACTCTACACATGATACTTTTGAACATTTGTGGCAACAAATGAATATAGTGAAGTTGGTTGGCTGTGCATCAGTTTGCTGAATGAAGTGATGAAAGAAAAGGATGAGCTCATGGATTATGTCTCCTGCCTCCAGAAGCACATGTTTAACCTCAAGTATTTTAAGATTGCCCATGGAAAGAATCTCGTCTTCTGTAGACAAATGGCTGAAATTGAGGAAAATCAGACACAAGTTCTTATCATGCAAGTGGCTGACCTACAGTGAAAAGTGGATGCTCAGGCTCACCAAGTGTCTACTGTTAAAGAGAGAGCACTGATTAGGTTAAAATGGGACTCTGTAACATGGGATGGGGACATGTGTGAGGACCCAGATGATTTTGGGGTTACTGAGCTGCTAAATTCTGATGAGAATTCTTTGCCAGAGAAAAGCAGCCTCCCCAGCTCCAGTGGTGGGCAACATTTCTTACCCCACCCAAGTTGCCATCAGCCTTTCCATCTATGAAGAGATTAACCCTGCATTGCCTAAGGAAAAAAGCAATGGTCTTCCCTGAGATAGTTGCCAGACAACACAATGCTGATTCTCCTCAGAACCCACATCTACCAATTCTCCTTGCTTCTAGACATGAACTAAACTCAAGTCCCCGCAGGTCCCTAGAAGTGAGGTTCAGAGTGTGACTCATGAAGGGATCCAAAACTTAGGAAGATTGCAATGCTAGAATAGATTTGTCACTTTAAACCTACTTGTCCTAATTGGAAGGACCCAGAAAACATACTCTATGAAATAGATTTGTGAGGGAAGCACCAGCATTTTTGAACACATCTGTGATAGTTCTTTGCCTGCCAGATCAAACAGAAGGGAACCACAGTCACTCAATTAGGGAACTTAAATGCAATGGGAATTATCATCCCCTGAGGTGTCAGAGCCCAAGTGGTGGGACTCTGTAAGGAGACCCCCCTGAAACTGTTGCTACAGAAGAAAAGACGAAATGCTCCTGATTATTGTAAACACAAAATTGCA
Source organism: Homo sapiens (assembly GCF_000001405.40). Classification (NCBI taxonomy): domain Eukaryota; kingdom Metazoa; phylum Chordata; class Mammalia; order Primates; family Hominidae; genus Homo; species Homo sapiens. The sequence continues at coordinate 13,602,537 of NC_000024.10, read as the reverse complement.
TGTGGGATTGTGTAAAGACAATGCCAGGTTGGGCTGCCAGAATGAGCCAACAGTGCATGATGTGATTCCCCCTGTGGAGAGCCTGTAAATGGATGTGCAGTCAGGGAGGCTTCACATCACCAAGATTCCTAGCCCAGAAAAGCAGATATTCATAGCTCTGGGAATGGAATGCAACCCCTGTGGAGAGCCTATAAATGGACACATTAGTGGCACCTGTTCATATGGATGAGATAGGGCTATAAAATCCCTTATCTTGCCACAGCTCTTCTAGGCCTCTTTAGGGTTAAGCATACTCCCTTCTGAGAATTTGTGGTCTAACTGGTTGTCTAGCTTCATGTCCTGTTTCATGTCTAGCTTCATGTCCAGGACCAATCAGGAGTTGAAATAAAAGCACGGCCCAGGACCCATCAGAGGCTGAAGTGATGATTTGTAATTCCTTGGCTCACAGTCCAAAAGATATCCAAAAAAGAAAAGAAAAGTGGCCACTGGAACCCATGAGAGCCCATCATGTATATACTCACAAAAGAAGAAGGGACTATTTTCTGGAAGCCCACTGGTTACAAAAAGGACAATGGTGTTTCTATGTTGGGTCTTGTTCCCTTATCAGTGTAGTGGTGGGCCAGTCTTTAGGCACAAAGAACAAATGCATTTCTATGTTGGGCCTTGTTTTTTACATCTCAGTGGGCCTGAAATTTGTACAAGTTTTTTTGTCTGTGCCTGCAGCCTGATTTTTCAGGCTGTTTCTCCATTTAAAGGAGTTTCTTTTGTGAAGGATCCACCCTAACTACCTAACTTCTCTCTGTTACAAATTTCTGGTGGAAGTATAGATTTGTTCAACCATTGTGGAAAGCAGCGTGGCACTTCCTCAAGAAGCTAAAAACATAATTACCATTTATTGAAGCAATTTTAATACTGCGCATATACCCAAAGGAATATAAATAATTTTATCATAAGACACATGAATTCATATGTTCTTTGCAGCACTATTATAACAGCAAAGACATAGAATCAACCTAAATTTTCATCAGTGGGCATTTAGAGTCAGTGTGTCCCAAGGTAGACTGGATTTAAAAAATGTGGTACATATAACTCATGGACTACTATGCAGCCATAACAGAAAATGAGGTTATGTCCTTTGCATGAATATGCATAGAGATGGAAGGAATTATCCTTGGCAAAGTAACACAGGAATAGAAAAGAAAATATCACATGTTCTCACTTGTAAGTGAGAACAAGATGATGAGAACACATGGACACAAAGAGGGATTGTATTCTTGACTTGGCTTGTGGCTTGAACATTAGTGGTGTATACAAATGCTAATAATTTTTGTATGTTGATTTTTTGTTAGTCCATCCATGCACTGCTATAGAGAAATACAAGAGACAGGTAATTTATAAAGAAAAGAGGCTGAATGAGCTCAAAGTTCTGCAGGCTGTACAGGAAGCATGGCAGCATCTGCTGATATTCAGAGGAGGCATCAGGAAACTCACAATGATGGCAGAAGATGAAGGTGGAAGCACATCTTACATGGCCCGGATAGGAGGGAGAGAGACAGGTGGGCAGTCCCACATACTTTTAAACAACTAGATCTTGTGAGAACTCTGTTGCAAGAACAACACCAAAGGGATGGTGTTAAGCCATTCATGAAGGGACAACCCCCATGATCCAATCACCTCAAATCAGGCCCCACCTCCAACAGTGGGGATTATAATTGAACTTGAGATTTGGGTGAAAAGACAGATCCAAACAGAGGAGAGAGGCCATTTCTGTTTTTGTCCTGTCTCCAAAGGGAAGGAGGGAGAAAAACTGAAAAATAATGAAAAATAACAGACTGATTGGTGCCACTGGCCAGGCCTGTAGGGTAAAGATTAACCCCCACCCTAATCGCTTGTGCTATCTATAAATCACAGACAATGGTATGGATAAATACTTGCCTTGCTTACCCCCACCTAGTCATGCATCCCATGCTTGCTCAGTCCATCATGACCCTGTCACATAGACCCCTTATAGTTGTAAGCCCTTAAAAGGGCCAGGAACTCTTTCTGTGGGGAGATTGATTCTGGAGACACAAGTCTGCCAATGCTCCTGGCTGAATAATGTCTCAAGGAGCTCTGTTCTTGAGATACAAGACTGCTGACACTCCCAGCCGAATAAAGCCACTTCCTTCTTTAACCCGGTGTCTGAGGGGTTTTGTCCCTGGCTTATCCTGCTAAAAAGCCATACCATTCTGCCTTGGCCCCTCAAAAGTCTCATGTTTTTCTCACATTTTAAAATCCAATTATGCATTCCCAGTATTCCCCCAAAGTGATTATTTTTTAAAAAAAGACATTGGATCTCACTCTGTCACCCAGGATGGAGTGCAATGGCATGATCTTGGTTCACTGTAGCCTCTCTCTCCCAAGATCAAGTGATTCTCCTGCTTCAGCCTCTTGAGTTACTGGGAGTAGAGGCACATGTCACCATGCCTAACTAATTTGTGTATTTTTTGTAGAGATGGGCTTTCACTGTGTTACTCAGGCCGGTCTTGAACTTCTGCACCCAGGTGATCCACATGCCTTTGCCTCCCAAAGTGTATGGATTACTGGCATGAGCCACCATTCCTGTCCACTAGTCCCACAAAGTCTTAAGTCAATTTCGGAATTAACTCAAAAGTTCAAAATCCAAAGTTTCCTCTGAGACAAGGCAAATCCCTTCCACCTATGAGCTCGTAAAGTGAAAAATAAGTTACTCTTCCAAGATACAATCATGGTACAGGCAGAGGAAAAATACTTCAATTTCAAAAGGGATTGGCCAAAACAAAGGTGCCATAGACCCTACATAAATCCTAAAGCTAGCCAGGTAGTTATTAAATCTTAAAGCTGCAAAATAACTTCCCTGGCTCACATTAAGGGCATGCTGGCACAAGAGGTGGGATCCTAAAGCCTTGGGAAGCTCTATCCCTGTGTCTTTGCAGACTTAAGCATCCACACCTGTCCTCATGGGCTGGCAGTGAGTGCCTGTTGGTCTTCCAGACTGTCAATGGATCTACCTTTTCAGGGTCTAGAGGATGTTGGCCCTCTTCCACACAGCTCTACTAGGCAATTCCCCTATGCGGATTCTATGTGGGGGCTTCAAGTCCAAATTTCTCCTCTACACTGCCGTACTAGATGCTCTTCATGATGGCTCTGCCTCTGCAGCAGGCTTCGGCATGGACATCCAGGCTTTTCCACCTATCCTGTGAAATCTTAGCAAAGGCTCTCAAGCATCAACTCTTGTACTTTGTGAATCTACAGAAGGAAAAGTGTCCTGAGGCTCTGGAGGGCAACAGGGCGGTAGGCTAGGCTCCAGAAACCATTTTTCTCTCCTAGGTCCCCGGGCCTGTGACGGGAGGGGCTGCAACAAATGTCTCTGAAGTGACTTCAAGGCCTTTCCCCAATGTCCTAGTTATCAACATTTGACTTCTCTTTACTTAGGCAAATTTGTGCAGCTGGCTTGAATTTATCCCCAGAAAATGGGATTTTCTTTTATACCATATGGCCAGGCTGAAAATTTTTCAGACGTGTACACTCTGCTTCCCTTTCAATGTGTTCTAGTTTCAAGTAATTTATTTTTGCAAGTACATGAGCATATGCTGTTAGAAGCATCTAGACAATATTTTGAATGCTTTGCTGCTTAGAAATTTTTTCCACAAGATACCCTAAATTATCTCTTCCATCTTTAAAGTTCCACAGATCACTAGAGCAGGGGCAAAATGCCGCCAAGTTCTTTGTGAGCACATAACAAAAGAGCAAAACCTTTGCTCCAGTTCCCAATAGATTCCTTATTTCTATCTGAGACCTCATCATCCTGAATTTTATTGTCCATATCACTATCAGCATTTTGATCACGAGAATTTAAGAAGTCTCTAGGAAATTCTGGACTTTTCCTCATCTTTCTGTCTTTCTCCAAGCCCTCCAGGCTCTTCCAACCTCTGCTCATTACCCAGTTCCAAACTTGCTTCCACCTTCTCAGGTATTTTTATGGCAATGTCCCACTTATCAGTACCAATTTTCTGTATTGGTCTCAAGGCTGCCATATCAGGTTCCCTTATTTTGAGGCTTTCAGACTTAGACTGAGTCACCACCAGCTTCATCCTTCCCCAGCTTGTAGATGGTCTATCATGGGACATCACCTTGTAATCATCGGAGTGAATCTTCCTTAATAAACTCTTTTTAATGTCTGCGTTTATCCTGTACCTCTAGAAAACCCTGACTAATATATATTTTGGTACCATGAGTGGTTCTAGAGAAAGATAATTTTGAGAATGGATTTCTTTAGTCAGTTTCAGGATTCTGGAGTTGGCTCTTTAATCTGATTAGACATAAAATGCTAAGGGCTCCACTTCCAATACTATAGAGAACACTGATACACCTTGATGTGAATCAATTAGAGTTGTGCCAAATACATGCATCTGATACTCCTGAATCACCATTCCTGAGAGGTAAAGAGTTTAGTGACTCTATGCATAATACCTTTGAACCAATGAATATAGTGAAGTTGTGGAAAACCAAGGAATATAGTGAAGTTGGCTGTTGGCACCTAAATTCACTGGATGAAGTGACGAAAGAAAAGGATAAGCTCAGGGATTATATTTCCTGGCTCCAAAAGCACATACCTAGCCTCAAATATTTTAAGATTGCCCTTGGTGAGAGTCTTATCTTCTGTAAACAAAGGGCTGGAATTGTGGAAAATCAGACACAAGCACTTATCATGTAAGTGGCTGACCTACAGTGAAAGGTGCATGCTCAGGCTCACCAGTTGTCTACTGTTAAAGTAAGGGCATTGATTAGGATATACTGGGACTCTGTAACATGGCACGGGGACATGTTTGAGAACCAGGTGAATCTGGACTCCTAAATTCTGATGGCCTTCTTTGCCAGAGAAAGCAGCAGCCTCCCCAGCCCCAGTGGTGGCAACATCCTATACCCCACCCAGGCTGCCATCAGTCTTTCCACTTAGAAGGCTATATTAACCCTGCATTGCCTGAGGAAAGAACAATGACCTCTCCTGAATTAGTTGCCAGCTAATACAATGCTGATTCTCCTCAGCACCCACCTTCAACAACCCTCTTTGCTTCTTGACCTGTAACTAGACTCAAGTCCCAACAGGTCCCTAGAGGTGAGGTTCAGAGTGTGACCAATGATGAGGTGTGCTACACTCCAAAATAACTACTGGACTTTTCTAATTTATATAAGCAGAAATCTGAAGGGCAGGTATGGACATTGATATAAAAGGTATGGGATAATGGTGCCAGAAACATAAATTTGGGTAGTGCTGAATTTATTGACATGGATCCATTAAGCTGAGATTCCACATTTAATATTGCAGCTCAGGGGTTAAAGGGGTTCACTTGGTTAGCTGAAACATGAATCAAAAGATAGCCCACTGTGAGTTGAACTGAAATGCCTGATCTCCCTTGGTTTAATGTAGAGGAAGGGATCCAAAAGCTTAGGGAGATTGGAAAGCTAAAGCAAAATTGTCACTTTAGACCCATTTATCCCAACTAGGAGGACCCAGAAAACATATCCTTCACCAATACCTTGTGAAATAGATTTGAGAGGGGAGCACAAACATTCTTGAAGAGCTCTGTGATAGTCCTTTGTATGCCAGATTGTACAGTGGGAACCACAGGCACTCTATTGGAAAACTTAAATGCAACGGGAATTATTGAACCCTGAGGTGGGAGGGCTCAAATGTGGCACTCAACCATCAAAGGCAAGTTAGTTACCAAATGGATATAGTTACCAAATGGATATAATTACCAAATGGATAGCACAGGCAAAGCAGTAATCAGAATAGTCTGACTAGTGTATAGGTCTGACATTGGCTAATTAATTGTTTTGTTTCTAAAAGGGAAATTCGTAGAAAGTCTACTACATTCTTACGAATTTGTATAAGCAGAAAACTTCCAGGACAAAGGGACAAAAGATGAATTTGTATGATGAAGTCAGAGAATCACAGCCCTTCTCTCAATTTCAAGACTTAAGCCAGTTTACCAACCTAGAACCCCTTAAACGAAGAGACGTAAGCCAGTTTACAGACCCAGTCCCCTTGAGGAAGAGCCTCACTACACTACTGACAATTTATGCTGTTAATCTTTCTCTAATCCTTCCCCAAGGAGAACGCTGGCCTTTTACAAGGGTAACTGTACACTGGGAAAATAAGAATAATCAGACTTTTTGAGTACTACTGGACACTGAGTCTAAGCTGACATTGGTTCCAGAAGATGAAAAACATCACTGTGGCCCTCCAGGTAGAGTAGAGGCTTAGGTAGGTCAGGTAATTAATGAAGTTTTAGCTCAGGTTTCACTTACAGTGGGTCATCCTGTGGTCTTTTCCCCAGTGCCAGAATGCATAATTGGAGTAGCAGCTAGCAGAATCCCCACACTGGCTCTCTAAACAGTAGGGTGAAGCCTCTTATAGTAGAAAATGCCATAACGTACAACATTCTTGCATAGCCAGGATTCATGACTTCAGGAATCAAGGGGTGGAAGTGGAAGTGGCAACACTCATGATTATCGCTAGTGACCTATTAGGAAACTTTTTGCTTCCTGTTACCAAAATATTATGTTCTGCTGGTTGAGAGGTCTTCATCCTAGAGGGAAGGATGCTGCCATAAGGAAGCACAACAACGATTCAATTAAACTGGAAGTTAAGACTTCCACCTGGCCACTTTGTATTGCTGCCTCTAAATCAGCAGGCCAAGTAGGGCGTTATAGTGCTGACTGGGATGATTGACCTAAGCTGTAAAGATGAAATCAGACTACTATTCCACAATGGAGGTAAGGAAGAGTATGTCTGGAATATAGGCAATTCTTTAAGGTGACTTTTAATATTACCATGCCCTGTGGTTAAAGTCAATGGGAAACTACAACAATCCAATCCAGGTAGGACTACATATGGACCAGACCTTTAAGAATGAAGGATCAGGTCACCGCACCAGGTGAAAAACTATGACCAGCTGATTGATGTGCTTGCTGATGACAGAGGAAATACAGGATGGGTAGTAGGGGAAGATACTTAAGAACACCAGCTACAGCCATGTGACTGGTTGCAAAATCAAGGACTGTAATTGTCATAAGTATTTCCTTCTTACTTTGTTAAAAATACATTTGTGCATGTATACACCTGTACTAAGAAAATATTCTCATTTTATTTCTTTTTGTCCTTTCTCATGTAACATAAGATTTATTGACTTTGTATCAGTATTTAAGTGTTGTTAACTTTATATAATGGCATTTAGTTTAATGATTAGTGCACTTTGGTCGTACAATGTATAGTTGCATTATGTTAGGTGGAATTACAACCTTATTGTGATCTTTATTTGGAGATTAAGTATGATTTCAGGAAATGTGCATGGTTGTCAAGTTGACACAGGGTAGACTTGTGATGGTTAATACTAGGTGTCAACCTGACTGGGTTGAAAGATGCCAAGATAGCTGGTAAAGTAATGGTTCCGAGAGTGTCTCTGAGGGTGTTGCCAGAAATTGACATTTGAGTCAGTGGGCTGGGAGAAGAAAAGTCACCCTCAATTTGATGGGCTCCATACAATTGCCTGCCTGTACAGTTAGAACAAAGCAGATGAGAGAATGTGGATAATCTTGCTTGCCAAGTCTTCTGGCTTACTCCTTTTTCCCATGCTGGATCCTTCCGTCTGCTCCTCCTGCCCTTTCATATCAGACTCCAAGTTCTTTGGGTTTTAGATTATTGGATTTACACTAGTGGTTTGCTGGGGACTTTAGGTCCTTTGGCAACAGACTAAAGCCTGAACTCTTGGCTTCCCTTGTTTTGAGGCTTCTACATTCATACTGAGCCACTACCAACTTCCCTTTACCCCAGCTTGCAGATAGCCTATTGTGGGACTTCACCTTCTAATTATGTGAGCCAATTCTCTTTCATAAACTCCCTTCAACATATACATATGTCCTATTAGTTCTGTCCTTTTTGAGAACCCTGACTGATACAATGGGTAACCCTGAGGTGGCAGTGGGGGCCAAAGGCAGCTACTAACAATTATGCTTTTTGTCCATTTCTATACATTTTCTCTGCTCTTCTACCCTGTCCCTATTGTTATAATATCCATGTAAGGGCCATGTTGAAGAGTTTGCTCATGGTTGTGTGAGTTATCATTTCTTCCCTTAGTTGCTTCCTCCTAATATCAGGGGCAGATTGAGTTATAAAATGCATAGCCATGACAGCTTGCCCTTTTGGGAAGTGTGGGTCTGTATTACTATAGTTCCTGAGTGTCTCAACCAAATGACCCTGAAACAGAGTGGGATTTTTAACCTTCCTTTGAGTTACTTCTCTAACCCTTGTCATAAGTAAGTGGTGTAACCACACATTTTTTTATACCTTTCATTAAACAAGTTATCATGTAGTTTCTGCATTTGAGATCTTAGGAACCCATCCAGTTATCCTATTCAGGGTCCAGATCTGGAATTGCATCTCCCCCAACATGATAAATGGCAAAACCTTGGTTATAAGCAGCCACTCCATCTGCCTATTCATGGGTAATACTTTGAATCCCTTGCTTCTCGTCTATGGTATAGCAGGTGGACAATAATATTTGCAGGTCATGCCAAATCAAGTCAAAGGACATGGCCAACTTAACAAACTCCTCTGAAAACCTCCCCAGATCCTCTGAAAACCAATCAAATTTATTCTTGCATAAAGCAAAATAAGAAAGAAAAACCCATGTGCTCTGATTGTTCCCCCATCTCCCTCATGTAGTGGACACACATTCAGTTTTAGGTGTTTATATGGGACCCCTTTCTTGGTAGTGCTGTTTGGGCTTACTTCCTCAAGCAGTGAGAGATACAGGCTGAGGCTAGTTGGAAAAGGGAAAGGGGTGTCTTGATGACCTTGGGGTGGAATCCTGTGCTGGAGAACTGGTAAGATTCCCCTCAGAATTGGGGGACTGATGAGGCTTTAGGGCACAGGATGAGGTGGAATGGGCTTCCAATTGGTAGCAGCTGGGAGGACATCAGCTAGGATATCTAGTGTGGATTCTTGATGTCTGGAAGTATCATGAGCAAGACACATTATGCAGTTGTGTCTTCCTGACACATTGTCCATGAAGTCAGGAACCAGGTAAGGGCCATAAACACCTGTACATAAGGGACCTTTCCCTATTTTCTTTCCTTTTAAAACAATAAATCAAATTATAAAATAGTAGTATAATCATTTTTACCCTCCTGATTTGTATTGGACCCAAATAGTTTACAGTACAAAATGATTTTATTTTTAGGCCATCTAATTTGAATTTGTTCCTATTGCCTAAAAGGCATCCTAGCAGTGAGTGCTTCAGGATGCTTGCCATTGTTCCTATGTCTAGCAAAGATCTTTACTAGACACAGAAGGTCCTTTAAGTCTGGAGAGAGCCCAGTTATTTTTCTCTTTCAAATTATCTCCCCATTTCCTCAAGAAAGGTCAGCAGGGAAAATGCCAGTAGTACATAGCACATAAGTACAGTAAGCATGATGTCAGGAAAGTTAATTACTAGATTTGAATGGGCAGCAGAATGATGACTGCATACACCAGCAAAATGCAAATGCAAAAAATGAATTGTTTTAATAAGGAAAGCATAGAATGAGAGGGGAATATACAGTAACATGATTCTCGTAGGTTGGATTTCATAAAAAGTAAAGAAAGCACTTTGTTTTTGGGCAAAAGGATGACAAAGAAAACAAGTAAGGTACTGACAGAGACCAAGATCCTCATTGGTGGGACTCTGATTGACAGTTCTATAAGAATGTCAAAGAACTGAGAGCATCTGGGCTTTGACCAGTGAGGATCCCCTAGCCAAATGCTAAAAACCCTGGAGCATATGGGGTCAGGTAACAGTGATAGTGGGACTCTAATCCACTCTGTCTACCTAGAGTGGGACTCTAACACATAGTGCTTGTGGGAATGTGTGACTCTAGCAACCTAGAGTCAGCACAGTGGGGGAGCTCTTTAAAAGAACAACAACAAAAAAAAGATTTCAAGCAAAGTGGTCTACCATACATAGAATAGACACAATTTGTCACTGCCCAAACATGACAAGGAAACAAATGTAAGCATACATTACAGCACTGAAAGCAGTAGAGTGAAACGGCTGGTTATTAGAGACTAAAGAGGAAAAGTCCTGAGAGAAGGGTTCGTAAGGATGTATCAGGCCAGGCGCGCTCCCATCCAGAGCACATAAACAACGGGAGACAATGAAATGACTACAAAACAAGAGGCCACATTGACTATTCCTGATTTACTTAATATCAAGGGGGAACAAACAGAGAACTAATCCATCCATGGAAGGCAAATGATGCCAACTGGTTTTTAATTTGGGGCCTAGACGAAGGCTCCCTTTGGGTTCCCTCAGCTTGTAAATCACCAGGAAATATGCTGATGGCTCTGAAGAGTGGCTTTAGGTAAAGCACAACTCTGCAATGTTAACAGAACTATAAAGTTACAGGTCCATTGTTCCAATCTGCATTAAGTAAGCAAGATTTGTTCATCCTGTTTATCCCTTTCCATCTTTGTCTCTTCATGACTTCATCCTTTCTTGTTTACCAGGATGATGCAGGCTAACCCTAAAATTGTGGCATAAGTACAGCAAGCATTATGTCAGGAAAGTGAATTATAATAGTAAATAAGAGTGGGCGGTGGAACTCCTCTTAACCCAGGAGAACCAGGAACCATAAAATGTCACCTCTGGGTCATTAACATGGCATTTGTAAATTTTCATGGTGCTGGTAAAAGTGTCTTATGGAAATGCATTGTAATTCCTAGTCCCAGCATGTTTTGGCCACTGTCTTTGCTACAACCTGTTTTGACCAGCAGGGTCATGACTGGTCCTAGAAAAGGAAGTCCTGCTAATCTTCTACCTCAGAAGGAACTACTAAAGCAATTAAGGACATAAGTCCTCAGCTTTTTATAACCCCTTGTAACCCATAATAGAAGAATTTTCATAAAATTATAGAGCATTTTGTTGAAGGACATAATATACACAGAAAAGTTCAGAAATTGTAAGTGTGTAGTTCAATGAATTTGGATAAACTTCACACATTAGTGTAAGCAGCATGTGCATCAATCATTCTCCTTTCTAGTTACTAAATCCCAAGGGTAACTACTATTTTGACTTCTAACAATATGTGTACAGATTGCATGTATTTGTATTGTTTTTATTTTGTAACTTACCTAGTGTCAGTATTGTAATAATTAATTTTGTGTATCAAATTGACCATGCCGTGGGGTGTCTATATTTAATAATTTTTCTGAGTGTGTCTGTCATGTTTTAAGATGAAATTAGCATTTGAATTGGTGAGCTAAGTGAAGTAAGCAGCCCTTGCCAATGTGGATGGACATCATCCAATTCATTGAGGGTTTTTGTTCTGAATAAAACAAAGGAGTAAAGGAATGAGAAATTTACCTTTTTTGTTTCCTACCTGTCTCATAAAGCTGGTACATCAGTCTTCCTGATCTTGGGCTAGAATTTACACTATTGGCTTTCCTGGTTCTCCAGCTTCCAGAAGTAACGCAAGAGACTTCTCAACCTCCATAATAATTTGGGCCAATTCATAATAAATCTCTGTCTGTATATATGCTATTGGATCTGTTTCCCTGGGGAACCCTAATATAGGTATGTATTCTTTCTGGTCTGTCTTGTTTTGCTTAATATTATATTTGTGATATACTACTATGTCACTGTGTGTAATCATGGACTCTTTTTGTTGTATAGGATTACACTGTATGATTGTACCACAATGTATCTTTCTTGATAGTAATTCATATTATGTGCAGTTTTTACTTTTCAGCTATGATGAATGTACTGCCATGAAGAAGATTCTTGGCAAACAAAAGAACATACATTGTATATCTTTTTTGAGCTGAAGTCTTGTTTTCTTGCCCAGTCTGGAGTGTGGTGGCACAATCTCAGCTCACTGCAACATCTGCCTCCTGGGCTCAAGCGACTCATCTGCCTCAACCTCCCCAGTAGCTGGGATTACAGTCATGTGCCACCATGCCTGGCTAATTTTTGTAGATATTTTTAGTAGAGATGGGATTTTGCAATGCTGGCCAGGCTGATCTTGACCTCAGGTGATCTGCCTTCCTCAGCCTCCCAAATTGCTGAGATTACAGGCAGAATGGATTACTTTTAAATACAGTTCCTAAGGTGAAAATGCTATACATAGGGTAATGTATATGTTAAATGGAGAATTTTAATTAAAACAAAGTATTATTTAAAAATTACTCCAAATATTTTAAGAGTATTTCTATTATCTTTCTTTTACTAGACATTAATATTGTAAATAAATTTTGAATAATGTAAGTTCTTTAAAGTTTCTTAGAGAAATTGCTTAAACTTGAAAGATGGTTTTAGTTTGTGTTTCTTATTAAAATGTAATCATCTTTATGCATTAAAATATATTTGAATTGAAATAAATAATCAAAAGCAGAATTTTATGCCAGTACTTTAAAAAAATAGATGGCTTCAAAACTTCATTACCCAAAATTTAGGTAATAAGGAATCACACTTATTAAAAGTAAAAGGCAAAAGTATCCATTTTATGTATTTTTTGGTCACCATAACCTCTAAGTATTGTACATTCACATTTCTATTCTGCAGGTTGACAAATATGCTAAAATAGGACATATTAACATTAAGTTGAAGTAAAAAAGTGCAGCGGGTGCGGTGGCTCATGCCTGTAATCCCAGCATTTTAGGAAGCTGAGGCAGGCAGATTACAAGGTCAGGTTGCAGTGAGCTGCAGTGAGCCGAGATCACACCATAGCGCTTCAGCCTGGGTGACAGAGCAAGACTCCATCTGAAAAAAAAATGTAAAAAACTAAAAACGTGCATGAATAATAAGCTTGATGTAATGGCAGACATATCAGCAGGTAATACAGAACACAGCATCTCCAGACACTGTCACACATTCAACACCAGAATATTATTTTGCATTGAAATATCAAGTATTTTTATAATGCTACGGATTATTATTTTTTGCTGTTTTAATACCTGTTTGTCAAGTATTAGAAGCCATAACAGTTTGTATTTCAAACCAGAATTCTTTTATATTCTCTTTTGTAAAGCATTTGGCCACTGGGGGCAAACATAACCAAGCCATTTAATAAATTTCTTCTTTTTTTTCTAACTTTTATTTATGGTTCAAGGGTACATGTGCAAGTTTGTTACATACATTAATGTGTGTCATGTTGTGTGTTGTATAGATTATTTCATCACCCAGTTAATAAACCTGGTACTCAATAGTTATTTTTTCTCATCATCTCCCTTCTCCTACCCTCCACCCTCAAGTAGGTGCCAGTGTCTGTTGTTCCTCTCTTTGTGTCTATGTGTTTGTATCATTTAGCACCCACTTATAAGTGAGAACATGTGGTATTTGGTTTTATGTTGCTACATAATTTTGCTAAAAATAATAGCCTCCAGTTTCATTCATGACCTTGTTCCTTTTTATGAGCTACATAGTATTCTGTAGTGTATATATATACATACCATATTTTCTTTATCCAGTCTACCATTGATGGACATTTGCTAGTACTGTATCTTTGCTATTGTGACTATTGCTATAATGAACATACATGTACATGTGTCTTTATGACAGAAAGATATATATTCCTTTGGGTATATACATACACAATAATAGAATTGTTAAGTCCAGTGGTAGTGCTGTTTTTAATTCTTGAGGAATTGCCACACTACTTTCCAGAATGGTTGAACTAATTTACACTTCAACCAACAGTGTGTAAACATTCTGTTTTCTCTTCAACTGTGCCCATATCTGTTGTTTTTCACTTTTTAATAGTAGTCATTGAGACCATGTGAGATGGTATCTCATTGTGGTTTTGATTTGCATTTCTCTAATGGTCAGTGATATTGAACTTCTTTTCATATGCTTATTGTCTGCATGCATGTCTTCATTTAAAAAGTGTCTATTCATGTCCTTTGTCCACTTTTTAATAGGCAAATTTTGCCCATCAGTTTGTTTCTTGTTTGTTTTTTTTTCTTTAAAATACATTCCTTGTACATGCTGGATATTAGACCTTTTTCAGATGTATAGTTTGCAAATATTATTTCCCATTCTGTATGCTTTCTACTGTGTTGATAGTTTCTTTTACTTTATGGAAGCTCTTAAGTTAACTTAGATCCCATATTTGTCAATTTTTGCTTTGTTGTGATTGTTTTGGCATCTTTGTCACAAAACCTTTGCTAGTTCATATGTCTGGAATGGTATTGCTCATGTTGTCTTCCAGTGTTTTTATAGTTTGTAGTTTTACATTTCACTCTTTCATCAATCTTGACTTGGTTTTTGTATGGTGTAAGGAAACTACCCAGTTTCAATCTTCTGCATATGGCTAGCCTGTTATACAGGCACCATTTATTGAATAGGAAGTATTTTCTCTACTGCTTGTTTCTGTCAGCTTTGTCAAAGATCAGATGGTTGTAGGTGTGCAGCCTCATTTCTGGGCTCTCTGTTCTGTTTCATTGGTCTATGTGTCTGTTGTTGTACCAGTACGATGTTGTTTTGATTATGGTGGCCATGTAGTATAGTTTGAAGTTAGATAGCATGATGCCTCCAGTTTTGTTCTTTTTGCTTAAGACTGCTTTGGTTATTTGGGCTCTTTTTTGGTTCCAAATGAATTTTTAAAAGTTTTTTCCCTAGTTTTGTGAAGAAAATCATCAGCAGTTTGATAGGAATAGAACAGAATCTATAAAATATTTTGGGCTGTATGGCCATTTTAACAATATTTTCTATTCATGAGGATAGAATGTTTTTCCATTTGTTTGTATCATCTCTGATTTCTTTGAACAGTGTTTTATAATTCTAGTTGTAGAGAACTTTCACCTCAGTGGTTAGCTGAATTTGTAGATATTTTATTCCTTTTCTGGCAATTCTAAACGGGATTGTGTTCCTGATTTGGCTCTTGGCTTGAAGTTTGTTTATAGGAATGCTAGTGATTTTTTTACATTGATTTCTGTATCCTCAAACTTTGCTGAAATGCTGAAATTGTTTATCACCTTAAGGAGCTTTAGGACTGAGAATATGTGCTTTTCTAGATAGAGAATTCTTTCATCTGGAAATAGAGAGAGTTTGAATCCCTCTCTTCCCATTTGGGTGCTTTTTATTTCTTTCTCTTGTCTGATTCCTTTGGCCAGGACTTCCAATAGTATGTTGAATAGGAGTGGTGAGAGGGTATCCTTGTCTTGTACTGGTTTTCAAGAGGAATGTTTCCACCTTTTGCCCATTCAGTATGATGTTGGCTGTGGGCTTGTCATATATGACTCTTATTATTTTGAGGTATGTTCCTTCAATACCTAGTTTATTGAGAGTTTTTAACAAAAAGATATTTTGAATTTTACCAAAAGCCTTTTTTGCATCTGTTGAGATAATCATGTGGTATTTGTCTTTAGTTCTGTTTATGTCATGAATCACCATATCCACTGGCATATGTTGAACCAATTTTGCATTGATGGATTAAAGTTTACTTAATCATGGTGAATTAGCTTTTGCATGTACTACTGGGTTTGGTTTGGTAGTATTTTGTTGAAGATTTTTGTATCAATGTTTATCAAGGATATCAGGCTGAAGTTGTTTTGTGTGTGTGTGTGTGTGTGTGTGTGTGTGTGTGTGTGTGTGTGTGTGTCTCTGCCAGGTTTTGATGTCAGCATGATGCTTGCTTCATAGAATGAATTGGGAAATAGTTTCAGTAGAAATAATAACAGCTATTCTTTGTACTTCCAGTAGAATTCAGCTGTGAATCCCTCTGGCCCTGGGCTTTCTCCGTTTGGCAGGATATTTACTACTGATTCAATTTCAGAACTTATTATTAGTCTGCTCAGAGATTTCACTTATTGATTCAGTCTTGGGAGGATATGTGTGTCCGGGAATTTACTCATTTCTTCTAGATGTTCTAGTTTGTGCGCACAGAGGTGTTTATGGTAGTTTCTGATGGATATTTTTATTTCTATGGGGTCAGTAGTAATATCCCCTTTGTTGTTTCCAATTATGTGTTTTGGATCATTTCTCTTTTCTTCTATATTAGTCTAGCTAGTAGTCTAACCATTTTATTAATTTTTTTTCAAAATACCAACTACTGAATTTTGTTGATCTTTTTAAATGTCTTCTCATGTGTCAAACTCCTTCACTTCAACTCTGATTATGGTGATTTCTTGTCTTCTGCTAGTGTTGAGCTTGGTTTGCTCTTGGTTCTCTGTTTCTTTCAGTTGCAATGTTAGGTTGTTAATTTGTGATCTTTCTCTCTTTTTGATGTTTAGTACTATACACTTCCCTACTAACACTGCCTTAGCTGTATTCCAGAGATTTCACTATGTTGTATTTTTGTTCTCATTTGTTTCAGAAAACTTCTTGATTTCTGCCTCAATTTCATAATTTATCCAAAACACATTCAGGAGCAGGAGTGTCAATGGAGTGTGGAAGTCCCCCATTATTATTGTGTAATAGTCTAAGACTCTTCAAAGATCTCTAAGAACGTGTTTTATGATTCTGAGTCCTCATGCTGGGTGCATACATATTTGGGATAATTAGGTCTTCTTGCTGAATTGAAGCCTTTACCAGTATGTAATGCCCTTCTATGTAATTTTGAAATCCTTTTTGTTTTAAACTCTGTATTTTCTGAAATTAGAACTGCAACTCCTGCTTTGTTCTGTGTTTCATTTGCTTGGTACAGTTTCTCCATTCCTACATATTGAGTCTTTGGGTGTAATTGCTTGTGAGATGGATCTTTTGAAGATAGCATACTATTGGGTCTTAGTTTTTTAAATCCAGCTTGCTATCCTGCACCTTTTACTTTGGACATGTCTAAATTAAATGAAGATAACCAAGTCATTCATCAAATTTCTGTTGCTAATTAAAATTTGGAATTTATTTCAAATGTATACTCTTGGAGACAAAGGTATATTTTCGTTGGAACTACATACTCAAACAAAAAGGTAAACCCATGACAGTAAATTATACTTCAACTTTCAGTGTCTTTTATTTTCTTATAAGCTGTCAAGTTTATTATTGTTTTTAATTACAGTAAAATTAAATTTACTCGAGGGACATAATGAATTATCAGTTTTTGTTATACAGGATTGACAACATCCATTAACACTTGCATTTGTTTTTCACTTGTATGATAGAATGTGGCCCAGGGATTTTCAGGAGAAAAGACTTCCTAAGCATATATGCAACTTTCATAAACCTTAAAACAATGCTTACCACTTTTCTCGGTGAAGGCACCAATAATATAGTTAGGCATATTATATAACTTTATTATTTATTTATTTATTTATTTATTTATTTATTTATTGAGATGGAGTCTTGCTCTGTTGCCCAGGCTGGAGTGCAGTGGTATGACCTTGGCTCACTGCAAGCTCCACCTCCTGGGTTCATGCCATTCGCCTGCCTCAGCCTCCCCAGTAGCTGGGACTACAGGCACCTGCCACCATGCCCAGCTAATTTTTGTATTTTTAGTAGAGATGGGGTTTTACCATGTTAGCCAGGATGGTCTTGATCTTCTGACCTCGTGATCCACCCACCTTGGCCTCCCAAAGTGCTGGGATTACAGGCATGATACAACTTTATTTTTAAAATTGTTTTAAAATTTCAGTTTTTTTTAAGTTTGGGAGGTACATGTGCAGGTTTGTTACAGTGGTATATTGTGTGATGGTGAAGTTTGTGGCACAAATGATTCTGTCACCGAGGTACTGAGAATAGTACCCAATAGGTACCTTTTCAGTCCATACCTTCCTCTCTCCTTTCTTGACACTTCTATAGTCCCCAGTGTCCATCTTTTTCATATTTATGTCCATGCGTACCCAATATTTAGCTCCTACTTATAAGTAAGAACATGTGGTATTTGGTTTTTGCTTATGTATTAATTTTCTTAAGATAATGGCCTGCAACTGCATCCATGTTGTGCAAAAGTCACCATTTCATTCCTTTTTATGGATGCATAATTTTCTATGGTTTATATATACTATGTTTTTAAAAATTTAATCCACTGTAAATGGGCACCTGTGTTGCTTTTGTGTCTTTTTTATTACGAATAGTTTTTCTGTGTGATTTTCTAGGAGGTGAAATATATGTCTTCATTCTGAACCTTTCTTCTTACCTCATAGTAGTCCCTAATTCAGAAATTATTTGTAAAGGCCAGACCAGAGTTGCAAAGCTAAGAAGTTGTATTTATGCATATATATTGCTAAGTAGTTAAAGAGTACATATATTTTTATTAGGCACAGTACATTTTTGGTTATCAAACAGGTGTAAAAAATCATAAAAGTAAGGCAGATAAGGCTTTTAAATGTAGAAAACCTAAATAAAACAAATAAACTCATTTCTCTAAAACATCAACACTTAAGAAAATATTCTACAAAAAACACTTTTCTGTTATTTCAAGTGTATTATATGAATCATTAACTTTATTGATCAACATTTATGGAGCAGGGCAGTCTTCTAGTAATGTGGTAATAAATATAACAAAAATATCTAATGAAGTTTACAATTTATGGGAAACAGATAATTTAAGAATAATAAAAATAAGTATAATGTTTATTATAGAATAATATAAAATATAAATAAAATATATTTTAAGAATTATAGAATCAAGAATTAATTTAACTTATTTGAAATTAAAGAATTTAAAATAACACATATATGTCAATTGTAAAAGAGCTATGGGGTAGGTTGTAATTTATGTAAGTGAGTAAAAGATAAATTAAACAAGTCTGTGTTGTTCACATCCTGTATATTAAACACTTGGCCCCTGCTCCCAGTTCCTGAGAAGTAATCTTGAAACTTTTTTAATAGTCTATAAAACATATTTTGTAATGTAATATGCTAACAATGTAGTTTATGGTGAGAAATAAGCCTCACAATGACAGCCTGGAGTTTAAGGGCAGTCATATATGTGGTGAGCAATACCAATTTTACTGGCCCCTAACAAAACCCTAGATTGGAATACGATTTTGACTGGAAAGTCCTATGCATGTTGCTGGAGGAATAAGAGCTGTTGGCTTTACCCCACTGGAAAAGCACAGTGTACTATAAGAGACATATTGTGATTACAAGATTATTGAGAGAAATAAAGGCCACACAAGCATCTCATAGTATCAACACTATGTGCCACTTAGCAGTATGATAGAATGTGGCCCAGGGATTTTCAGGAGAAAAGACTTCCTAAGCATATATGCAACTTTCATAAACCTTAAAACAATGCTTACCACTTAAAAAATAGTTTAAACTCCCTTTATGAAAAAAATACTGGTTAATGGACCTGGACTGAATTTAACTATAAGAAAAGGGGAGAGTCTCCCAAATTTTCAGAATGTTACCCAAGTGGAAATTTCTCCTAGTCAGACAGTATTCTGAACCCCTGGCTGTCTCTGCCTATGTCATTGGTCTGCTTCTGTTATCTCTTTGGTTAAGAGTGCTGCTTGCATAAGCTGTTTGAGTATTGAATGGCACCGAACACTTATCTTTGATGCAATCAAACTGAAGGCTAAATGTAGCTCCTGGGGAGGCTGGTTAATGAACATCACTTGAAATTCCCAAACACTACAAAAAGGAGAAGCTTGTCTCTGGTGTCTCCTGAACCTCGCCCTACAAGCCTCTTTGCTGATTAGACCTATATTATTTAACTATAATGCATCATAATGATGAATATAATGGCTTTTCTGAGTTTAGTAAGTTTTCAACAAATCATTGAAGAGGGTACACTTGGGAGTCCTGAACTGTGGTGGCCATGGAGGGTCTTGGATCTTAGCAGTGATATATGAGAAATATATGGAATACGTAAGGTGGTAATCTATGAGTCTAGATTGGGGAACAGCATATAGGAAAAGTGAATGGCTAGTGAAAATCAGTAGTAAGGATCATGTCTCTCATATGGGAAAGTATTGATGAGCCAATTGTGTCTCTCATATGGGAAAGCATTGATGAACCTACAATTGAGTCAACAAGGTAGAAAGAAATACGAAATGTACTACAAGAGGTAATGGAGAGTCATGCTTTTTAGGACCTATGAGCACTTGTAGGAAATTATTGTGTGTGTTCCCTAGCCAGTAACTTCCATGAGCAGAGGCCTATTCATTTACTTTGTTATTGATTGGCTTTGTTGATTAGTAAAAAGACTGTGTGAAATACCATGACAGTAGATAAGTCATCTGTATGTCCACATATGGTATTTTGGCCAAAAAGTTTGTGCAGGGAAGCCAAACCTTTATATAGAATAAGGATCTATTTAGTAACAAAAAACCCCATTGATTTCTCCATGATGGAAGCATGCCAATGTAATTGACTTGCCATGAGGCAGCTAACTGACCACCCTAAAAAAATACCATACTGGGGACACAGTATTAATTTTTGCTGATGACACACTCTACATTCAAAAGTGGCTAGATTGGCCATGGTGGGTGGAAATATATATTGCTGAGCCTATGCATAATGTCAATTTCTGCCACCATAGCCAGTTTTTTCATGAGCCCATTTAACAATGACAGGGATGGCTGGGAAAAAAGACTGACTGGTATTCACAGAATGGAACATTCTATTCACCTGAATATTAACATTTTATCTGCTTAGAACAATCTTTGGTGAGCATCATATGGGGCAGAAATATATTTACATTTCTTGTATTTTCAGAGAGTTCTATCCTTATCCAAATTCTTCAGTAACGTATTTTCCCAGCAACACAGCCAACCATCCAAAGAACTGGCCATAGAATATCAGTTATTATATAATCATATATCACTTGTTCTTCCAAATGAAATGAACAACCAGGTGCAGTGTACCCAAAGTTTTGTCCACTGAATACCTCTTCACCACTGTCTTTCAGGGATGTCCCAGAAAGGGGCTGGAGGGCTGCATGGTATCTGCATATTATATAAAAACATTTGTAAATCAAACCCAAGTGATCTGTTTCTGTTACTGATTGTAAGGAATTCACTATGAAGCCATAGGCACAGGCTGAAAGAGAAAAGCCAGTGTAGAAACAGTGGGGACTATGGACATTTGGGCTACTTCTTTGTGTGATTTACTTGTGCCTTCAAGGCTTGCTTGGGCCCGATTACACATATACCACTTCCATTTGATGATGATGCTAGAGTGCTACTGTGCCTACTAAACTTTGTGTCTTTCTGGGTCAGATAACACCGAGCTCATGATGAGCAGCTCAGTTCACATAGTAATTTTGTGGTCTGTGATTAAGCACTCAGTTTCCACCAAGGCCAAGTAGCAAATTAAAATCTGTTCTTCAGAAGAACAGTGTGTCCCTGAGCCTGTCCTGTGGTTATCTCCCCAGTTCTGCATGCACAACTATAATAACACTCAGAACTTAGCAGAGTCGGCACATTGGCTCCTTGACCTGGGGTGAGGGTAATTATGATTGGGAAGGCAAATCACAATGCAATAGAATTCCCTCTACCTAGAAGAATAGTGAACCTAAAGCTCTACTGCATTCTTGGAGGGACTGCAGAATTAGTGCCACCAACTGTAAATTGAAGGATGCAGGAATGATGACTTCCACTACATCTCTGTCAAATGTACTCTGTGCAAAAGAATATAAATTATTATTTTAAGTTTGGATAATGTTACTGTACTACAATTAGTTCATAAACTGTGGTTTCATTGCTTGAGCAAATTAATACATCCTCAATACCTTTTGAAGGTATTGATCTGGAAAATGCTTTTTCTCTGTATTTGTTAGTAAAGACTATCAGAAACAGCTTGCTTTCAGCTGGTAAGTTTGTAATACGTTTTTACTCTTTAGTGGTATAGCAACATCCAATCCATATCGTATGACTTAGTTCTCAGAGATCGTATTGTCTTTCCTTTCCACAAGATGTAACCATGGCTTGTTATATTTATGACATTATGCTAATTGGACCTAGTGAGGAAGAAATAGAAACTATTATAGATTTCTTTGTCAAAGATTTGCTTGTAGAGAGATGAAAAATACATCTAACAAAATTCCAGGGGACATGTACCTCAGTGAAATTTCTTGGCAACTAGTGTATCTCAGTGAAGTTTCTAGCCAAGTGAAGGATAAGTTGCTATATTTAGATCCTCTTATTCCCCTAAAAGAAAGAGAATGCCTAATAAATTTCTTTTGGGGGCAACATATTTTTCATTTGAGTGAGTTACTCTGTCCCAGTCCCAGTTACAAAGTAACCAAAAAAAGAGTGAGTAATTGAGAAGAGGAGAAGGCTCTTTAATAAGTCCCTACAAACAAGAGAAAGATCTGGAAAAACTGCTCTGCCATTTGTGCCACATTATTTCAATCTTCTATTTTTGAATTGCTTCCTGTACAATACAGAAAGGCAGCTATGGCATTTCAACTTAATTTACTTTGAGCCGTCTTTTGCCACATGTTTTAGCCAACCAACCAAACAATGGTTAGAGCTCTTTTTAACTGCTGATACTGCAACAATGCATGCAAAATGTCTGCTTTGTTAGCTTATATCAATAACCTCAGCTTTATGCAACGTGGTGTTGGATCTAACCATTATCCCACGTGCTTAATATCCATTCCCATACATATCCTCAGATTTCTGTTTGTAAAAACTGAAAAAAAGAATCAAATAGTTCTTTGGAGTGTGGTTTGCATCCTCATGGGTTATATTTTGCACCTCACCTTTAAGGATCTACTAGGGATTGAGTCTATCTATAGAGTTAGAATGAAAAATAGGTGATGGGGTTTGATTAAGAGATCAGTGGTATCTTTCAAGGCAACTAATTGGAAAGGCCATTAAAGTTTTCTCAAGCAAAGCAGGATTAATTTCTTTATATGGAGGTGTAGTGGCTGCTTCCACTGGCGAAGTCTCATCTGAATTTAGGAGTTCAATCTGTCAATTCCAGTTTTTAGTATCCCATTTTTTTCAGATAAGTCTTCTCTACCTAACCGTTTATATTCTCCTAAATTGATAATTTAATTTGTGTTGTAATTCAGCGATGCACATGATGAGATTCTGGGTTTAGTCTTTAGCAATTTCAGCTCTGGTAGTACAGTACTTAGGGTTTATTTTACGTCTGACAGAAAAGCTGTCATATTTTCTAGGAGTTTGAACTTCTGAGCTCAAACTTCCCCTGCTCGTTTTGTATAGTGAAATTCGGAGACACAAGCTGGCCTCACCATACTTGTTAATTTCACTAAAATAACAAGAGGAGTCACACACATTATCACCCAGAACATCACCTCATGTAAGTATTTGATTACAAGTAGCCAGTGATGATGTTTTTTACGTCTCATGTTCACATATGACATGGATATCCCATGCCAATGACTATTGAGTCATTTGAGTCATTATTTACGTTAAATCTTATCATATTAGAGAATTAATTCCAGAAAATCCAGAACTGATACAGGAAATACACTAAAGATTTTCTTGCAATCCACTTTTCTTATCAAAATATGTATTAGTGAGAATTCTACTTATAGAAATAGAATCAGTATGATGTATGGGAAAGTAGATATATGATATATACATTGATTGATAGATAACAAATGATAGATAGATAATTTTAAAAAATTCTTTCATGCAATTTTGGGAACTAGCAAGTCCAAAATCTACAGGGCAAGCTTGAAAGCTAGAGAACTAGGGTTGAGTTGCAGTTTGAGTTCAAAGGCAGTCTGCTGGCAGTATTACTTTTTCATGGGAGGTGAGTTTTTTCCATTGAGTCTTTTCTTTTTATTGACAGCATTTTAATCTTATTTATTTTATTTTAAATTTTATTTTGATAGTATTGGGTAAGCAAGAGTTGTGAGTAAATAGATAAATTGTATAGTGGTAAAGTTTGGGCTTTTGGTATACCTGTCAAACAAATAGTATACATTGTACTCAATAAATAATTTTTCATCCCTCACCCTCATTCCAGCCTTCCCTATTCTGAGTTTCCAATGTGCATTATACCATACTGTAGCCTTTCACATACCCATAGCTTAGCTCCCACTTATAAGTGAGAATATACAGTATTTGGTTTTCCAATCCTGGTTTACTTCTTTTAGGATAATGGCCTCTAGTTCCATCCAAGTGGCTGCAAAACATTATTATCACTGAGTACTCTTCTGTGGTATATATCTACATCTGCCATATTTTTTCTTTATCCACTTATCAATTAAAAGGCATTTAGGTTGATTCCACATCTTTGCAATTGTGAATTGTGCTGTGTTAAACATATGTGTGTTGGTGTCTTTTTAATATAATGATTTCTTTTTCTTGGGGTAGACAGTGCAGCAGTCCCTAACATTTTTGACACCACAGACCAGTTTTATGGAAGAAAATTTTTCCAAGATCTGTGGTGGGGTGCATTACATTTATTGTGCACTTTATTTATATTATCATGCTGTGATATATAATGGAATAATGTAGAATTATTTATTTTTGTAAATATATTTATAATATATTTACAATAATATATTTACAATAATAAATTATTGTAAATATATTTACAGTATGTTAGTAAAAATCAGTGGGAGCCCCAAGTGTGTTTTCTGGCATCTAGACTGTGTCTTCTGGGGTTCATGGGAGACACTGAAGGATCATCAGGCATTAGATTCTCATTAGGAGTGTGCGACAGATCTATTGTGTGTGTAGTTCACAACAGGGTTTGCTCTCCTACAGAAATGTAATGCCACCACTGAGGCAGAGCTCAGGTGTAATCCAAGCAATGGGGAGATGATGATTCACTCAGTCAACTGCCACTCACCTCCTACTATGCAGCCCAGTTCCTAACATGCCAGGGACTGGTACTGGTCCGTGGCTTGGGTTTTGAGGACCCCTGCAGTAGTGGGATTCTTGGATCAAATGGTAGATCTACTTTTCTTTCTTTGAGAAATCTCTATAGTTTTCCATAAAGCTTGTACTAATTTAGATTCTCAACACTATGTATAAGTGTCCCCTTTTCATCATATCTGCATCAACATCTATTGTTTTTTGACTTTTTAATGATTGCCATTCTGGCTGGGGTAAGGTGATATGTAATTGTGGTTTTAATTTTGATCTTCTCATTGTGGTTTTAAATTGCATAATTAGTGATGTTAATAATTTATTCATGTGTTTCTTGACTATTTGTATATTTCCATTATATTTATGTCATTTAACCACTTTAAAATTTTTAAAATTTTGTTTTATTTTAAGTTCCAGAATACATGTGCAGGATGTGCAGGTTGCTTACATAGGTATACATGTGCCATGGTGGTTTGCTGCACAAAATTACCCATCAGCTAGGTGTTAATCCCAGCATGCATTAGCTATGTTTCCTGATACTCTCCCTCCTCCTGCCTCTCCGCTCCCTGACAGGCCTCAACATGTGTTGTTTATCTCCCTGTGTCCATGTGTTCTCATTGTCCCAATTATAGAATATGTGCTGTTTGGTTTTCTGCTTCTGTGTGAGTTTGCTGAGGATAATGGCTTCCTGTTCCATCCATGTTCTTGCAGATAACATGATCTCATTCCTTCCTATGGCTGCATAGTATTCCAGGGTATATATATACCACATTTTCTTTATTCAGCCTATCATTGATGATTTGTCCACTTAAACATTTTTTAATTCCTTTCTATGACTGCATAGTATTACATGGTGTGTTATGTACCACATTTTCTTTATTCAGTCTGTTATTGATGATTCGCTCACTTAAACTTTTTAAATTTAATTTAATTTAAATTAATTTCCAGGCTATAAGTGCAGAACATGCAGGCTAGTTACATAGGTATATGTGTGCCATGGTGGTTTACTGTATCTATCAATCTATCATCTATGTTTTAAGCCCCAAATGGGTTAGCTATTTGTCTTAGTGTTCTTCCTCCTCTCACCCCCTAACCCCTGACTGGTCCCAGACTGTGTTGCTACCCTGCCTGTGTCCATGTATTCTCATTGTTTGATTGCCACTTATGAGTGAGAACATGCAGTGTTTGGTTTTCTGTTCCTGTGTTAGTTTGCTGGGGAGGATGACTTCCAGCTTCATCCATGTCCCTGCAAAGGACATGATCTCATTCATTTTTATGAGACACCATAGTATTCCATGTTGTTTATGTACCAGATTTTCTTTATCCAGTCTATCATTGACGGGCATTTGGGTTGGTTCCACGTTTTTGCTATTGTAAATATTCCTGTAATAAACATATATGTGCATGTGTTTTTTAAAGATTATTATTATACTTTAAGTTTTAGGGTACATGTGCACAATGTGCAGGTTTTTGTTACATACGCAGTAGAATGTTTTGTATTCCTTTGGGCATATACCTAGTAATGGGATTGCTGGGTCAAATGGAATTCTTGTTCTAGATCCTTGAGGAATCACCACACTGTCTTCCACAATGGCTGAACTAATTTATATTCCCAGCAACAGTGTAAAAGCATTCCTATTTCTCCACAGCCTCTCCAGCATCTATTGTTTCTGGACTTTTTAATAATTGCTATCCTGACTAGTGTGAGATGGTATCTCATGATGGTTTTGATTTGCATTTCTTTAATGATAAGTGATGTTGAGCTTTTTCTCACGTGTTTCTTGGCCACATAAATGTCTTCTTTTGGGACGTGTCTGTTCATATCCTTTCCCCACTCTTTGATGGTTTTTTCATTTTTTTGTGTGTTTTTTTTATTTTTATAAGTTTTTTGTAGATTATGGATGTTAGACCTTTGTTAAATGGGTAGATTGCAAAAAATTTTCTCTCATTCTGTAGGTTGTCTGTTCATAGTTTCTTTTGCTGTGCAGAAGCTCATTAGGTTAATTAGATCCCATGTGTCCAGTTTTGGCTTTTGTTGCAATTGTTTTTGGCTTTTTCATCATGAAGTCCTTGCCCATGTCTATGTCCTGTATGATATTGCCTAGGTTTTCTTCTAGGGTTTTTATGGTTTTGTGTTTTAGATTTAAGTCTTTAATCATCTTGATTTAATTTTTGTATAAGGTGTAAGGAAAGGGTCTAGTTCTAGTTTTCAGCATATGATTTGCCCACTTTTTAATGGAATTTTTCTTCTTGCTGATCTGTTTGTGTTCCATGTAGATTCTGTATATTGGCCCTTTGTTAAATGTATAGTTTACAAATATTTTCTCTCATTCTGTAGGTGGTCTGTTTACTCTATTAATTATTTCTTTTGCTGTCCAGAAGCTATTTGATTTAATTAGGACCCTTTTGTTCATCTTTGTTTTTGTCACAGTTTCTTTTGAGGGTCATAGTTCTAATTTCTTTGCCTAAGCCAATGTCCAGAAGAGTTTTTCACAGGTTGTCTTCTAGAATTTTAATGATTGCAGGTCTTATGTTTAAGTCATTTTTTAATGTCAAAATTTTTTCATTTTTCCTTATTTCTAGGTATAAAAACTAATATTTTAATTTTATTTTATTCTAAGTTCTGGGATACCTGTGCAGGACATGCAAGTTGGTTACATAAGTAAATATGGGCCACCGTGGTCTGCTGCACATATCAACCCATAACCTAAGTATTAGGCCCAGCATGCATTAGCTGTTTTTCCTGATGCTCTCCCTCCTTCCACAACTCCCTTACCATCTCCCTATGTGTGTTGTTCCTCTCCCTGTGTCCTTGTGTTCTCATTGTTCAGCTCCCACTCACAAGTGAGAACATGCAGTGTTTGGTTTTCTGTTTCTGCATTAGTTTGTTGAGTATAACAACTTCTAGCTTCATGCATGTCCCTACAAAGGATATGATCTCATTCCTTTCCATGTAATACCATAGTATTCCATGGCATATGTTTACCACATTTTCTTTATCCAGTCTATCATTGATGGGCATGTGGATTGATTCCATGTCTTTGCTATTGTGAACAGTGCCACAGTGAATGTACGCATGCATGTATCTTTATAACAGAATGCTTAATATTCCTTTGGGTATATACCCAGTAATGGAATTGCTGGGTCTAATGTTATTTCCGGTTCTTGGTGTTTGAGGAATCATCACATTGTCTTCCACAATAATTGAGGTAATTCACATTCCTAGAAACAGTGTAAAAAAGTTTCTATTTCTCCACAACATCACCAGCATCTGTTGTTTCTTGATTTTTTAACAATCACCATCATCACTGACATGAGGTGTTATCTCATTGTGGTTTTGATTTGCATTTCTCTGATAATCAGTGATGTTGAGCTTTTTGTCATATGTTTGTTGGTCACATGTATGTCTTCTTTTGAGAAATGTCCATGTTCACTTTTTTCTTGTAAATTTGTTTAAGTTCCTTGTAGATTCTAGATATTAGGGCTTTGTCAGATGGATAGATTGCAAAAATATTATCTCATTCTTTAGATTGTCTGTTTGCTCTGAACATAGTTTCTTTTGCTGTGCAGAAGCACTTTAGTTTAATTAGATCCCATATGTCAATATTGACTTTCTAAAATTATACTTTAAGTTCTGGGATACACGTGCAGAACCTGCAGTTTGTTACATAGGTATACATGTGCCATGGTGGTTTGCTACACCTATCAACCCATAATCTACATTAGGTATTTCTGCTAATGTTATGCCTCCCCTAGATCCCCCATCCCCCAACAGGCCCTGGTGTGTGATGTTCCCCTTCCTGTGTCCATGTGTTCTCATTGTTCAGCTCCTACTTATGAGTGAAAACATGTGGTGTTTGGTTTCCTGTTCCTGTGTTAGTTTGCTCAGAAAGATGGTTTCCAAGTTCTTCCATGTCCCTGCAAAGGACATAAACTCATCCTTTTTATGGCTGCGTAGTATTCCGTGGTGTACATGTACCACATTTTCTTTATCAAGTCTATCATTGATGGGCATTTGGGATGGTTCCAAGTCTTTGCTATTGTAAATAGTGCTGCAATAAATATGAGTGCATGTGTCTTTATAGCAGCATGCTTTATAATACTTTTGGTATATACCCAGTAATGGGATTGCTGGTCAAATAGTTTTAGATCATTGAGGAATTGCCACAATAGTTTTAGATCATTGAGGAATTGCCACACTGTCTTTCACAATGGTTGTACTAATTTACACTCCCAATAAGTGTTGAATTTTATCAAAGGCCTTTTCTGTGTCTATTGAGATAATCATGTGATTCTTGCCTTTGTTTCTGTTTACGTAATAAATTAAAATTATTGATTTGTGTATATTGAACTAGCCTTGCATCCTGGGGGTGAAGCCAACTTGATTGTGGTGGATAAAATTTTTGATGTACTGCTGGGTTGGATTGCCAGTATTTTATTCAGGATTTTTGCATCAGTGCTCATTAGGGATATTGAGCTGAGTTTTTGTTGTTGTTGTTGTTGTTGTTGTTGTTGTTGTTGTTGTTTTTGCTGTCTCTCTGCCAGGTTTTGGTATCATGATAAGGCTGGCCTTATAAAATGAGTTATGGAGGAGTCTTTTCTTTTCAATTATTTGGAATAGCTTTAGAAGAAATGGTACCATCTCCTCTTTGTGTGTCTCATAGAATTCATATGTAAATCTGTCTGGTACTGGGCTTCTTCTTGGTTGCTAGGCTACTTATTCTGCCTCAATTTTAGAACTTATTATTGTGAATTTGGGCATTTAACTTCTTCCTGCTTCAGACTTGGGAGATTGGATATGTTGAAGAATTTATCTACTTCTAGATTTTCAGGTTTATTTACACAGAGATGTTTGTAGTATTCTCTGATGGTTGTTTGTATTTCTGTCTGGTCAGTTGTGGTATTCTTATCATTTCTGGTTGTGTTTATTTGAGTCTTTTGTCTTTTCTTCATTATTAGTCTAATTAGTGGTCTATTTTATTTTATTTTATTTTTTTTTTTCAGAAAACTAGCTTCTGGATTTGTTGATTTTTTGAAGGGTTTTTCATGTCTCTATCTCCTTCAGTTCCACTCTGATCTTAGTTTCTTGTCTTCTGCTAGCTGTGGGAATTGTTTGCTTTTGGTTTTCTAGTTCTTTTAGTAATGATATTAGGTTGTTAACTTGAGATTCTTGTAGCTTTTTGACGTGGGCATTTAGTGGTATAAATTTCCCTCTTAACGCTGCTTTAGCAGTGTCCCAGAAATTTTGGTATGTTGTCTTTTTGTTCTCATTGGTTGTAAAGAACTTCTGGATTTCCGTCTTAATTTCATTATTTACCCAGAAGTTATTCAGGAGCAGGTTGTTCAATTTCCATGTGGTTATTGGTTTTGAGTGAGTTTCTTAATCTTGAGTTCTAATTTGATTGTGCTGTGGTCTCAGAGACTGTTTGCTATGATTTTAGTTCATTTGCATTTGCTAGAGATTTACTTTCAATTATGACACTACAATTTTAGAGTAGATCAATTTTAGAGTGATCAATTTTAGAGTAAGTACCATGTGGTGGTGAGAAAAATGCATATTCTGTTTATTGGGGATTGAGAGTTCTGTAGATGTCTGTAAGTTACACTTTGTCCAGGGGCGTGTACACATCTGAATATCTTTGTTAATTTTCTGTCTGAAAGGTGTAATATTGACAGCGGGCTACTACAGTCTCCCACTATTATTTCTTGGGAGATGTCTAAGTCTCTTTGTAGGTCTTAATAACTCATTTTGTGAATCTGGGTGCTCCTGTATTTGCTGCATGTGTACTCAGGATAGTTAGTTTTTCTTGTTGAATGAAACCTTTAACTTTATGTAATGCTCTTCTTTGTCTTTTTTGACCTTTGTTGGTTTAAGTTGTGTTTGTCAGAAACTAGCATTGCAATCCCTGCTTTTTCTACTTTCCATTTGCTTGGAAAATTTTCCTCCATGCCTTTATTTTGAATCTGTGTGTGTCTTTACACATGAGATGTGTCTCTTGAATATGGCACACTAATGGGTCTTATTTTTTTTTTTTTTTTTTTTTTTTGAGACGGAGTCTCGCTCTGTCGCCCAGGCCAGACTGCGGACTGCAGTGGCGCAATCTCGGCTCACTGCAAGCTCCGCTTCCCGGGTTCACGCCATTCTCCTGCCTCAGCCTCCCGAGTAGCTGGGACTACAGGCGCCCGCCACCGCGCCCGGCTAATTTTTTGTATTTTTAGTGGAGACGGGGTTTCACCTTGTTAGCCAGGATGGTCTCGATCTCCTGACCTCATGATCCACCCACCTCGGCCTCCCAAAGTGCTGGGATTACAGGCGTGAGCCACCGCGCCCAGCCCGGGTCTTATCTTTTTATCTAGCTTGTCAGTCTGTGCATTTTAATTGGGGCATTCAGCCTATTTACATTTAAGGTTAATATTGTTACATGTGAATTTGATCCTGGCTTCATGATGTTAGCTGGTTAATTTTGCAGCCGTGATGATGTAGTTTTTTCATAGTGTCATTTGTCTGTGTGCTTCAGTGTGTTTTTGTAGTGGCTGGTAAAAATTTTTCCTTTCCATATTTAGTGCTTCCTTCAGGAACTCTTCCAAGTTCCTGAAGCTCCACCCAGTTGGAGCTTCCCAGCCACTTTGTTTACCTAATCAAACAACTAACTCAGCAATGGCTGGCGCCCCTCCCCCAGCCTCACTGCTGCCTTGCAATCTGATCTCAGACTGCTGTGCTAGCAAAGAGTGAGATTCTGTGGGCATAGGACCCTCCAAGCCATGTGCAGGATATAATCTCCTGGTGTGCCATTTTTTAAGGCTGTTGGAAAAAGTGCAGTATTAGGGTGGGAGTGACCCAATTTTCCAGGTGCTGTCTCTCACCCCTTTCTTTGACTAGGAAAGGGAATTCCCTGACCCCTTGCATTTCCCAGATGAGGTGATGCCTCGCCCTGCGTCAGCTCTCACAGGGTGCGCTACACTCCCCAGTGAGATGAACCTGGTACCTCAGTTGGAAATGCAGAAATCACCCGTCTTCTGCATCACTCACGTGGAGAGCTGTAGACTGGAGCTGTTCCTATTCAGTCATGTTGGCTCCTCCCCTCCGAATTTTTAATAATAGCCATTTTTTTCAGTGTAAGAATGTATCTTATTGCAGTTTTGATTTGAAATTCTCTAATGATTACTGATATTGAGCTTCTATAATATGCTTGTTGTCCACATGTATGTCTTCTGAAAAGCTCATGTCTTTCACCCTTTTTTAATAGGGTTGTTCATTTTTTCTTATTAATTTGTTTACATTTCTTAAAGGTGTTGAATATTAGACCTTTGTCAGATGCATAGTTTGCAAGCATTTTCTCCCATTCTGAAGGCCACCCATTTGGTCAGATGATAGTTTCTTTTGCTGTGCAGAAACTCTTTAAGAACAACAGACACTGGGGCCTACCTGAGGATGGCATGTCAGGGAGGAAGAGGATCAGGAAAAATTATTAATAGGCAGTAGGCTTAACACAATAAATACTCTGCACAGCAACCCCACTGGTATGAGTTTACATATATAAAATACCTTCACATGTGCCCATAAACTTAAAATGCAATCCCATTTACAATATTCACAAAAAGTAAAATATCTGGAAATACAGTTAACCAAATAGGTGAAAGATCTCTATAAAGAGAACTACCAAGCACTGATAGAATAAATTATAGAAAATACAAACAAAAAATACATTGTATAATTATAGTTTAAAGAATCAACCTTTTAAAAATATCCATAATGCCCACAGCAATATATGGATATAGTATTTCTATCAAACTACCAAGTTCAGTTTTCACATAATTAAATAAAATTCTAAAATGCATGTGGAAACAACTAGAAGCTCAAAGCAATCCTAACCAAAGAGCACAAAGCCAGAGGCATTACATTACCAGATTTTCAACTATACTACAATGATTCATTATCCAGAACAGCATGTTATTGTTATGAAGACAGAAAAATGGGCCAATAGAACAGAATAGAGAACTTAGAAAAAATACAGCATAGCTACCACCAACTGATCTTTGAAAAAGTGAACAAGAATAAACAATAAAGAAATGACTGTTTAATAAATAGTGTGGGAAAACTGGCTAACCATATACAGAATAATAAAACTGGACTCCTATTTATCCTCATATACCATATCTTTAAGTCAAGATGAATTAAAGAGTTAAATTTAAACCCTCAAACTACATTCTATAAGAAAACCAGCAAAATGCCATTCTGGATGTTGGTCTTAGCAAATACTTTATGAACAAATAATTAAAAGCAATTGAAACAAAAAGAAAAATTGACAAGTGAGACCTAATTAAAGAACTTCAACACAGCAAAAAAACTGTAAACACAGTAAACAGACAAACTACAAAGTAGGAGAAAAATTTTTGCAAACCATTTATCTTATAAGGGACTAATACCCAAAATAAATTAGGAAATTAAACAGTGCAACAAGGAAAAAACAAATCACTCCATTAAAACACGGGCAAAGGGCATGAACAGACACTCTCCAAAGAAGACTTACAAATGGCCAACAAAGTATGGGAAAAATGCTTCATGTTGCTAATTATCAGAGAAATGTAAATCAAAATAACAATGAGATATCATTACCCATAAGTCAGAATAGCCATGATTAAAATGTCAAAAAAATAAAAGATATTGGTGATGCCATGTGGAAAAGGTAATACTTGCACATTATTGCTGAGAATGTAAATTAGCTCAACAACTGTGGAAATTACTTTGGAGATTTCTCAAAGAGCTAAAAACAGAACTCCCATGTAACCCAACAACCTTATTATTGCTTATATATGCCTAAAAATATGGTTGTACCAAAAATGCACATGCATTCATATCACAGCACTATTTACAATAGCAAAGACATTAAATCAACATAGGTGTCCTTAAGTGGTGGTTTGGATAAAGAAAATATGGTACTTATACAACATAAAATACTACGCAGCCACAAAAAAAGACTTAATGTTTTCTGTAGCCACATGCATGCAGCTAGACACCATTACCCTAAGTCATTTAACACAGAAAACCAAATGTTGCATGTTCTCATTATAAACGGGAACTAAATCTCATGTACACATGGATATAAAAATGAAAACAATAAACACTGTGGGCTCCAAAAAGAGTAAGTTAGAAAGGGGGACAAAGGCTGAAAAAGTTTATATTGGGTACCGTATTTACTATATGGGAGATGGGACCAATAGAAGCCCAAACCTCATCTTCATAAAATATATTCTATAACAAACCACTGAATTGAAAATTAAAATGAAATTTTAAAAAGAAGAAAAAATGTAAGTTGAAAGTGTGTGAGTAACTAGGAGCTGCATCTGGCTTGTATTATTTCAGGAAAAATACAGTTTGTATTCAATGCATATTATCTTGATGCCATTAAAAACTTAACTAACCTCTAAAGATACACATAGACTGAAAACAAAAGGATGGAATAAGATATTTCATTACAACTGAAACAGATCACTATAACTATATTTATATAAGACAAAGAGATTTTAAGACAAAAACTGTAAAAACAGACAAAGTATAATGATAAAGGAGTCAATCCAGAAACAGGATATAACAATTGCAAGTATACATATTCACCCAACACTAGAGCACCCAGATAATTAAAGCAAATATTATTAGAGTTAAAGAGAGCAATAGACTTCAATACAACAATAACTGGACACTTTAACACCCCACTTTCAGCATTGTGCAGATCTCTGAGAGAGAAACTCAACAAAGAAATATTGGACTTAATCTGCACTATAGGCCAAATGCGGCTAATAGATATTTACAAAACATTTCATCCAGTGCCTGCAGAATACACATTCTTCCCAGAAGCAGACGAATCATTCTCAAGGACAGAACATATATTAGGTCACAAAACAATTCTTAAAATATTCCAGAGCTAAAATAATATCAAGTGTCTTATCTGGCCACAATAAACCAGGCTAGAAATCAACAAAAAGAGGAATTTTTGAAACTATATAACCCATGAATATTAGACATTATGCTCCTGAATGACCAGCTGGTCAATCAAGAAATTAAGAAGGAAATAAAAAAATTTATTGAACCATGATAATGGAAACACAACATTGTCTAAGATAATGTCTGGAGTTTTGTGTCCTATCTCCAAGATGATTAAGGAGTATGGAAACACAGGTGAGGTTAGAGTGAATGATTAACGAGTGAAAGAGGAAAGCTCTCTGCCAGCACAAAAAGGGGGTCCTGAATGGGAGTATCCCCTATGAGGTGGGGTCCATGGTTTTCATGGACTGGGAAGGAGAAGGAGTACGCTTACTCTGCAGGCTGTTTTAGCAAATGTGCAACTCAGCTTGGCCTAGGACCTTGGCCTGGGACCAATGAGGAGGTGAAATGATGTTTCATAATTGCTGCTTAGCTTGGCCTAAGACCTATCAGAAGTTGATGTGAAAGCTTGGCCTGGGACCTTGGCTCAGGACAAATCAGAGGCTGAGATGATGATTCATAGAAGCCAAACTTATAGTTCTAATAAATAAAAGTAGGGTGCCCACTGGGACCTACCAGAGTCCACTGTGCCCATGACCACAAAAGAAGAAGAAACATTTTCCTGGGAGCCTGCTGACTATACAAAAGATAAAGGCATTCCCTTCTCTGAGTGAGCTGGAGGTTTGTGCACAATTATATCCAAATGGGTTTGGAGGTTTTTCAATCTGTGCAGTAATGGACCTGTCTGCAGGCACAACACCCTGTGCAAGTTTCCTTATTGGTGCCTGCAGCTTGAATTATTTCCCAGGCTGCTTTTTATGTTATGTGGGGATGAGGCACTGACCCATTAGCCTGGGACTCTCCGTGACTCTTCCCTTGTTATCTAACTAGAGCATTGATTTTTCTGGCTACTTTTTGCTAGAGAGGTGCATTGTGTTAGGAACAGCAGCTAGGATTCCTCCCAAGGTTGGCTTACATGTTATTCATTCATGGAAAGGTGCATTCATGCATGGTTCCATTTGCATCACTGTTTGGAGTTTGATAGCCTCTAGATGAAAAGAAACAATTTTGGTTATTAGAGGACATGTATTAAAATGAGACAAGGGGGGTAAAAGCAGCTTAAAAATGTTAAGGCTGCTTACATGTCCCCGTAACTAGTGGCTAGAGTTGGGCTTGCTAAGATTTGGGTGCATAGGGCTTGGCTTTGGTTAGCTTTCTTGATTTTTTTTCTTTCAAGGAAATTTCTGGGCTATGGGCATCATATTTGTTCCCATTACCCAGAAGGAGCTGCAAAACAATTGCTCAGAGCCAGAATATTGATCTAGAGTTTTACATTCCCCATCCTTCTGTCACCTCTGAGCTATAGCTGGAGATTCCTGGTTGGCTCATAGGAATAAGCACAATTATTTTAAAATGTAGACAAATACTTAAAAATAACTAATGAAACTAGAAGTTAATGATAAATGTATGATAAGTTTTAAAACATAATTTCTTTCTCTTCAGTTCTCATTTTTGTTAAAAGCAACTTATGATAGGACACGGCTATTTGCAAAATAGACTTTAGTATTATACTTGGCATAATTATTTGCATAAAGTGCAGCAAGAATAATCACCTTTATGTAGTCCTTTTTGACTGGCATTGATGGAACTCTGTTCCACAAGGAATCTCAGGCAGAACTCCTTAAAACAAGGCTAGCCTTGGGTTTGTATTTTCAAATACCTGTGAGCGTTGGGTAAACTTTTTTTTTTTTTTTTTTTTTGCAGTTCCAGGAGCATTGGTTTCCTAGGCCTGTTAGAAAGTGACATTCTTTACTCACCACAGGTCAGGAATCCTGTACAGAGACTGTGTAGACAAAATATGAGGTCAGTTTTCCCAAGCGGCTTTTATCCGCTCTGCAAGCCAAGCTTGATTCCTTAAAGGGAAACACACCCATCTAGTCAAGGCCTTGGTAAAACAACCAGTTTTTTCAATTGTGTCTTGTTGCAAAAGAAAATAAATTCCTGTTGCACTGATGCAAACAACTATACTGTTGTAAGTAAAAAAACAGTCATAACTAGTTTTTGAATTTTAGAAGAACTAGGCAGAGAGAAATAAACATGTTCGAAATTTTGTTCATAGGAGTATACCTTGCTCAGTTGTTGAAAGAAGGTGTTTTTGTGTGTGTGTGTGTGTTTTTTTTTTTTTTTTGAGGCAGAGTCTCACTCTGTCACCCAGGCTGGATCACAGTGACTCAATCTCAGCTCACTGCAATCACCACCTCCCGGGTTCAAGCAATTCTCCTGCCTCAGCCTCCTGAATGTCTGGGATTACAGGCATGTGCCACCATGCTCAGCTAATGTTTGTATTTTTAGTGGAGATGCGGGTTTCACCACGTTGGTCAGGCTGGTCTTGAATTCCTGACCTTGTGATCCACTCACCTCAGCCTCCCAAAGTGCTGGGATTACAGTCATGAGCCACCGTGCCTGGCCAAAAGCTTTTAAGGAATTTTCCTTGAGTCTGAAAAACAAAAAAGGATCAGCAGGAGGAGCCAAGATGGCCGAATAGGAACAGCTCCGGTCTACAGCTCCCAGCGTGAGCGACGCAGAAGACGGGTGATTTCTGCATTTCCATCTGAGGTACCGGGTTCATCTCACTAGGGAGTGCCAGACAGTGGGCGCAGGCCAGTGGGTGCAAGCACCGTTCGGGAGCCGAAGCAGGGCGAGGCATTGCCTCACCTGGGAAGCGCAAGGGGTCAGGGAGTTCCCTTTCCGAGTCAAAGAAAGGGGTGATGGACCCACCTGGAAAATCGGGTCACTCCCACCCGAATATTGTTCTTTTCAGACCGGCTTAAAAAACGGCGCACCACGACACTATATCCCGCACCTGGCTCGGAGGGTCCTACACCCACGGAGTCTCGCTGATTGCTAGCACAGCAGTCTGAGATCAAACTGCAAGGCGGCAGCGAGGCTGGGGGAGGGGAGCCCGCCATTGCCCAGGCTTGCTTAGGCAAACAAAGCAGCCCAGAAGCTCGAACTGGGTGGAGCCCACCACAGTTCAAGGAGGCCTGCCTGCCACTGTAGGCTCCACCTCTGGGGGCAGGGCACAGAAAAACAAAAAGACAGCAGTAACCTCTGCAGACTTAAATGTCCCTGTCTGACAGCTTTGAAGAGAGCAGTGGTTCTCCCAGCCCGCAGCTGGAGATCTGAGAACCCGCAGACTGCCTCTCAAGTGGGTCCCTGACCCCTGACCCCGAGCAGCCTAACTGGGAGGCACCCCACAGCAGGGGCACATTGACACCTCACAATGCAAGGTATTCCAACAGACCTGCAGCTGAGGGTCCTGTCTATTAGAAGGAAAACTAACAAACAGAAAGGACATCCACACCGAAAACCCATCTGTACATCACCATCATCAAAGACCAAAAGTAGATAAAACCACAAAGATGGGGAAAAAACAGAACAGAAAAACTGGAAACTCTAAAACACAGAGCAACTCTCCTCCTCCAAAGGAACGCAGTTCCTCACCAGCAACGGAACGAAGCTGGATGGAGAATGACTTTGACGAGCTGAGAGAAGGCTTCAGACGATCAAATTACTCTGAGCTATGGGAGGACATTCAAACCAAAGGCAAAGAAGTTGAAAACTTTGAAAAAAATTTAGAAGAATGTATAACTAGAATAACCAATACAGAGAAGTGCTTAAAGGAGCTGATGGAGCTGAAAACCAAGGCTCGAGAACTACGTGAAGAATGCAGAAGCCTCAGGAGCCGATGCGATCAACTGGAAGAAAGGGTATCAGCAATGGAAGATGAAATGAATGAAATGAAGTGAGAAGGGAAGTTTAGAGAAAAAAGAATAAAAAGAAATGAGCAAAGCCTCCAAGAAATATGGGACTATGTGAAAAGACCAAATCTACGTCTGATTGGTGTACCTGAAAGTGATGGGGAGAATGGAACCAAGTTGGAAAACACTCTGCAGGATATTATCCAGGAGAACTTCCCCAATCTAGCAAGGCAGGCCAACGTTCAGATTCAGGAAATACAGAGAATGCCACAAAGATACTCCTCGAGAAGAGCAACTCCAAGACACATAATTGTCAGATTCACCAAAGTTGAAATGAAGGAAAAAATGTTAAGGGCAGCCAGAGAGAAAGGTCGGGTTACCCTCAAAGGGAAGCCCATCAGACTAACAGCGGATCTCTCGGCAGAAACCCTCCAAGCCAGAAGAGAGTGGGGGCCAATATTCAACATTCTTAAAGAAAAGAATTTTCAACCCAGAATTTCATATCCAGCCAAACTAAGCTTCATAAGTGAAGGAGAAATTAAATACTTTACAGACAAGCAAATGCTGAGAGATTTTGTCACTAACAGGCCTGCCCTAAAAGAGCTCCTGAAGGAAGCGCTAAACATGGAAACGAACAACCAGTACCAGCCACTGCAAAATCATGCCAAAATGTAAAGACCATCAAGACTAGGAAGAAACTGCATCAACTAACGAGCAAAATCACCAGCTAACATCATAATGACAGGATCAAATTCACACATAACAATATTAACTTTAAATGTAAATGGACTAAATGCTCCAATTAAAAGACACAGACTGAAAAATTGGATAAAGAGTCAAGACCCATCAGTGTGCTGTATTCAGGAAACCCATCTCACGTGCAGAGACACACATAGGCTCAAAATAAAAGGATGGAGGAAGATCTACCAAGCAAATGGAAAACAAAAAAAGGCAGGGGTTGCAATCCTAGTCTCTGATAAAACAGACTTTAAACCAACAAAGATCAAAGAGACAAAGAAGGCCATTACATAATGGTAAAGGGATCAATTCAACAGGAAGAGCTAACTATCCTAAATATATATGCACCCAATACAGGAGCACCCAGATTCATAAAGCAAGTCCTGAGTGACCTACAAAGAGACTTAGACTCCCACACATTAATAATGGGAGACTTTAACACCCCACTGTCAACATTAGACAGATCAACGAGACAGAAAGTCAAAAAGGATACCCAGAAATTGAACTCAGCTCTGCACCAAGCAGACCTAATAGACATCTACAGAACTCTCCACTCCAAATCAACAGAATATACATTTTTTTCAGCACCACACCACACCTATTCGAAAATTGACCACATACTTGGAAGTAAAGCTCTCCTCAGCAAATGTAAAAGAACACAAATTATAACAAGCTATCTCTCAGACCACAGTGCAATCAAACTAGAACTTAGGATTAAGAATCTCACTCAAAGCCGCTCAACTACATGGAAACTGAACAACCTGCTCCTGAATGACTACTGGGTACATAACGAAATGAAGGCAGAAATAAAGATGTTCTTTGAAACCAACGAGAACAAAGACACGACATACCAGAATCTCTGGGACGTATTCAAAGCAGTGTGTAGAGGGAAATTTATAGCACTAAATGCCCACAAGAGAAAGCAGGAAAGATCCAAAATTGACACCCTAACATCACAATTAAAAGAACTAGAAAAGCAAGAGCAAACACATTCAAAAGCTAGCAGAAGGCAAGAAATAACTAAAATCAGAGCAGAACTGAAGGAAATAGAGACACAAAAAACCATTCAAAAAAATCAATGAATCCAAGAGCTGGTTTTTTGAAAGGATCAACAAAATTGATAGACCGCTAGCAAGACTAATAAAGAAAAAAAGAGAGAAGAATCAAATAGATGCAATAAAAAATGATAAAGGGGATATCACCACTGATCCCACAGAAATACAAACTACCATCAGAGAATACTACAAACACCTCTACGCAAATAAACTGGAAAATCTAGAAGAAATGGATAAATTCCTCGACACATACACTCTCCCAAGACTAAACCAGGAAGAAGTTGCATCTCTGAATAGACCAATAACAGGAGCTGAAATTGTGGCAATAATCAATAGTTTACCAACCAAAAAGAGTCCAGGACCAGATGGATTCACAGCCGAATTCTACCAGAGGTACAAGGAGGAACTGGTACCATTCCTTCTGAAACTATTCCAATCAATAGAAAAAGAGGGAATCCTCCCTAACTCATTTTATGAGGCCAGCATCATTCTGATACCAAAGCCGGGCAGAGACACAACCAAAAAACAGAATTTTAGACCAATATCCTTGATGAACATTGATGTAAAAATCGGCAATAAAATACTGGCAAACCGAATCCAGCAGCACATCAAAAAGCTTATCCACCATGATCAAGTGGGCTTCATCCCTGGGATGCAAGGCTGGTTCAATATACGCAAATCAATAAATGTAATTCAGCATATAAACAGAGCCAAAGACAAAAACCACATGATTATCTCAATAGATGCAGAAAAAGCCTTTGACAAAATTCAACAACTCTTCATGCTAAAAACTCTCAATAAATTAGGTATTGATGGGACGTATTTTAAAATGATAAGAGCTATCTATGACAAACCCACAGCCAGTATCATACTGAATGGGCAAAAACTAGAAGCATTCCCTTTGAAAACTGGCACAAGACAGGGATGCCCTCTCTCACCACTCCTATTCAACATAGTGTTGGAAGTTCTGGCCAGGACAATTAGGCAGGAGAAGGAAATAAAGGGTATTCAATTAGGAAAAGAGGAAGTCAAATTGTCCCTCTTTGCAGACAACATGATTGTATATCTAGAAAACCCCATTGTCTCAGCCCAAAATCTCCTTAAGCTGATAAGCAACTTCAGCAAAGTCTCAGGATACAAAATCAATGTACAAAAATCACAAGCATTCTTATACACCAACAACACACAAACAGAGAGCCAAATCATGAGTGAACTCCCATTCACAATTGCTTCAAAGAGAATAAAATACCTAGGAATCCAACCTACAAGGGATGTGAAGGACCTCTTCAAGGAGAACTACAAACTGCTGCTCAAAGAAATAAAAGAGGATACAAACAAATGGAAGAACATTCCATGCTCATGGGTAGGAAGAATCAATATCGTGAAAATGGCCATACTGCCCAAGGTAATTTACAGATTCAATGCCATCCCCATCAAGCTGCCAATGCCTTTCTTCACAGAATTGGAAAAAACTACTTTAAAGTTCATATGGAACCAAAAAAGAGCCCACATCGCCAAGTCAATCCTAAGCCAAAAGAGCAAAGCTGGAGGCATCACACTACCTGACTTCAAACTATCCTACAAGGCTACAGTAACCAAAACAGCATGGTACTGGTACCAAAACAGAGATATAGATCAATGGAACAGAACAGAGCCCTCAGAATTAACGCCACATACCTACAACTATCTGATCTTTGACAAACCTGAGAAAAACAAGCAATGGAGAAAGGATTCCCTATTTAATAAATGGTGCTGGGAAAACTGGCTAGCCATATGTAGAAAGCTGAAACTGGATCCCTTCCTTACACCTTATACAAAAATCAATTCAAGATGGATTAAAGATTTAAATGTTAGACCTAAAACCATAAATACCCTAAAAGAAAACCTAGGAATTACCATTCAGGACATAGGCATGGGGAAGGACTTCATGTCCAAAACACCAAAAGCAATGGCAACAAAAGACAAAATTGACAAATGGGATCTAATTAAAATAAAGAGCTTCTGCACAGCAAAAGAAACTACCATCAGAGTGAACAGGCAACCTACAAAATGGGAGAAAACTTTCGCAACCTACTCATCTGACAAAGGGCTAATATCCAGAATCTACAATGAACTCAAATTTACAAGAAAAAAACAAACAACCCCATCAAAAAGTGGGCGAAGGACATGAACAGACACTTCTCAAAAGAAGACATTTATGCAGCCAAAAAACACATGAAAAAATGCTCATCATCACTGGCCATCAGAGAAATGCAAATCAAAACCACTATGAGATACCATCTCACTCCAGTTAAAATGGCAATCATTACAAAGTCAGGAAACAACAGGTGCTGGAGAGAATGTGGAGAAACAGGAACACTTTTACACTGTTGGTGGGACTGTAAACTAGTTCAACCATTGTGGAAGTCAGTGTGCCAATTCCTCAGGGATCTAGAACTAGAAATACCATTTGACCCAGCCATCCCATTACTGGGTATATACCCAAAGGACTATAAATCATGCTGCTATAAAGACACATGCGCACGTATGTTTATTGCGGCATTATTCACAATAGCAAAGACTTGGAACCAACCCAAATGTCCAACAATGATAGACTGGATTAAGAAAATGTGGAACATATACACCATGGAATACTATGCAGCCATAAAAAATGATGAGTTCACGTCCTTTGTAGGGACATGGATGAAACTGGAAATCATCATTCTCAGTAAACTATCACAAGAACAAAAAACCAAACACCGCATATTCTCACTCATAGGTGGGAATTGAACAATGAGATCACATGGACACAGGAAGGGGAATATCACACTCTGGGGACTGTTGTGGGGTCGGGGGAGGGGAGAGGGATAACACTGGGAGATATACCTAATGGTAGATGACGAGTTAGTGGGTGCAGCGCACCAGCACGGCACATGTATACATATGTAACTAACCTGCACAATGTGCACATGTACCCTAAAACTTAAAGTATAATTAAAAAAAAAAAAACGCAAAAAAAAAAAGGATCAGCAATGTTCCAAGCAAAAATCAAAAAACATTGCTTTCATTTTTGATTAGTTTAGTCCACCTCATTAAGTATTGTTTTGCTTGATATTTATAAACATTTTAGCTTTTCATGAGTTTTGTATGTTTTTCTGAGAAACTTGCATTTGAGAGAACCTGCTAATAATGTCCAACAGTTTGATTATAAACTATCTTTTGAAGAGAATTAAAAGGAGACACTTGTCTGTAAGTGACAAAATGTTCAGGATAGTTACAGTCAGAAACTCAATTGACAAGAAAATTTGGTTATTTCTGTGGTTTGCCATAACCCAACATAATAATCTTAATTGTAATTGATAGCATATATCCACACATTAAAACCTTGGAAATTCCATGCAGTTTTGGAATATATGTTAATATTATTCAGTAAAATATAACCTGAAGATTAGACCTAATTTTAGCAATCTCATATTTATAAACATGTTAAATAATCCTGTTTACCTTTTTTCTAGATGCTTCAGAGGCTGTTTGCAATACCCAAAAGCCAGGCACCAGGAACGACATCATTGAAACTTAAATTTTATTTTGGGAATTCTGTTGAACATTCTGGAGTTTTAAAATACTTGATATCATGAAATAAAATTTCAGATTACCATAAGTCATTTGTTTTGCCCAAAAAAAGACTTGAGAACTTGAAAATGCAAAACCTTTCATTAGCCTTTATTATTACATAAAAATTATGTTTAAGAGAAAGCCAAAATTCACCCTTGCATTTGTTTATCATTAATGTTAATGCTAATTTTAATGAAATCTTATAGCCAATTCTATTTAATTTTAACCAATTTGACCATGAGG
This sequence comes from Homo sapiens, assembly GCF_000001405.40. Lineage (NCBI taxonomy): Eukaryota > Metazoa > Chordata > Mammalia > Primates > Hominidae > Homo > Homo sapiens. The sequence continues at coordinate 13,558,422 of NC_000024.10, read as the reverse complement.
TGAGATTTTCACAAACCTTTTATAACCCTCTACAAATTTTGCTAAAGAGTAGATTAGCATTTTAAGAAAACCTTGCTGTGCTTTTATTTTAATGCTTGATTTTAAAAACTATATAATAACCTTTTGAATTTAGTTAATATTTTCATGAACAAAATTTCATTTCAAGATTGATTTTTATAATCTTTTCACAATTGCTTAAAACTTGTTTTATTTTATTTAAGCCAATCCTTTATGTTTAGACAAAATATACATTTTCATGTCTTTTTATAATCTTTTACTGAAAACATACTTTACTATTTTTAATACCTTGCATGTAAGCCTTTTTTTTTTTTTTTTTTGTGGGGAGATGGAGTCTCACTCTGTCGCACAGGTTGGAGTGAAGTGGCGCGATCTTGGCTCACTGCAAGCTCTGCCTCCTGGGTTCATGCCATTCTCCTGCCTCAGCCTCCCAAGTAGCTAGGACTACAGGCACATGCCACCACGCCTGGCTAATCTTTTTGTATTTTTAGTAGATACGGGATTTCACCGTGTTAGCCAGGATGGTCTCGATCTCCTGACCTCATGATCCACCTGCCTCAGCCTCTCAAAGTGCTGGGATTACAGACATGAGCCACTGCACCCAGCCATAAGTCTATTTTTAATAGTTTCAATTACATGTCATAATGGTAACTCAGCAATTACTAACTTGAATGTGAAACCTGGTAAGTTGTTTTAATTATGTGCTAGGTACAGTTAAAGTTTGAAATTTTCCAGCATAGTTACGGGCATGGACACTTCCATATGTCCCTAGGCCTTACTCGTTGTGAAGCAGAAAAGTTGAACAGTTCTTAAAGGCCAAAGAAGCAATTTAAAACCTTAAAATATTTAGCAAACCTAGTAACTTACCGGCATAATTTAGACCACCTATTTACATCTCAAAGACATCTGGATTTTATCAATATGCTACAAGGCTGTTTGTATTTCTTAAAGAATAAAGTCACATGAACCAATAGGCACTACAGCCTTTACTTTTTTCTTAAAAATATCTCATCCAAGTGCTTATTCTTCTTTAAGTCAATTAATTAGAGCTCCTTTTTTAAATAGACATCACACACGTAACGCATGTATAACCACACAGACACACAGAGGAAGACCCTATAGTTATATCTTTCATTTGCTAATTTCCCAGTTGGATTATTGGCCTCCTGGTGAGGCCCTTTAAGAACAGGGCTAGGAATACAATTTCCAAGGCCTAATAAACAAGCATAGATGGAAGACCAACACAGATTTTGAGAGGGTCCTATTCACCCCTAATTACAGGGGCTCCATGAGGAAAACAGAGATTTCTCCCAAAGTGGGATATGTGGTGCCTTGTCTGTTTTCCTGAAGAGTCCCAGGCCACCAGAAGTCATTACAGGGTCTTTCATGCATTTACTAGAGTGGCAAGACACAGAGGAGAAAAGTAATTCTGTTGACTGAGGGAAAAAAACCTCTTCCAGAAACAAGATATTTGAAGAGAAAACTGTAAAAGCCTTTTAAATATAACTATAGCTTAGATATCCCCTTTTAATTAAGCTGAGTACACTTTAAGAAAATCATTTTTTATTAATTAAAATTTTACATAGAAGATAAACTGATTTTTATCATTTCTTTTACTGGTTTATACTACTACCTGTTCACAATTATGTTCAGGCTCTCCACTTCCCTCTGGGAGAAGGTGGCTGGGTTTAGGCAAAAGCAGTTTGTTTTACTGGACTTCAGATCCCTCTAGCAGCAGAGCTTGATATTTGAGGAGGTGATTGTTAATCAGAGACCTCCCTTAGAGAACAGCAGTCCTACTACTGTACGGGGTGCAAACAGTTCACTTGTTCCCCATGGTTAATCCTGGCTGTAGAGCTGGACCTCAAGCCTTAGCCAAAACTCCAAAGGCTATTTTCTTCCTTTCTGTTACATAATGATTAAATACCTTCCCTATGGAAAGACTGAGGGCTGGTGTTTTAAGTAAGGCTAGCTTTAGCTGGTTTACGGTTTTCGTGTTTTAGGTTCCCATGTTAGAAAGTGAGTTCTAGCTGCTGTTAGAGAGTGAGTTCTAGCTGAGTTTTTGTGTTTTAGGTTCCCATATTAGAGAATGAGTTTGTTTTATGAGGTAGTATAAAGGATCAGCTATTTCATTGCACCAGGTACCCACAGTCTGCAAAATTCAGTAATGCCCAAGAATCCCATTAACTGTTAAAAGAAATGGGCTTAATCTTTTCTTCATCTGGTGTTTTCATCCCTCCTGATAAGACTAAATCTAGGTACTTTATGTTTGTTTTACAGAGCTGAGCTTTAGATTTTGAGAACCTGTACTCTATTTCAGCTAAAACATTGAGCAGAGCCTTGTTGACTTCTTGAGACCTCCTCAGTTGGGGCAGAGAGGAGAATATTATTTACATGCTTCAAAGCTTAAACTTGAGAGTGAGAAAAACTGGAAAGATCTTTAGACAGAACCTGTTTCAGCAACTTCCTTTTGACATCAGGGACTGCCTGAGTAATTAACTTTTTTTTTTTCTTTAATTGAATTGGGAGACAGGGACATGTGTTTCACTAAAGCTTTTCTCAGCCTTTCCAAAGAGTGAGGGGAATTTTCATCTGGTTTCAGCTTCAACAAGCACAGTTTAGAATAATTGAGAGGTTTGGTTTTAGTTCTTTGTAAGCCTTTTAAAATGCACATAAAAATTGTTTTCTTTTCTACTTATCTATGGAATTACTGGGCTTCAATTAGGGTATTTAAAGGGGTATGTTTCTCTTCCTATTGGAAATGGGGACCATGGCTCTTTTTTACCCTCTTTCCCCTTTTGATTGGCTTTCTTTTGACAGGCTATAGGAGGGATACTGTTTCTCTCTGAATATCTCTGCCCGTTTTTTTAACAGTTAGGGTTTGGCTTAAAAGTTGCATAACATCTCTTCACATAAGATTAAACACTTGGGTTGAATTTCGGAAAACCCCTATATATTTATCAGTGTCATTGGAGAACTTGACTAGGTCCCCCTTTATTTGCCTAAGGTCCTGCAATAAGAAGGGAACTTTAACCCTAGTGGCACCATGCCTATTGGGCATTTTCTGCAGGGACAAGAGCAAAGTTGGGAATTTCTTGAATGGCACAACAAGAGGAGTTAATGATTTGGCTACTGGGATCCCCAAATAACTGGGGCAGGTAGGGCACCCAGTAGTTGCATTTGAGGGTTCCCCAGTGGTTTGTCTCTCTGACTTTGGGTAATCATCCTTTGTGGGCGTGCCTGACAGGCCTGCCAAGAAGACAGTGTCAACTGTACAATGCTTATAAAAATGTGGATTTTCCCACAAAACTAAAAACTAAAACTATGTGGTTTCCCACATAGGAAACCAGGGGCCACTTGCCCTTCTGCCTACAGAAAAGATCTGGTTGTTGAATAGTACAGAAATCAAGACTTCCCTCAGAAGGTCAAGTTTGTTTATCCCCAACATAATAACAAGGTCAGGCCCTTGCACAATAAAATATAAACCATTTTCTCTTCAGAGTCTCAGGGTCAAATGAGGTCCAGTGATTTGAAATGCACTGAAGGGGAGTACAAACTGCATATGGTTTTTTATGTTACCCATCTAGAAAGAGAGGGAGACAACACATCCCTCAGTCCCCTTCCTCTTTTTGTGTGACCCAGGGTTGAGTGAGAGAAAGCACATCCCACTTCTCCTCTTACCTCCTCTTCTCTGGGTCCCATGGACCACCAGAGGTGCTGTCCATGGATACAAGCATGACCTTTCATCTATGACCCCAGAAAAGCTAGTTGGTGGGTTTTAGTCACACTTACCTGCTCAAAACCCTATCCTTCTGTCCTGCTGGATTCCTAGATCCACTTAACACAGAAGGCTCTCAAGGTACCCCAAAGGCTTGGGAGAGATTATGTAGTAGTTGGAGCTGGGCAAGACTTCTTAATGGAGGGAGTGTCCTAACACTATCTCTGGCTTCATTTGCTATGGCCTCAGGAAAAAAGTCAAAATCCCACAGAATGGAACTGATTAATTTTCAAACATAAAATTCCTTTTCTGTTTAAATTCCAATGTAGTTGAATGCAAAGCAGATGCCTCAAAAGAGTGTAAAAATTGAATGTTTGCCCCCCTTTGTTGGGGACAGTATTGAAGCTAAGATCTGTATTATCAGGATGGCTTTCTCCTGGCTGTTGAAAGTGGAGTTTTTCTGTCACTACATAAGACATGGGGCCTGATCATTGATAGAAGAATGTAAAAGGGAAAAGAATTGGGAGAGTAGAGGTTTGGGACTGACAGCTGATAAGACTCCCCATGGAGAAAAATCCCTTTCAACTATGTGGCACCGTAGGGTTAGAAATGTTAGGTAAAGTCCAGGCGCAGTGGCTCACACCTGTAATCCCAGCACTTTGGGAGGATGAGGCAGGCAGGTCACAAGGTCAGGAGATAGAGATCATCCTCACTAAAATGGTGAAAACATGTCTCTACTAAAAATACAAAAAATTAGTCGAGCATGGTGGTGGGCACCTGTAATCCCAGCTACTCGGGAGGCTGAAGCAGGAGAATTGCTTGACCCTGGGAGGCAGAGGTTGCAGTAAGCTGAGATCACACCACTCCACTCCAGCCTGGGTGACACAGACAGACTCTGGCTAAATTAAAATAAAATAAAATAAAATAAAAATTAAAAAAGAAATGTTAGGTAAAATCTCTAACTCTAAATTATTTTCAGGCAAAATTTAGAAAGAAAGGTTTGGATTTGATAGGCTGTCCATATAACATGGCTTCCAGCATAAGAAAATTAATTTGTTTCATAAAAGAACTGATTAAATTCACTGGACAATGCTGAACTCTTAATGAAGTAAAAAAACAACTTAAAAGTGGAGGAGGATATTCACTCAGGGTGAAATATTCTCCCATTCAGTGCTATGAATGTCCATCATTGAGGGATAGAAGGGGCATTACTAGGTGAAAACTTAGATTGAAATACTGAATTCCCCCTGTTTCTAGGAAATCACAAAACAACAACTCTTTGAATTACATTCCTCATTTCTAAAACACCTACTAACTACCCAGCAAGACTATGTCTCTAGGTTGCAAAAATACCCACAACATTGTATTCAAAGAACGAATAGGAGACATGATAGCTGTGAGAGAAAAGAAGGAAAATGTGATAGGAATAAGTCCTGGGGCTGGCCCTGTTGAGCTGTCATGCAATGGAGTTAGTCTAAGGGCCTTCAGATAACTCTGGGGTGTAGTCCCAGCCAGAAATCTTAAGTAGCCCTAAGACCTCCTTCCAATCCCACACAATGGCTTAGGCCCTCCGTGAAAGTGAGACGAGATGTCTTCTTCCCATCAAAGGTTTTTCTCCATCGAAGGGTTCATGGTCTCATGGGCTTCAAGGAATGAAGCATGGACTCAGCAGCGAGTGTTATAGCTTGATTAGAGAAACGCATGGATCCAAAGAGTGTGCAACGGCAAGACTTACTAAAGCAAAAGTGAAAGTAAAGCAAAAGTAAAGCTTCCACATGGTGGAAGTGGACCTGGAAGGGTTGCTGTCTCTGACTTCGGTGTCCTATGCTTATATCCACTTATGACTCCTCCCTTTTCCTTTTTCTGTCCTATAGGATTAGCTTACTTTCCATCTGGTTGTAGATTGGTGGTCCTGATTGATTAAAAACATCAGGCTGCAGCTACAGCTTAAACTCCCTATATGATTGGTTGATGTTTCAATCCCTTAGTTTGCAGCTATTACTCATTTTGGCTTAGGGGAAAGTCCTCTTTGATTGGTTGAAGTTTCAATCCCTTAGTTTGCAGCTATGATTCATTTTGGCTTAGGAAAAAGCCCCTTGGGGAAGTCCCTCTTGACCCAGGAAGTCCAGACAACTTAGCCACTTTGTCCCTCAAAAAGAAACTAGATTGGAGTAGACAATAAGTTTGAGAAATGAAAGCAAAGAGTTAAAGGTTCACTCTTGCCCTTATGATGAATTATTTTCTTCCCGGCCAATGCACCAAGATGTAACGGTCTTCCATTGTCTGACATAACTTGGGAGTTGTTTTTCCTGCCTCCAAAGATGATTAAGGAGTGTGGAAACAAAGAAGAAGTTACAGTAAAAGTTTAATAAGCAAAAGAGGAAAGCTCTCTGCCAGCACAGAGGGGATCTTAAACAGTAGTACCCGCTATGAGGCTGGGGTCCAGGGTTTTGTTGTTTTTGCTGTTGTTGCTGTTGTTTTGAGACAGAGTGTCACTCTGTTGCCCATGCTGGAGTGCAGTGGTGGTGTGATCTTGGCTCACTGCAACCTCCGCCTCCCGGGTTCAAGCAATTCTCCTGCCTCGGCCTCCTGAGTAGCTGGGACTACAGGCACACAACACCACGCCTGACTAATTTTTGTATTTTTAGTAGAGACGGAGTTTCGCCATGTTGGCCAGGACAGGCTCCATCTCCTGACCTTGTAATCCACCCACCTCAGCCTCCCACAGCACTGGGATTACAGGTGTGAGCCACTGTGTCCAGCCTCAGTGTTTTTACAAACTGGGAAAGAGAAGGATGGTTCTTACTCTGCTGGCTGTCTTGGCAAACAAGTAACTCAGCTTGACCCAGGCCTGTGACCAGTCAGGAGCTGAAATGATGCTTCATATATTCTGCTTAGTTTGGACCAGGACATATCAAAAGCTTAAGTGAAAGCTTGGCCTAGGACATTGGCCCAATCAGGGTTGAGGTGATAATTCATAGAAGTTGGACTTAGAGTCCTAATAAAGGGAAGTAAATCACCCACTGGAACCTACTGGATCCCACAGTGCCCATGCCCACAAAAGAAAAAGAAACATTTTTCTGGGCCTGCTGACTATACAAAGGATAAAGGCATTTCTATACATCCTTATCTGAGTGAGCTGGAAATTTGCGCAAGATATTTTTTATCCAAATGAGCTGGAGGCTATTCTATCTGTGCAGCTGTAGGCATGTCTGCAGGCACAACACCCTGTGCTAGTTCTCTTATCAGTGCCTGCAGCTTGAATTTTTTAGGCTACTTTTTATGTTGCATGGGGATAAGGCACCTACCTATTGGCCTGGGGCTCTCCAGGATCCTTTCCTTTTTATCTACCTAAGGCAAGCTAACTAACTCCTTTTAGTACTAGTAGGGGAACTTATAGCTATAAGTGCCTACACCAAAAAAAGAAAAACTCCAAAGAAATAACCTAACAATGCATCTTAAGGAACTAGAAAAGCAAGAGCAAACTGAACCTAAGATTCAAAGAGAAAAATAAAGATCAAAGGAAGAATAAATAATATTGAAATAAAAAACACAAAGAAGTGAAAAGATCTTTACAATTAAGACTACAAAACACTAATGAAAGAAGTTGAAGCAGACATCAAAAAATGGAAAAATATTTAATGTTCATGAATTGAAATAACCAATATTGTTAAAAATAGTCATACTACCCAAAACAGTCTACAGATTCAATGCAATTATCAAAATACCAATGACATTCTTCACAGAAATAGAAAAAAAGTCTCAAATTCATATAAAACCACAAAAGATCCAAAATAGCCAAAGCGATTCTGAGCAAAAAGAACAAAACTGGAGGAATTTATATTACCTGACTTCAAAAATATACTGCAGAGCTATGATAACCAAAACAGCATGACACAGAAATAAAAATAGACACATAAACCAATGTAACAGTATAAAGAACTCAGAAACCATACACCTACAGTGAGCTTATTTTCAAAAAAGGTATCATACATATTGGGAAAAGCAGTTTCTTCAATAAATGGTGCTGGGAAAAGTGGATATCTATATTCAGAATAATAAAATTATACCCCTATTTCTTATCATATACAAAAATTAAATCAAAATGGATTAAAGACTAATATAGGATCTCCAACTAGAAAACTACTAAAGTGAAACATTGGGGAAACTCTCCAGGACGTTGTTCTGGGCAAAATTTCTTGAGTAATATCCCAAAAGAACAGGAAACCCAAGCAAAATGAACAAACGGGATCATATCAAGTTACAAAGCTTTCTGCACAACAAAGGACACAATCAACAAAGAGAAGAGACAACCCACAGAATGAGAGAAAATATCTGCAAACTACCCAATTGACAAGAAATTAATAAACAGAGTACATAAGGAGTGCAAACATTATAGGAAAAAAACTAATAATCTGATTAAAATTGGCAAAAAAGATTTGAATAGACATTTCTTAAAATAAGACATACAAATGCCAAACAGCAAAAGTGGTTAACATTACTGATTATCACAGAAATATAAATCAAAACTACAATGAGATATTATTTCATCCCAGTTAAAAGGGACTACAGCCAAAAGATAGGCAATAAAAAATAATGGTGAGGACGTGAAGAAAAGTGTATCTATGTACACCGTTGGTGGGAATGTAAATTAGTACAATCACTATGGAGCATAGTTTAGAAGTTCCTCAGAAAATTAAAAGAGAGCTACCTTATTAACCCAGCAATCCCACTTCTGGGTATATACCCAAAAGAAAGGAAACCAGGATATTGAAACATTCTTATGTTTGATGTATTACTGTTCGCAATAGCCAAAATTTGGAAGCAATCTATGCATCCATTGACAGATGAATGGGTAAAGAAAATGTGGTACTTATACACAATGGTTTATATTAGTTTTCTATCATTGCTATAACAAAATAACAGTTTCTTAAAACCATCCAAAATTATCTTACTGTTCTGAATGCCAGAAAAGCAGAATTATTTTTAAAGAGGAAAAAAATCAAGATTTTGGCTACCTCTGGAAGCTTTAGGTAAGAATTTATTTCTGTGACTTTAGCTTTTAGATATCTGCCAGTATGTGGCTTATGGCTCCTTTTTCTTCAAAAACAACCATGTAATATATTCTCTCCTCTCTGGCCTCTGGCCTCTGATTCTGTACATACTGTTTTCTGTCTCACACTCTGATCCTGCTGGTTCTCTTTTATAAGAATGTTTGTGATTACATTGCACCCACTTGGATAATTCATGATAAATTTTGTGTCAAGATCTTTATTCACATATTTAAAGTACCTTTTCCTTTTTTTTAACCATCAGTAATGGATTGAGTTCTTCCTTGACTCTCTCTTGTTTCTACTTCCATCATCACATCTTTCTGACACTGATTCTACTCTTCCTTACTTTTTCTTTTCTTTTTTCCTGAGGCAATGTCTTGGTCTGTAGCACAGGCTGCAGTGCAGTGGCATGATCTCGGCTCACTACAACCTCCACCTCCTGGGTTCAAGCGATTCTCCTGCCTCAGCTTCCTGAATAGCTTGTGTTACAGGTGTGCACCACCATGGCCAGCTAATTTTTGTATTTTTAGTAGGGACTGGGTTTCACCATGTTGGTCAGGCTGGTCTTGAATTTTTGACCTTGGGATCCACCCTCATTGGCCTCCCAAAGTGCTGGGATTACATGCACGAGCCACTGCACCCAGCCACCTTTTCGTTTTTTAAGACTTTTGTGATTACATTGTACCCACCCAAGAAACACCAAACAAAGTTCTTACATTAGAGTCAGCTAAATTTCAATGTGCCAACATCCTTAAAATAACCATCAAGAAAGAATGAAAGAATTTGCAGCAATATCCATTTTCAATGAGTTTATCTGTACAAAAAAATATTTTTATGTAAAAATATCAGGGCAATACTTTTAGTAATTGTAAGCAATTATGTTGGTTCATCACTTATTCATGGCTGCATTTTAGTTTTTAGATGTTTAGATGTTTAAAAAATCAGAGGTAAATGATATGATTATAACCCCATAGATTTAAGACTTGAGGCATTTGAAATTTGCAATTAAGAGTTTATTCGGGCTGGGCACAGTGGCTCATGCCTGTAACCCCAACAGTTTGGGAGGCTGATACAGGCAGATCACGAGGTCAGGAGATCGAGACCATCCTGGCCAACATGGTGAAACCCCATCTCCACTGAAAATATGAAAATTAGCCAGGCATCATGGTGCACTCCTGTAATCCTAGCTACTTGGGAGGCTGAGGTAGGAGAATCACTTGATCCCAGAAGGCAGAGTTTGCATTAAGCCGAGATCATGTCACTGCACTCCAACCTGGTGACAGAGTGAGACTCAATCTCAAAAAGAAAAGGGCGGGGGGTGGGGGGCTTTATTCAACCTAGACATTATTGCTACATGTGAGCAAAGTTCTTAAAAGTAGAGTTGATTAAATATTCAGTAATGTTTAAAATGTAGTACCTGATTAGAAAGAACACTGATTTAACACTGTTCAGGCCTATATAACTCTATATTAATTTTAGATTTTGGAAGGACTATGTTGCTAGACTGATTAAAAATAAGCCAGAGGAAAGAAAAAGTACAGATGAGTGCTCCAAAGGCAGATATGTAGATTTTTTTTTTTTTTTAATATGAGATTGGGTCTCACTGTATTGGCCAGGGTGGCCTCAAACTCCTGGTCTCAAGCGGTCCTTCAGCCTCAACCTCCCAACATGTTGGGATTAGGTTTGTGAGACACCTTGCTCAGCTGGCAGATACATTTTCTGGTCTTAATAACTTTGTGTTATATAATGGTTTTGATAATATATTCTTGCTTTATGAGTCAGGAAAATCAGTTTGGGTTACACTAAAATATTAAATCATCTTCAGACTCAATGGAATTTTTTTTCTCTTGCTACACATTTATTATAGAATAGGTTTGGCATATAGAGTACAAAATTTATGCTTTTCTCACTTAGAGACTCTGCTGTGATGCTAATGGTAACTATGGCAGGAAGAAAGTACATGCTGAAAAAGCTTGCAATTAAATTAAATGATATCATTCAGAAGTGACCTGTAATACTCTGCTCACAAGTTTTGTTTGGAATTATTCTCATCATCCTGTCCATGTTAACTACAATTTTCAATGTGTCTCTATGGGCATTAAACTAGACTTAAAACAGCATTTGACAGAAGCGAACACTTATATGATGAAAACACTCAGTAAGCTACAAAGAGAAAAAAACTTCCTTAGAAAATTAAAGAGTATTTGTTTAAAAACCTACAGTTAATGTCATATTTAATGGTGAAAGGCTGAAAATATACCCACTGAGTTCAATACAAGGTTGCCTGCTTTCACCACTGATACTCAACATTGTACAAAATGTTCTAGTCAGAATAGTTAGGCAAGAAAAAAAAGATTAAATAAAATTTTAAATAATAGAATATAAAATTTAAATTGATAAAAATCTAAATTGGATAGGAAGAAGCAAAGCTATCTTTATTGGTTGATGATGTCATCCTATACATAGAAAATTCTAGAATTACAAAATAAAAACTAATAAAGATAACAAATGAATCCAGCAGTTTACTGGGTATAGGATTGACAACAAAAAGAAACTTATTGTCAATGAGCAATCTCAAAAAAAGTCTTAAAATCATTTTTATAATAACACCTGAAGGATAAAATCCTTAGGAATACCTTTAAATAGGAGAGTATTATACTATTTTGCACTAATTACTACAAAACATTGCTAAATAAATAAAAGAAGACCTTAATAAATGGAAATATATTATGTTCATGGATTGAAAGACTTAATATTGTTAAAATGTCAGTATTTCCAAAAAAAACTTTGCAAATTTAATGTAAACCTACCAAAATCCCACTGGCAATTTTTGCCAAAATGAAGAAGTTAATCATAAATTTAATATGAAAAAGCAAGTGACCATGAAAATGCAAAACAATTGAGAGAAAGAAGGGCATAGTTGCAGGACTCATACTGGATTTCAAAATGTATTATAAAATTACACAATTCAAGACAGTGTAGTATAAGTGTAAAGAAAATTGTGATAGGATTGAGACTCCAAAAAATAATCCAGACATATAATGTCAGTTGCTTTTTGACAAAGGTTTCAACATCATTATACAGAGAAAGAATAGTCTCTTCATACTCCTGGGACAACTTGCTATTTACCAACAACAAAATTGGGACCTAAACTTACACTACATTTCAAATTTAATCTACTCATCTTCAGTTTTTCTGTTATTAACATCTTGAAAAGATGTGGGTGTGTTTGTGTGTGTGTGTGTGTGTGTGTATATATGTGTGTATATATATATAATATACGTGTATATATATATACACGTATATATATATAATATACGTGTATATATATATGTGTGTATATATATACGTGTATATATATATACGTGTATATATATATGTGTATATATATATACGTATATATATATATACGTGTATATATATATACGTGTGTGTGTGTGTGTGTATATATATATACATATATATATATAATTTTGGGGACAGATTCTCACTCCATCCCCCAGGCTGGAGTACAGTGGTGTGATCTCAGCTCACTGAAACCTCTGCCTTCTGGGTTCAAACAATTCTCATACCTCAGCCTCTCAAGTAGCTGAGATTACAGGACCCATCACCACACCTGGCTAATTTTTCTGTTTTTAGTAGAGACGGGGTTTCACCATGTTGGCCAGGCTGATCTCAACCCCCTGACCTAAGATGACCTGCCCAACTCAGCCTCCCAAAATGCTGGGATTACAGGCATGAGTCACCATGCCCAGCCTAAGATGTGACATATTTGTTACCATTAATGAACCAAATTATTTATCCCATTCTATAGTTTGTCTGCTTACCCTGTTGATTGTTCCTTATATTGCACAGAAGCTCTTTAGTTTAAATAGATTCTGCTTGTCAAATGTTGCTTTTGTTGCAATTGTTTTTGGAATCTTTGTCATGAAATCTTTGCCCATTCCTATCTCCAGAATGCTATTGCGTAGGTTGTCTTTCAGAATTTCTATTCCTTTAAGTTTTACATAAGCCTTTAATTGATCTTCAGTTAATTTTTGTTTGTGGTGTAAGAAAGGGGTCCCATTTCAATCTACTGAATATGGCTAGGTGGTTATCCCAGAATGATTTATTGAATAGAGAGTTCTTTTCCCATTGCTTCTTTTTGTCAGCTCTATCAAAGATTAGATGGCAAATATGAGGTCTTATTTCTAGGCTCTCTATTCCTTTCCATTGATCTAAATGTCTACTTTTATACCAGCACCATGCTGTTTTGTTAACTGTAGGCCTGAAGTATACTTTGAAGTCAGGTAACATGATGCCTCCACCTTTGCTCTTTTTGTATAGAATTCCCCTGGCTATCTGGGATAATTTGTGTTTCCATATTAATTTTAAAATAGTTTTTTTTAGTCCTGTGAAAAATTTAATTGGTAGTTTAATAGGAATAGCATTCCATCTATAAATTGCTTTGGGCAGTATGACCATTTTATGATGTTGATTCTTCCTATCCATGAGCATGGAATGTATTCCCATTTGTTTGCTTTATCTCTGACTTTTTTGACCAGTACTTTTTAGTTCTTGTGGTGATTTTTGACCTCTCTGGTTAAGTGTATTTCTATATATTTTATTCTTTTTGTGGCAATAGTGAATGGGATTTATGTCCCTGGTTTTACTCTTGGCTTGACAATTTTTGATATATACAAATGCTAGTAATTTTTGTGCATTGATTTTCTATGCTTAGATTTTGCTGAAGTTATTTATCAGCTGAGGGAGCTTTTGGGCCAAGACTATGAGGTTTTCTAGATGTAGAATTGAGATGATTTATCTAGCTTCTTTTAAGTAGACAGCAAGGGAGGGGTCCCCGGAGATTCCCTGACCCACTGATCAGTGCCTCAGCCCCAAAAAGCAGGCTGGAAAAATAAATCAAGCTGCATGTACTGATAAGAAAACTAGCACAAGGAGTTGTGCCTGGAGACATGCCCACAGCTGTACAGATAAGGGAGCTCCAGGTTACTCACATAAAAACTTACAGGAATCTCCAGCTTACTTGTTTCCCTGTTTAAGAGAACAAGTCCTGACAGAGAAATGCCATTATCCTTTCTATCATCAGTGGGCTTCCAGGAAAAAAGTCTCTTCTGCTTTTATGAGCATGAACACACTGTTCTCTGTTGGGTTCTGGTGGGCAGTTTCCTTTCCTTTCCTTTTTAGATTGTGAGCCCAGCATCTATGAATCATCAGTTCATCTCCTGATTGGTCCTGGGTCAAGGTCCTAGGTCAAGCTTTTACTTCAGCTGCCAATAGGTCCCAGGCCTAGCTGCCTCTATGAATTACCACTTCAGCCCCTAATTGGCCCCTGGGCTAGGCTTCCTGATTGGTCCAGGGCCAAGGCCCCAGGCCGAGACCCCAGGCAAAGCTGAGTCAGGAGTTCTCCAAGACAGCACACAGACTAAGCATATTCCTTCCCCTTCCCAGTCCATGAAAACCCTGGACCCCAGCCTCATAGAGGGACCCTATTTGGCACCCCCAACCCTCTGCTAGCGGAGAACTTCCTTCTTTTGCTTTTTAAACTTTTGCTCTGACCTAACCCTAGTGTCCGCACTCCTTAGTCATCTCAGACAAAGAACTCTTGCTATATCTCAGACAATGAGAGACTGTTACAACTTTGTGCACTGGTGAAACTACAACAGAATAATGTTATCTGCAAAGAGGGAGAGTTTGCCTTCCTTTCTTTCTATTTGGATTTCCTTTATTTCTTTCTACTACCTGATTGATCTGCTCAGGACTTCCAGTACTATGTTGAATATGTGTGCTGAGAGAGGAAATCCTTGTCTTGTGCCAGCTTTCAAGAGGAATGCTTCCAGCTTTTTCCTATTCAATACAATGTTGGCTGTGAGTTTGTCACAAATGGCCCTTGCTATTTTAAGGTATATTCCTTCAATGCTTAGTTTATCAAGAGTTTTTACTATGAAAGGTGTTAAATTTTGTTGAAATTATTTTTTGCATCTATTGAAATTATAATGTGGTTTTGTCTTTAGTTTTATTAAAGGATAAATCACATTTATTGATTTGCTATGTTGAACCACCCTTGCATCTCAGAGATAAAGGCTACTTGATAGTATAAATAAGCTTTTTGATGTGCCACTGGATTCAGTTTGCCAGAATTTTGTTGAGGATTTTTGCATCGATAGTCATCCATGATATTGGCTTGAACTTTTTTGTTGCTGTTGTTATGTGTCTGCCAGATTTTGGTATCAAGATAATGCTGGCCTCATAGATTGACTTAGAAAGGCGTTCCTCCTCCTCCTCCATTTTTTGGAATAGTTTCTGTCGCAATGATACCAGCTCTTCTTTGTTCATCATTCAGGTGTGAATCCTTCTGGCCCTGAGCTTTGTTAGGTTGTGGCTCCTTATTACTGATTCAGTTTCAGAGTTCTGTTCTGAAATTGGTTGTTGGTCTGTTCGAGAATTTGATTTCTTCCTGGTTCAATCTTGGGAGGGTGTATGTGCCCAGGAAGTTATCAATTTCTTCTAGGTTTTTTTTTAGTTCAGGGGCATAAAGACATTCATATTATTTTCTGATGTTTTTTGTGTTTCTGTGAGGTTATGGTACTATCCCCTTTATCATTTCTGTATTTATTTGGATCTGCTCTCTTTTTTATTAGTCTAGTTAGCAGTCTATCTATATTATTAATTTCCAAAAACCAACTCCTGGATTCATTGATCTTTTGAATGGTTGTTAATATGTTAATTACCTCAGTTCAGATCAAATTTAGGGTATTTCCTTTCTTGTGCTAACTGTGGGGTTAGTTTGCTCTTGCTTCTCTTGTTATTTTAGTTGAAATGTTATATTGCTAGATTGAGATATTTCTTTTTTATGTGGGTGTTTAATGCTATAAATTTGCCTCTTAACACTGCCTTAGCTGTCTGTGTCCAAGAGATTCTGGTATGTTGTATCTTTGTTCTCATTTGTTTCAAGGAGGTTCTTGATTTATGCCTTAATGTCATTATTTACCTGGAAGCATTCAGAAGCAGGTTATTCAATTTCCATGTAATTGTATGGTTTTCAGTAAATTTATTAGTCTTGATTCCCAATTTTATTGCGCTGGTGTCTGAGAGAGCGGTTGTTATAATTTCATCTGTTTTACTGTTGCTGAGGAGGGTTTAATGTCTGACTACATGGTCAATTTTAGAGAATCAGCCCTGTGACAATGATAAGAATGTATATTCTGTTGTTTTGGGGGCAAAGACTTCTGTAAATGACCCTCAGGTCTATTTGATCCAGTGCTGAGTTTAGGTCCTAAATATTTTTGTACGTTTTTTGCCTCGATGATGCATCCAAATATTGTCAATACTGATATCTTAAATTCTGTCATTAGTGTGTGGGAGTCTAAGATTCTTTGAAAGTCTAAGAAATTGTTTTATGAAGCCTATGTTGGGTGCATACATATGTGTTTAAAATAGCTAAGTCTTCTTGTTAAATTGTACTCTTTAGCTTTACGTAATGCCCTTTGTCATTTCTTATCTTTTTGGTTTAAAGTCCTTTATGTGTGAACTTAAAATGACAACCTCTGATTCTTTCTGTCTTCTGTTTACTTGGTAGATTTTTGGCCATTCCTTTATTTTGAGTTTATGGATATAATTGCATGTGAGCTGAATCTTTTGAAGACAGCACATCAAAGACTTGGAACCAACCCAAATGTCCAACAATGATAGACTGGATTAAGAAAATGTGGCACATATACACCATGGAATACTATGCAGCCATAAAAAATGATGAGTTCATGTCCTTTGTAGGGACATGGATGAAATTGGAAATCATCATTCTCAGTAAACTATCTCAAGAACAAAAAACCAAACACCGCATATTCTCACTCATAGGTGGGAATTGCACAATGAGAACACATGGACACAAGAAGGGGAACATCACACTCTGGGGACTGTTATGGGGTGGGAAGTGGGGGAGGGATAGCACTGGGAGATATACCTAATGCTGGATGACGAGTTAGTGGGTGCAGCGCACCAGCATGGCACATGTATACATATGTAACTAACCTGCACATTGTGCACATGTACCCTAAAATTAAAGTATAATAATAATAATAATAATAATAAAAAGAAGACAGCATATCATTGGGTCTCAGGGTTTTTTAACCCTGATTGCCATCTTGTGCCTTTTAATTTGGGCATTTATCCTGTTTACATTCAAGGTTAGTAAAGCCAAACTAAGCTTCATAAGTGAAGGGGAAATAAAATCTTTTACAGACAAGGAAATGCTGAGAGATTTAGCTTGTTATTCTGCATACTTATTTGTGTGGTTTCTTCATAGTGTCACTGGTCTATGTACTGAAGTGTGCTTTAGTAGTGGCTGGCAATAATATTTTCTTCCCACATTTAGTGTTTTTTCAGGATCTCTTGTGTAAGACAGGCCTGGTGGTAATAAATTTCTTCAGAATTTTCTTGTCTAAAAAGGAGCTTATTTCTCCTTCTCTTATGGAACTTAGTTTGGCTGAATATGAAATTGTTTGTTAAAATTTCTTTTTTTAAAAACATTGTTGAGGGCTGGGCACAGTGGCTCATGCCTATAATCCCAGCACCCTGGGAAGCTGAGGTGGGTGGATCACAAGGTCAGGAGATTGAGACCAGCTTCACCAACATGGTGAAACCCCGTCTCTACTAAAAATACAAAAATTAGCTGAGTGTTGTGGTGAGTGCCTGTAATCCCAGCTACTCAGGAGGCTGAGGCAGGAGAATCTCTTGAACCTGGGAGGCAGAGGTTGCAGTGAGCCGAGATTATGCCACTGCACTCCAGCCTAAGAAAGCAGATCTAAGTTACTTCCATTCTTCCATTCCATCTCTTTCAGAGATATGAAGGAGTCATAAATTTGGTCTGTTTACCTAATCCCATATTTCTTGGAGGTTTTCTTTATTCTTTTCATTCTTTTTTCTCTATTTCTGTTTGTCCTATTTCAGAAAGCCAGTCTTCAAGCTCTGAGATTCTTTTCTCAGCTTGGTCTGTTCAGCTATTAATACTTTTGAGTTTATTATGAAATTCTTGTGTTTTTCAGCCCCCTCAGGTTGGTTACAGTCTTCTCTACACTGGTCATTTTGTCTGTCAGCTCCTGTATTGTTTTATTGTAACTCTTAGCTTTCTTGGACTGCATTTCAATGTTCTCCTGCACATTAATAATCATCATCCTTATCCATATTCTGAATTATGTCATTTCAGCCAACTCAACTCAGTTCAAAACCCTTGTTAGAAAGCTAGTGAAGTCATTTGGAGGAAGGCAGGCACTCTGGCTTTTTCTGTTGTTGGAGTGCTTGTGCTGATTCCTTATCATCTTTGTGGACTGATGTTCCTTCAATCTTTGCAATTGCTCTCTTTTGTATGGAGTTTTTTTCCTTTCATCCTGTTTGATGACTTGAGGTTTTTACTGTGGTATAAGGTGGGTTCACTTGACTGGCTTCTTTTCTGAAGGTTTTTAGGGAGCCAAGGTTCAGCTCCCAACTTTTGGGCTGCATGATCTATTCTGGGTGGCTTGTATTGCCCTAAACTTATTCTCTGATTCCTTGAGTTTAGAAATTCACTGTTCTTTGTTGTAGGTTAGAAGGCTCAGGTTCTCTTGGACCACTGGTTACTACACTCCAATGGGTGATGTCAGCCAAAGCACTTTTCAGGGCAATGGCAGCAGGACCCATCCTTGTTTGCACATGCCAGCAGCAGGCATAGTGGCAGAATGGTAATGTGCATACTTTTCAGCTATGGCAGGATGCTAACAGGTGCCAAGTTCCCTGCCTCTGTGCAGGTGTTCACAGCAGTATGGGAGATGGCATGGCTAAAGGTGAGGCAGCCATCATTGATGACTGTACACAGTCACACTTTTGGTGGTGTTAGTATGGGGGTGGCACACTGGCAAGTACAGGCCTGCAGCTGCTCAGGGTAGGAAATTGTACACTATTCTTCTGCCCAGTTCACTATGGTGGCAGTCTTAACACAGGAGCAGGGCACAGGTAAGGGGACTGGCAAGCTTTGAGCCTACCAGGGTTCCAACTGCTATGCTGGTATGGTGGGGCCAGGGCAGCAGATGCATGGCATGGAGAATTTCACACATGCATATTGGATGAGCAGGGAAGGCAAAACCTACCCACATACACATGTGCTAGCAAAGTGATGTGGCGAGTTGCCATGGGTTTGGGGGAAGCTACAGTTGGGGAAGGGACACAGTGGGTTGGTGCTTGACAATGAAGGCTGCCCCCACTGGAGCTCTCCACTGGTCAGGCATGGTCCACTAGCACAGGAGTTATGGTATGGGTCCCCAGGACACCTGGGGCTGCACTGCAAGCAGTCATTCCCAGGCTGTGGGCCTGAGAGGCCATCAAATCAAGGAGGTTAAATCAGACCCAGCCCTATCTGATAGACATGAGCTCCCTGCAGAGGTCAGCCCTGACAGTTCCCCCAGGGCTAAAGTCTCCTGTGGGAACAAGTTGAGCCTGAGGGAATGGTCATCTGTGGCTGGGCTTCACTACAGATGTTTCTGCTGAAAACCCTCTGGGCTCTGCATGGGGAAGAATACTGTTCCTGCCACTTCTGTAAGCGGTTCACCATGCCAACTCAAGTATCTGTAGTGGTCAAGAGGTCTCTTCCTTTCAGGATACTGGTAGCCCCATACAGGGTTTCCAGGTTCTTTCCCTTTCAGACTAGGTTTTGTGTCTTCCCTCTGTCCCCTCTCGGTGCCTTCCCTCTGAAGATCTTTTAGGAGTGAACCTGAGTTTCCTGAATTTGAATGTTGAGTGCTTGAATGCTAATAAAGACATACCTCAGCTTGGATAATTTATAAAAGAAAAAGGTTTAATTGACTCACAGTTCAGCATGGTTGAGGAAGCCTCAGTAATCTTACAATCATTGCAGAAGGGGAAGCAAACACGTCCTTCTTCACATGGCAGCAACAAAAGAAGTATGAGAGCTGAGCAAATGGGGAAGCCACCAAATAAAACTGTCAGATCTTATGAGAACTCATTATCATAAGAATAGCATAGGGGAAACTGCCCCCTGTGATTCAGTTACCTCACACCAGAGGTTCCGGTATCAGGCAGCCATTTCACGTGGTTGCATCTAGTCAGCCATCTTGCCTGATTCCTCCTCCAAACTCAATGTAGACAAGTGTCCTCTTAACACTGCTTCAACTGAATTCCAGTGATTTTAGTATTCTGTGTTTCTGTTTTATTTCAAAGAATTATTTGATTTCTGCATTTTTTAATCCAAAAGCCCTTCAGTAGAACGTTGTTTAATATCCATGTAATTATATGGTTTTGAAGGGTCTTCATGCTATTGACTCCTATTTTTACTATTGTCAAAACTATGTTTGGCATAGTTATGGTTTGGCTGTGTCCCTACCCAAATCTCATCTTGAATCGTAGTTCCCATAATCCCCATATGTGGTGGGAGGGACATGATGAAGGTAATTGAATCATGGGGGCAGTTTCCCCCATGCTACTCTTGTGATAGTGACTAAGTTCTTATGAGATCTGATGGTTTTACCAGGGGCTTCCCCCTTCACTCAGCTCTCATGCTTATCTTCCTGCTGTCATGTAAAGAAGAAAATGCTTGCTTCCTCTTCTGCCTTGATTACAAGTTTCCTGAGGCCTCCCCAGCCATGCAGAACTGTGAGTCAATTAAACATCTTTCCTTTATAAATTATTTAGTCTCAGGTATGTCTTTATTAGTAGCATGAGAACAGACTAATACAGGTATAATTTTTATTTTTTTAATGAAGTGAGCCCTCCTTTATTGCCAAGTGTGTGGCCAATTTTAAGTACGTTTCATTTGCAAATGAAAAGAATGTATATCTTGTTGTTTATGGCGGAGGTGTCCTGTAGATGTCTATCATGTACAAGTGTTTTATTTAAGGTTAAGATTTGTTAGTTTTCTACCTTGAGGATCTGTCTAAGACTTTGGTGGGCTGTTGAAGTCCCCCATTATCATTGTGTGCCTAAGTCTTTTGTACGTTAGGACATACTTTTTAAATAAATTTGGGTGCTCCAATATTGTGTCAGTGTACATTTAGGATGAGTAAGGCATCTTGTTGGATTGAGCCCTTTATTATTATTTAGTGCCCATCTTTGTCCTTTTTTACTGTTGTTGGCTTAAAGTCTATTTTATCTCTTGTAAGATGAGTGACCCCTGCCTTTTGTTTTCCATTTGCATGATAGATCTCTCTCCATTCCTTTACCTTTAGTGTATAGGTATTTTACATGTGAGATGGCTCTTTTGAAGATAGCAGGTGAATAGGTCTTGTGTTATTAATCCAACTAGGCACTTTGTGCCTTTTAACTGTGACATTAAGATAATTTACATTCCAGGTCAGTCTTGATATAATAGGCGGTTGCTGGCAAGATGACCGAATAGAAACATCTCCAGTCTGCAGCTCCCAGTGAGATCAATGCAGAAGGTGGGTAATTTCTGCATTTCCAGCTGAGGTACTTGGTTCATCTCACTAGGACTGGTTGGACAGTGGGTGCAGCCCAAGCAGGGAGAGCCAAAGCAGGGTGGGAAGTCACCTCACCCAGGAAGCACAAGGGATCAGGGAACTCCCTCTCCCAGCCAAGGGAAGCCATTAGGGACTGTACCATGCACTCTGGCCCAGATACTGCACTTTCCCCATAGTCTTCAGAACCTGCAGACCAGAAGATTCCTTTCAGTGCCTATATCACCAGGTCCCTGGGTTTCCAGCACAAAACTGGGTGACAATTTGGGGAGATATCAAGCTAGTTCTGGAGTTTTTTTTTTCATACCCCATCAGTGCCTGGAATGCCAGCAAGACAGAACCTTTCACTCCCCTGCAAGGGGGGCTGAAGCCAGGGAGCCAAGTAGTCTAGCTCGGCAGGTCCCACCCCAATGGAGCCCAACAGCCTAAGATCCACTGGATTGAAATCCTTGCTGCCAGCACAACAGCAGTCCAAGCTTGAACATTGTGTGGGGAGGGGCATCATCCATCTATGAGGCTTAAGTAGGCAGTTTCACCCTCACAGTGTAAACAAAGTCACCAGGAATTTCAAACTGGGTGGAACCCACCCCAATTCAGCAAGGCCACAGTGGCCAGACTGTCTCCTCTCTGTGCAGGACATCATGTGAAAAAAAGGCAGCAGCCACATTAGGGACTTATAGATATAACCCCCACCGCCCTTCTCTTCCCTGGGACAGAGCACCTTGGGGAAGGGTTGGTTTTAAGCGCAGCTTCAGCAGACTTAAATGACCCTACCTAAGAGCTCTGAAGAGAGCACCAGATCTAGCAGCACAGCCATTCGAGCTCCTATAAGGGATAGATTGCCTCCTCAAGTGGGTCCATGATGCCCATTTATCCTGACAAGGTGACACCTCCTAGTAGGTGGTGACAGACACCTCATATAGGAGAGCTCTGGCTGGCATCTCGTGGGTGCCCTTCCGGGACAAAGCTTCAAGAGGAAGAAGCAAGCAGCAATATTTGCTGTTCTGCAGCCTCTGCCAGTGACACCCAGGCAAACAGGTTCTGGGGCAGACCTCCAGCAAACTCTAGCAGACCTACAGCAGAGGGGCCTGACTGTTAGAAGGAAAACTAACAGACAGAAAGGAATAGTAGCAACATCAACAAAAAGGACATCCACTGAGAAACCCCATCTGAAGGTAAGCAACTTTAAAGACAAAAGGTAGATAAATCCATGAAGATGGAGAGAAACCAGCACTAAAACGCTGAAAATTCAGAATGCCTATTCTCCTACAAAGGGTCACAACTCCTCACCAGCAAGGTCCAAAATGGGGTGGAGAATGACTTTGATGAATTGACAGAAGTAGGCTTCAGAAGGTGGGTAATAACAGACGCCTCTGAGCTAAAGGAGCATGTCCTAACCCAGTGCAAGGAAGCTAAGAACCTTGAAAAAAAGGTTACATGAATTGCTAACTAGAATAACTGGTTTAGAGAAGAATACAAATAACCTGATGGAGCTGAAAAACACAGCACAAGAACTTCATGAAGCATACACAAGTATCATAGCTGAGTCGATTAAGTGGAAGAAAGGATATATGAGATTGAAGATCAACCAAATGAAATGCAATAGGAAAACAAGATTAGAGAAAAAAGAGTGGAAAGATATGAGGAAAGCCTCCAAGAAGTATAGGACTATGTGAAAAGACTACATCTACATTTGATTGGTGTACCTGAAAGTGACAGGAAAAATAGAACCAAGCTGGAAAATACTTTTTAGGATATTATCCAGGAGAAGTTCCCCAACCTACCAAGACAGGCCAACATTGAAATTCAGGAAATACAGACAACACCACAAAGATACTCCTCCAGAAGAGCAACCTCAAGACATATAATCATCAGATTCACCAAGGTTGAAATCGAGGGAAAAAATGTTAAAGGTAACCAGAGAGAAAGGTCAGGTTACCCACAAAGGGAACCCCATCAGACTAACAGCGAATTTCTCAGCAGAGAACCTTATGAGCCAGAAGAGAGTGGGGACCGATATTCAACATTCTTACAGAAAAGAATTTTCAACCCAGAATTTCATATCCAACCAAACTAATCTTCATAAGCAAAGGAGAAATAAAATCCCTTACAGATGAGAAAATGCTGAGAGATTTTGTCACCACCAGCCCTGCCCTACAAGAGCTCCTGAAGGAAGCACTAAACATGGAAAGGAACAACTTGTACCAGCCACTGCAAAAACATACCAAATTGCCAAGGCGATTGACACTATGAAGAAACTGCATAAACTAATGAGCAAAATAACCAGCTAACGTCATAAAGACAGGATCAAGTTCTCACATAACAATATTAACCTTAAATGTAAATGGGCTAAATGACACAATTAAAAGACACAGACTGGCAAATTGGATGAAGAGTCAAGACCCATTGGTGTACTGTATTCAGGAGACCCAACTCACATGCAAAGACACATAGGCTAAAGGGATGGAGGAAGATTTAGCAAGCAAATGGCAAGCAAAAAAAAAAAAAATGGAGTGGTTGCAATTCTAGTCTCTGATAAAACAGACTTTAAACCAATAAAGGTCAAAAGAGACAAAGAAGTGCACTATATAATGGTAAAAAGATCAATGCAACAAGAAGAGCTAACTATCCTAAATATATATGCACAAAATACAGGAGTACCCAGATTCATGAAGCAAGTTCTTACAGACCTACAAACAGACTTAGACTCCCACACAATAATAGTGGGAGACTGTAACACCCCACTGGCAACATTAGAAAGATCAACGAGACAGAAAATTAACAAGGATATTCAGGATTTGAACTCAGCTCTAGACCTAGTGGACCCACTAGATATCTATAGAACTCTCCACCCCAAATCAACAGAATATATATTGTTCTCAGCACCACATCCCAGTTATTCTAAAATTGACCACATAACTGAAAGTAAAACACTCCTCAGCAAATGCAAAATAATGGAAATTACAACAAACAATTTCTCAGACCACAGTGCAATCAAATTAGAACTCAGGATCAAGAAACTCTCTCAAAACTCCACCACTACATGGAAGCTGAACCTGCTCCTGAATGACTACTGATTAAATAATGAAATGGAGGCAGAAATAAAGATGTTCTTTAAAACCAATGAGAACAAAGACACAATGTACCAGAATCTCTGGGACACAGCTAAAGAAGTGTTAAGAGGGAAATTTTATAGCACTAAATGCCCGCTAGAGAAAGCAGAAAAGATCTAAAATCAACACCCTAATATCACAGTTAAAAGAACTAGAGAAGCAAGAGCAAACAAATTCAAAAGCAAGCAGAAGACAAGAAATAACTAAGATCAGAGCAGAACAGAAGGAGACAGAGACAAAAAACCCTTCAAAAAATGGATGAATCCAGGAGCTGCTTTTTATAAACTTTAACAAAATAGAAAGACCACTACCCAGACTAATAAAGAAAAAAAGAGAAGAAGAATCAAATAGATACAATAAAAAATGATAAAGGGGATATCAGCTCCAATCCCACAGAAATACAAACTACCACCAGAGAATACTATAAACATCTCTGTGCAAATAAACTAGAAAATCTAGAAGAAATGGATAAATTCATGTACACATACACCCTGCCTAGACTAAACCAGAAAGAAGTCAAATCCCTGAATAGACCAATAACAGGCTCTGAAATTGAGGCAGAAATTAATAGCCTGCCAACCAAAACAAGCCCAGGAGCAGACAGATTCACAGCTGAATTCTGCTAGAGGAACAAAGAGGAGCTGGTACCATTCCTTCTGAATCTATTCCAAAAAATAGAAAGTGAGGAAATCCTACCTACCTCATTTTATGAGGCCAGCATCATCCTGATACCAAAACCTGGCAGAAACACAATAAAAAACAGAAAATTTCAGGCAAATATCCCTGAAGAACATTGATGTGAAAATCCTCAATAAAATACTGGCAAAGTGAATCTAGCAGCACATCAAAAAGCTTATCCATCACAATCAAGTCAGCTTCATCCCTGGGATGCAAGGCTGGTTCAACACATGTAAATCAATAAACATAATCCATCACATAAACAGAACCAATGACATAAACCACATGATTATCTCAATGGATGCAGAAAGGACTTTCACAAAATTCAACAGCCCTTGACACTAAAAACTCTCAATAAACTAAGCCTTGAGGGAATGTACCTCAAAAGAATAAGAGTTATTTATGACAAACCCACAGCCAATATCATATTGAATGGGCAAAACCTGGAAACATTCCCTTTGAAAACTGGCACAAGACAAGGATGCCCTCTCTCACCACTCCTATTTAACATAGTATTGGAAGCCCTGGCCAGGGCAATCAGGCAAGAGAAAGAAATAAAGGGTATTCAAGTAGGAAAAGAGGAAGTCAAATTGTCTCTGCTTAGAGATGACATGATTGTATATTTAGAAAACCCCAATGTCTCAGCACAAAATATCCTTAAGCTGATAAGCAAGTTCATACAAAATCCATGTGCAAAAATCACAAGCATTCCTATACACCAATAACAGAAAAACAGAGAGTCAAATCATGAGTGAACTCCCATTCACAATTGCCACAAAAAGAATATATAACCTGGGAATACAACTTACAAGGGATGTGAAGGACCTCTTCAAGGTGAACTACAAACCACTGCGCAAGGAAATAAGAGAGGACAGAAAGAAATGGAAAAACATTTCATGCTCATGGGTAAGAAGAATCAATATCGTGAAAATGGCCATACTGCCCAAGGTAATTTATAAATTTCATATCTCAATCAAGCTACCATTGGTTTTCTTTGCAGAATTGGAAAAAATCTACTCTAAATTGCATATGGAATCAATAAAGAGCCTGCATAGCCAAGACAATACTAAGCAGAAAGAACAAAGCTGGAGGCATCACACTACCTGACTTCAAACTATACTACAAAGTTACAATAACAAAAACACCATGGTATGGGTACTAAAACAGATATATAGACTGATGGAACAGAACAGAGGCCTCAGATATAAAGCCACACATATAAAACCATCTGATCCTTAACAAACCTGATGAAATCAAGCAACAGGGAAAGGATTTCCTATTTAAAAATGGTGTTGGGAAAACTGGCTAGCCACATGCAGAAAGCTGAAACTGAATCCCTGCCTTACACTTTATTCAAAAATTAACTAAAGATGGATTAATGACTTAAGCGTAAGGCCTAAAACTGTAAAAACCCTAAAAGAAAACCTAGGCAACACCATTCACAATATTGGCATGGGCAAAGACATCATGACTAAAACACCCAAACAATGGCAACAAAAGCCAAAATAGACAAATGGGATCTGATTGAACTAAAGAGCTTCTGCACAGCAAGAGAAACTATTATCAGAGTGAACATGCAACCTGCAGAATGGGAGAAAAATTTTGCAATCTATCCATCTGACAAAGGGCTAATATCCAAATCTACAAAGAACTTAAACAGATTTATAAGAAAAAAACAACCCCCTCAAAAAGTGGGCAAACCCTATGAACAGACACTTCTCAAAATAAGACATTTATGCAGCCAACAAATATATGAAAAAAAGCTCATCATTACTGGTCATTAGAGAAATGCAAATCAAAACCACAATGAGATACTATCTCATTGTGAGATACCAGTTAGAATGGCACTCATTAAAAAGTGAGGAAACAACAGATGCTGGAGAGGATGTGGAGAAATAGAAATGCTTTTACACCCTTGTTGGGAGTATAAATTAGTTCAACCATTGTGGAAGACAGTGTGGCAATTCCTCAGGGATCTAGAACTAGAAATATTATTTGACCCAGCAATTCCATTACTGGGTATATACCCAAAGGATTATAAATCATTCTACTATAAAGACACATGCACATGCATGTTTACTGCAGCACTGTTCACAATAACAAAGTCATGGAACCAACCCAAACGCCCATCAACGATAGACTAGATAAAGAAAATGTGGTACACATATACCATGGAAGACTACGCAGCCAGGAAAAAAGGATGAGTTCACGTCCTTTGCTGGGACACAGATGATGCTGGAAACCATCATTCTCAGCAAACCAACAAGAACAGAAAACCATATCCCACATGTTCTCACTCATAAGTGGGAGTTGAACCATATGAACACATAGACACAGGGAGGGGAACATCACTCACTGAGGCCTGTTGGGGGATGCGCGGCAAGGGCAGGGATAGCATTAGGAGAAATATCTAATGTAGATGATAGGTTGATGGGTCCACCATGGCACGTGTATACCTCTGTAACAAACCTGCGCATTCTGCACATGTACCCCAGACCTTAAAGTATAATTTTTTTAAATGACAATATTAAAATAAAAAATATATTTATTGATATAATATTGAAATGAATACTGATAACATTTAGCTATTTATGCAAATTTCTGTAGCCACCTTGAATTTCTTCTCAAAAAATATTTTCAATATACAGTCATATTGTAATATTATGAATATTGAATTTACTTTCAAGGTTAATGTTGAGATATTGATCCTATACTGAAGTTGGCTGGTTGTTTTGTAGTTTGCATTGTATTAGAATATGTATCTTCTTGTTGGCTTGTGCTAGCAGATATTATTTATTTGTCTCTATGTCTAGAAATCCCTTAAGGAATTCTTGTAAGGCTGTTTAGTGATAATAAATTTTCTTAGCAATTGCTTGTCTGAAAAACATTTTATTTCTCCATCACTTATAGAGCTTAGTGGCAGGGTGTGAGACTATTGGCTGAAGTTTCTTTGCTTTAAGAATTCTGAAAATAGGCCCCCCCCTATTTCTTCCGGCTTGTAGTTTTTCTATTGAGAAGTGAACTGATAGCTTGATAGGGTTCCATTTTTATATGATATTAGGTTTTTCTATATATGGCTTCAAGATTTTTTTTCTGTAGCATTGATCTTAGACCACCTACTATATGCCCTAGTGGTATTCATTTGGTATAGTGTCTGACAGACATTCTCTGGATTACTTGTATCTGGATTATCTATCTTTCTGGGAAGGTTAAGAAAAATTTTACTCACATATGTTTTCCAAATTGTTGACCTTTTTTCTTTTTTTTTAAATTGTTTAACCAATATTTTATTATAGGAAACGTGGATTAATTTCTTTTTTTTTTTCTTTTTTTTACTATTATACTTTAAGTTTTAGGGTACATGTGCACATTGTGCAGGTTAGTTACATATGTATACATGTGCCGTGCTGGTGCGCTGCACCCATTAACTCGTAATCTAGCATTAGGTATATCTCCCAATGTTATCCCTCCCCCCTCCGCCCACACCACAACAGTCCCCAGAGTGTGATGTTCCCCTTCCTGTGTCCATGTGATCTCATTGTTCAATTCCCACCTATGGGTGAGAATATGCGGTGTTTGGTTTTTTGTGTTTGGTTTTTTGTTCTTGCGATAGTTTATTGAGAATGATGATTTCCAATTTCATCCATGTCCCTACAAAGGACATGAACTCATCCTTTTTTATGGCTGCATAGTATTCCATGGTGTATATGTGCCACATTTTCTTAATCCAGTCTATCATTGTTGGACATTTGGGTTGGTTCCAAGTCTTTGCTATTGTGAATAATGTCACAATAAACATACGTGTGCATGTCTCTTTATAGCAGCATGATTTATAATCCTTTGGGTATATACCCAGTAATTGGATGGCTGGGTCAAATGGTATTTCTAGTTCTAGATCCCTGAGGAATCGCCACACTGTCTTCCACAATGGTTGAACTAGTTTACAGTCCCACCAACAGTGTAAAAGTGTTCCTATTTCTCCACATCCTCTCCAGCACCTGTTGTTTCCTGACTTTTTAATGATCGCCATTCTAACTGGTGTGAGATGGTATCTCATTGTGGTTTTGATTTGCATTTCTCTGATGGCCAGTGATGATGAACATTTTTTCATGTGTTTTTTGGCTGCATAAATGTCTTCTTTTGAGAAGTGTCTGTTCATGTCCTTTGCCCACTTTTTGATGGGGTTGTTTGTTTTTTTCTTGTAAATTTGTTTGAGTTCATTGTAGATTCTGGATATTAGCCCTTTGTCAGATGAGTAGGTTGCGAAAATTTTCTCCCATTTCGTAGGTTGCCTGTTCACTCTGATGGTAGTTTCTTTTGCTGTGCAGAAGCTCTTTAGTTTAATTAGATCCCATTTGTCAATTTTGTTTTTTGTTGCCATTGCTTTTGGTGTTTTAAACATGAAGTCCTTGCCCATGCCTATGTCCTGAATGGTAATGCCTAGGTTTTCTTCTATGGTTTTTATGGTTTTAGGTCTAATGTTTAAGTCTTTAATCCATCTTGAATTGATTTTTGTATAAGGTGTAAGGAAGGGATCCAGTTTCAGCTTTCTACATATGGCTAACCAGTTCTCCCAGAACCATTTATTAAATAGGGAATCCTTTCCCCACGGCTTGTTTTTCTCAGGTTCATCAAAGATCAGATAGTTGTAGATATGTGGCGTTATTTCTGAGGGCTCTGTTCTGTTCCATTGATCTATATCTCTGTTTTGGTACCAGTACCATGCTCTTTTGGTTACTGTAGCCTTGTAGTATAGTGTGAAGTCAGGTAGTGTGATGCCTCCAGCTTTGTTCTTTTGGCTTAGGATTGACTTGGTGATGCAGGCTCTTTTTTGGTTCCATATGAACTTTAAGGTAGTTTTTTCCAATTCTGTGAAGAAAGGCATTGGTAGCTTGATGGGGATGGCATTGAATCTGTAAATTACCTTGGGCAGTATGGCCATTTTCACGATATTGATTCTTCCTACCCATGAGCATGGAATGTTCTTCCATTTGTTTGTATCCTCTTTTATTTCATTGAGCAGCAGTTTGTAGTTCTCCTTGAAGAGGTCCTTCACATCCCTTGTAAGTTGGATTCCTAGTATTTTATTCTCTTTGAAGCAATTGTGAATGGGAGTTCACTCATGATTTGGCTCTCTGTTTGTCTGTTGTTGTTGTATAGGAATGCTTGTGATTTTTGTACATTGATTTTGTATCCTGAGACTTTGCTGAAGTTGCTTATCAGCTTAAGGAGATTTGGGGCTGAGACAATGGGGTTTTCTAGATATACAATCATGTCATCTGCAAACAGGGACAATTTGACTTCCTCTTTTCCTAATTGAATACCCTTTATTTCCTTCTCCTGCCTAATTGCCCTGGCCAGAATTTCCAAAACTATGTTGAATAGGAGTGGTGAGAGAGGGCATCCCTGTCTTGTGCCAGTTTTCAAAGGGAATGCTTCCAGTTTTTGCCCATTCAGTATGATATTGGCTGTGGGTTTGTCATAGATAGCTCTTATTATTTTGAGATATGTCCCATCAATACCTAATTTGTTGAGAGTTTTTAGCATGAAGTGTTGTTGAATTTTGTCAAAGGCCTTTTCTGCATCTATTGAGATAATCATGTGGTTTTTGTCTTTGGCTCTGTTTATATGCTGGATTACATTTATTGATTTGCGTATATTGAACCAGCCTTGCATCCCAGGGATGAAGCCCACTTGATCATGGTGGATAAGTTTTTGATGTGCTGCTGGATTCGTTTTGCCAGTATTTTATTGAGGATTTTTGCATCAATGTTCATCAAGGATGTTGGTCTAAAATTCTCTTTTTTGGTTGTGTCTCTGCCCGGCTTTGGTATCAGAATGATGCTGGCCTCATAAAATGAGTTAGGGAGGATTCCCTCTTTTTCTATTTATTGGAATAGTTTCAGAAGGAATGGTACCAGTTCCTCCTTGTACCTCTGGTAGAATTCGGCTGTGAATCCATCTGGTCCTGGACTCTTTTTGGTTGGTAAACTATTGATTATTGCCACAATTTCAGCTCCTGTTATTGGTCTATTCAGAGATGCAACTTCTTCCTGGTTTAGTCTTGGGAGAGTGTATGTGTCGAAGAATTTATCCATTTCTTCTAGATTTTCTAGTTTATTTGTGTAGTGGTGTTTGTAGTATTCTCTGATGGTAGTTTGTATTTCTGTGGGATTGGTGGTGATATCCCCTTTATCATTTTTTATTGCATCTATTTGATTCTTCTCTCTTTTTTTCTATATTAGTCTTGCTAGCAGTCTATCAATTCTGTTGATCCTTTCAAAAAACCAGCTCCTGGATTCATTAATTTTTTGAAGGGTTTTTTGTGTCTCTAGTTCCTTCATTTCTGCTCTGATTTAGTTATTTCTTGCCTTCTGCTAGCTTTTGAATGTGTTTGCTCTTGCTTTCTAGTTCTTTTAATTGTGATGTTGGGGTGTCAATTTTGGATCTTTCCTGCTTTCTCTTGTGGGCATTTAGTGCTATAAATTTCCCTCTACACACTACTTTGAATGCGTCCCAGAGATTATGGTATGTTGTGTCTTTGTTCTCATTGGTTTCAAAGAACATCTTTATTTCTGCCTTCATTTCGTTATGTACCCAGTAGTCATTCAGGAGCAGGTTGTTCAGTTTCCATGTAGTTGAGCGGCTTTGAGTGAGATTCTTAATCCTAAGTTCTAGTTTGATTGCACTGTGGTCTGAGAGATAGCTTGTTATAATTTGTGTTCTTTTACATTTGCTAAGGAGAGCTTTACTTCCAAGTATGTGGTCAATTTTGGAATAGGTGTGGTGTGGTGCTGAAAAAAATGTATATTCTGTTGATTTGGGGTGGAGAGTTCTGTAGATGTCTATTAGGTCTGCTTGGTGCCGAGCTGAGTTCAATTTCTGGGTATCCTTGTTGACTTTCTGTCTCGTTGATCTGTCTAATGTTGACAGTGGGGTGTTAAAGTCTCCCATTATTAATGTGTGGGAGTCTAAGTCTCTTTGTAGGTCACTCAGGACTTGCTTTATGAATCTGGGTGCTCCTGTATTGGGTGCATATATATTTAGGATAGTTAGCTCTTCCTGTTGAATTGATCCCTTTACCATTATGTAATGGCCTTCTTTGTCTCTTTTGATCTTTGTTGGTTTAAAGTCTGTTTTATCAGAGACTAGGATTGTAACCCCTGCCTTTTTTTGTTTTCCGTTTGCTTGGTAGATCTTCCTCCATCCTTTTATTTTGAGCCTATGGTTCTCTCTGCATGTCAGATGGGTTTCCTGAATACAGCACACTGATGGGTCTTGACTCTTTATCCAATTGTCAGTCTGTGTCTTTTAATTGGAGCATTTAGTCCATTTACATTTAAAGTTAATATTGTTATGTGTGAATTTGATCCCGTCATTATGATGTTAGCTGGTTCTTTTGCTCGTTAGTTGATGCAGTTTCTTCCTAGTCTTGATGGTCTTTACATTTTGGCATGATTTTGCAGCAGCTGGTACTGGTTGTTCGTTTCCATGTTTAGCGCTTCCTTCAGGAGCTCTTTTAGGGCAGGCCTGGTGGTGACAAAATCTCTCAGCATTTGCTTGTCTGTAAAGTATTTAATTTCTCCTTCACTTATGAAGCTTAGTTTGGCTGGATATGAAATTCTGGGTTGAAAATTCTTTTCTTTAAAAATGTTGAATATTGGCCCCCACTCTCTTCTGGCTTGTAGGGTTTCTGCCGAGAGATCCGCTGTCAGTCTGATGGGCTTCCCTTTGAGGGTAACCCGACCTTTCTCTCTGGCTGCCCTTAACATTTTTTCCTTCATTTCAACTTTGGTGAATCTGACAATTAAGTGTCTTGGAGTTGCTCTTCTCGAGGAGTATCTTTGTGGTGTTCTCTGTATTTCCTGAATCTGAACGTTGGCCTGCCTTGCTAGATTGGGGAAGTTCTCCTGGATAATATCCTGCAGAGTGTTTTCCAACTTGGTTCCATTCTCCACATCACTTTCAGGTACACCAATCAGGCGTAGATTTGGTCTTTTCACATAGTCCCATATTTCTTGGAGGCTTTGCTTGTTTCTTTTTATTCTTTTTTCTCTAAACTTTCCTTCTCACTTCATTTCATTCATTTCATCTTCCATTGCTGATACCCTTTCTTCCAGTTGATCGCATCGGCTCCTGAGGCTTCTGCATTCTTCATGTAGTTCTTGAGCCTTGGTTTTCAGCTCCATCAGCTCCTTTAAGCACTTCTCTGTATTGATTATTCTAGTTATACATTCTTCTAAATTTTTTTCAATGTTTTCAACTTCTTTGCCTTTGGTTTGAATGTCCTCCCATAGCTCAGAGTAATTTGATCGTCTGAAGCCTTCTTCTCTCAGCTCGTCAAAGTCATTCTCCATCCAGCTTTGTTCCATTGCTGGTGAGGAGCTGCATTCCTTTGGAGGAGGAGAGGTGCTGTGCTTTTTAGAGTTTCCAGTTTTTTTGTTCTGTTTTTTCCCCATCTTTGTGGTTTTATCCACTTTTGGTCTTTGATGATAGTGATGTACAGATGGGTTTTTGGTGTGGATGTCCTTTCTGTTTGTTAGTTTTCCTTCTAACAGACAGGACCCTCAGCTGCAGGTCTGTTGGAGTACCCTGCAGTGTGAGGTATCAGTGTTCCCCTTCTGGGGGGTGCCTCCCAATTAGGCTGCTCAGGGGTCAGGGGTCAGGGACCCACTTGAGGAGGCAGTCTGCCCATTCTCAGATCTCCAGCTGCGTACTGGGAGAACCACTGCTGTCTTCAAAGCTGTCTGACAGGGACATTTAAGTCTGCAGAGTTTACTGCTGTCTTTTTGTTTGTCTGTGCCCTGCCCCCAGAGGTGGAGCCTACAGAGACACGCAGGCCTCCTTGAGCTGTGGTGGGCTCCACCCAGTTCGAGTTTCCCAGCTGCTTTGTTTACCTAAGCAAGCCTGGGCAATGGCGGGCTCCCCTCCCCCAGCCTCACTGCCACCTTGCCGTTTGATCTCAGACTGCTGTGCTAGCAATCAGTGAGACTCCATGGGGTAGGACCCTCCAAGCCAGGTGCGGGATATAATCTCGTGGTGTGCTGGTTTTTAAGCCCGTCGGAAAAGCGCAGTATTTGGGTGGCAGTGACCCGATTTTCCAGGTGCCGTCCGTCACCCCTTTCTTTGACTAGGAAAGGGTACTCCCTGACCCCTTGCACTTCCGGAGTAAGGCAATGCCTCACCCTGCTTCTGCTCACGCACGGAGCGTGCACTCACTGACCTGTGCCCACTGTCTGGCACTCCCTAGTGAGATGAACCTGATACCTCAGATGGAAATGCAGGAATCACCCATCTTCTGCGTCGCTCAGGCTGGGAGCTGTAGATAGGAGCTGTTCCTATTTGGCCATCTTGGCTCCTCCTTGTTGACCTTTTTCTTTCTCTTTCAGGAATGCCAATAATTCAGAAATTTAGTCACTTCACAGAATCCTACATTTCCTAGAGACTTCATTGCATTTTTAAAACTCTATTTTCTTTATTTGTGTCTGACTGACTTAGTACCGGCCTTCAGGCTCTGAAATTCTTTCTTCTGCTTTGTAGAGTCTACAGTTAAAGCTTTCTGTTGTATTTTGAAATCCTTTAAGTGAGTTTTTTATGTTCAGTAGCTTTGATTGATTTCCTTTAAGATGATTATTTCTTCCTTTATTTCCTGGATTTCTTTGGAGGTTTTTTAGTGCTGATTTTCAACCTTACTTTGGATCATGTCGAGTTTCCCTGCAATCCGTGGTTTCAATTATGCATCTGTCATCTCAATGGCAGATTTTAGTTAGTGACAATTGCTGGAGAACAATGGTAAGCCTTTGGTGGTGTCACAACATTCAGATTCAGATTTTACATGGTGACAGAATTCTTACACTGGCTTTTTCTCATCTGGAGAGCACTGTGTTGGAAAATGTCTTTTGGTCTTTCTTCCATAGTCCTAAAAACTTCTGTTGGCAGGTTTTCCATTGAGCTGTACAGTTTTACTTTGCAGGTAAAAGCCAGGTGCTGCACAAGCAAATGGGCATGGAACTGATTTTTGCTTTTTATGAGGTATTTTTTATTATTTAAGATGAAGGACTGAAGAGTTGAAAACCCATTTCCCAAGCTTCTTATTCTATACACGTGGCAGTACACATCTGGGCAGAAATGGGGCTTCTGACTTTTCCATACATATCCCAATGGTTACTGTAGGAATCAGCCCTGACGAGGGTGATTGGAAGAAGCTCCTGGTGAAGTATGCTGAGGCCTCCATAGGTCGATAAACAGGTGGATTCTTGGGGCTTCTCTGGCTTTCCCATCCTAGATAGGCGAGAATGCAATCTCTTTCCTGATCACTGTTTTGTTCCAGGGCTCATAACTTCTAGTTCAGATGCACACTGTAGTCTGTCTCTGAACTGCAATGTAGTTGAAACCATGAGGAATGACTTTTAACTCTTCATGGGAGTGGATTAGGGCATATCCTTGTCACTCAACCCAATACTGAGAACCTTAAGGCTTGCCTGTTCTCTGATGTAGCAATACTGCGCAGAATGGCCCTACCTCTACCCGAGCACTGCAGTGGATAATAGTCCTGCATTTCTCTGGGACAAAACTCATGAAGGTAGTGGACAATGCTTGACACCTTTGTTTATGACCAACAGTAAAGTTCAGCATTGTTTGGATGGGTGACGGGGAGTGTAATTGTAAAGGTGGGGCTTGTAAATGTTGGGCTCGACCTTTAAGCCCATAAGAATGGGTGTTGGTCATGGTGTTGTTGGCTGATTGGGTCAGCACAACATCAAGTCCTGAGAGAAATGGTCGGGTAATAACAGAGTTGAAACTGGGTAGTTAATTCTTCAATACCCAGATGCCTAGATGGCACGGTGAAAAATGTGTATAATTCCTGAGGAGGCTGAATCAGGGTTAGGCCAGTAAAGAATTAAATGCTGGCTGTGGTATGGGGGTGAACTCAGGGATATGGACTGGTCCCTGGGTCAATTTCAGGCAAGGGCAAATCAAATGCTTAGGTGGTGGAGGGACTATCACAAGGCAGTAGGGGTTGGGATTTCAGAAGGTCTCTGGGCCACAGGTAATACACTTAGGCAGGCAGAGAATGGCTATGCTATGAGCCTTTCACTGGAGAGATCAGAATTTCTTAGCTGGGGCAATGAAGACTGTAAGCTGTTGGGTGGATGACATGCTCATACTTCCCACCTGAACAATCCTGAACTTCACTGTTGGGGGCATGCAATGTCAAGCATTGTCTATTACCTCTAAGAGGTTTGTCCCTGAAGAACACAGAGCTGTGATCCACTCCAGTGTGCAGGAAGGGGCAAGGTCACTGTACTAGAAGCCTAAACCAATGAGCCTTGCCTAGCTAGGAGCAGCAGGACAGGGGTAGAAGATATCATATGGTCTGCAGTTCAGGTGATTCCTAGGAGAATGTAGAGTTATGTCCACCTGCAGAATTCAGGTGGCAGTGTGTTCATTATGCTGAAAGCCCAAGCCAACCTTGGCACTGTGACTGCAGTATCTATTGTGGTTATGGCAGCTGGTGCTAGGGTTCACAGGGCTCCATGACTGGCAAAGCTCCTCATGGGCTTGAGTGATGCTCTGCAAAAACTCTAGGCACCTCTCTATGTTGGTCTTAGAGACCTGGGGGACAGGGAAGATTACCCATACCTAGGATTTGAAGGTCCATATGGGAAGTGTGGATCCCCTGGGGACCCTCAGTCATTCACCCTTTCATTGTGTGAGAGGTTCTCCCAGTTCCACATCAGTTCTGGGTGGGCCGCTACCTGGGTTTGCTCTGTTCTCTGTGAGTCCTTTTGCCACGTTGGTGAATCCCGATGGGGTATCTTAGATATCCACTTGAAGAGCTACTATTTACTTGCTACTTTATTTCGTCTTTATGAAAGTGTTGCCCACTTGCTGCTTCTAGTCAGCCATCTTAAACCTCATCCCCCCTTCTCTCTTTTTTCATGAGATAGTCTAGGTAAAAGGTTTTTCAATTTTGTTGGTTTTTCAAAAAACAACTCAGTTTTTTTGTCATTTACATTGTTTAGTTTTTATTTCTTCAACGATTATTATTTATTTTCAGAAGCATGTTGCTTAATTTCTACATATTTGCAAAATTTCTAAAATTTTCTATTTTTAATTTCTAGTTTCATACAATTTTGGTCAAAAAAGTTACTTGACATAATGTCAATACTAAATTTGTTAACTCTTGTTTTGTGGCCTAATATATTATCTATCTTAGAAAATCTTCCATGTGCGCTTGAGAAGAGTGTACATTCTACTTCTATTACATGAAGTGTTCCAACTGTTTTTATTAGTCCTTTTAGTCTAAAGTTTAGTTTAAGTTCAATATTTCCTTATGATTTTCTCTCTGGATAATCTGTCTGTTGCTGAAAGTGGGGTATTGATGTCCCCTACTATCTTTGCATCTATATCTCATTTCAGATCTATTAATATTTTCTTTATATATGTAGGTGCTTTAATGCTGGGTACATATTTACAAGTGTCATAATCTCTTGATTAGTTGATCCTGTAACTGTTTAATGACCTTCTTTGTCTTTTTTCACAGTTTTTGACTAAATATCTACTTTTTTCTAAAAATATGTGGTAATGTCTTCTGTTCTGTTTTCATTTTTAGGCAATATCTTTTCCATCCCATTACTTTCAGTGTATGTGTCTTGTGAAAGCTGTTAGAATCAAAATAGTTACTTTTGTCAAACCGTGGAAAATTGGAGTCAGACAGGGCCTGAAGGAAGTATTCTTAGCACAAACACCTGATAACCAGAACTATGACAAAACACTACTGAAACTACAACCTTGCACAAAAGCTATAATAACTTTACAGAAAAAAAAATACTTATGTGAGGACATTTGCCCAGTTAATTGCCTTTCCAATCTTGGACTGATGCCACCATTGTTACTGTTCCTTGTGGCCAAAGATAATTGTTTAAAAATAAATTATGTAGGTGGGTTCCAAGATGGTGCAATAGGAACAGCTCCAGTCTACAGCTCCCAGCCTGAGCGACGTGGAAGATGGGTGATTTCTGCATTTCCAACTGAGGTACCAGGTTCATCTCAATGGGGCTTGTTGGACAGTGAATGTAGCCCATGGAGTGTGAGCTGAAGCAGGCAGGGCAATGCCTCACTCGGGAAGCACAAAGGGTTAGGAAATTCCCTTTCCTAGCCAAGGGAACCCATGACAGATGGTACCTGGAAAATTGGGACACTCCCAACCTAATACTGTGCTTTCCCAGTGGTCTTAGCAAATGGCATATCAGGAGATTATATCCCACACCTGGCTCAGCAGATCCTACACCCATGGAGCCTCACTCACTGCTAGCACAGCTGTCTGAGATCTAACTGCAAGGCAGAGGTGAGGCTGGGGGAGGGGTGTCCACCATTGCTGAGGCTTGAGTAGGTAAACAAA
Organism: Homo sapiens; assembly: GCF_000001405.40. Lineage (NCBI taxonomy): Eukaryota > Metazoa > Chordata > Mammalia > Primates > Hominidae > Homo > Homo sapiens. Next base: position 13,519,975 of record NC_000024.10, on the reverse strand, counting down.
GCAGACATGAAGCTCAAACTGGGTGGAGCCCACAGCAGCTCAACAAGACCTGCTTGCCTCTGTAGACTCCACCTCTGGGGGCAGGGCATAGCTGAACAAAAGATAGCAGAAACTTCTGCAGACTTAAACATCCCTGTCTGACAGCTTTGAAGAGAGTAGTGGTTCTCCTGGGATGGAGTTTGAGATCTAAGAATGGACAGACTGCCTCTTCAAGTGGGTCCCTGACCCCCAAGTAGCCTAACTGGGAGACACCTTCCAGTAGGGGCTGACTGATACCTCATACAGCTGGGTGCCCCTTTGAGATGAAGCTTCCAGAGGAAGGATCAGGCAGCAACATTTGCTGTTCTGCAATATTTCCTGTTCTGTAGCCTCTGCTGGTGATACGCAGGCAAACAGGGTCTGAAGTGGACATCCAGCAAACTCCAACAGACCTGCAGCTGATGGATCTGACTATTAGAAGGAAAACTAACAAACAGAAAGGACTTCCACACCAAAACCCCATCTGTATGTCACCATCATCGAACACCAAAGGTAGATAAAACTACAAAGATGGGAAGAAACCAGAGCAGAAAAGCTGAAAATTCTAAATATCGGAGCACTTCTTCTCCTCTAAAGGAATACAGCTCCTCGCCAGCAATGGAACAAAGCTGAATGGAGAATGACTTTGATGAGTTGATGGAAGTAGGCTTCAGATGATCAGTAATAACAAACTTCTCCAAGCTAAAGGAGGATGTTTGAACCCATTGCAAAGATGCTAAAAACCTTGAAAAAAGATTAGACAAATGGCTAAGCAGAATAAACAGTGTAGAGAAGATGTTAAATGACCTGATGGAGCTGAAAACCATGCCAAGAGAACTATGTGATGCATGCACAAACTTCAGTAGCAGATTCGATCAAGAGGAAGAAAGGGTATCAGTGATTGAAGATCAAATGAATGAAATGAAATGAGAATAGAAGTTTAGAGAAAAAAGAGTAAAAAGAAAAAAACAAAGCCTCCAAGAAATAAGGGACTATGTGAAAAGAGCAAATCTATGTTTGATTGGTGTACCTGAAAGTGATGGGGAGAATGGAACCAAGTTGGAAAACACTCTGCAGGATATAATCAAGGGGAACTTCCCCAACCTAGCAAGTCAGGCCAACATTCAAATTCAGGAAATACAGAGAATGGCACAAAGATACTCCTCGAGAAGGGCAACTCCAAGACACAAAATTATCAGATTCACCAAAGTTGAAATGAAGAAAAAAGGGTTAAGGGCAACCAGAGAAAAAGTTCGGGTTACCCACAAAGGCAAACCCATCAGACTAACAGCGCATCTGTCAGCAGGAACTCTACAAGCCAGAAGAGAGTGGGGGTGAATATTCAAAATTCTTAAAGAAAAGAATTTTCAACCCAGAATTTCATATCCGGCCAAACTAAGTTTCATAAGTGAGGGAGAAATAAAATCCTTTACAGACAAGCAAATGCTGAGAGATTTTGTCACCACCAGGCCTGCCTTACAAGAGCACCTGAAGGAAGTACTAAACACAGAAAGAAACAACCAGTAGCAACCACGGCAAAAACATGCCAAATTGTAAAGACCATTGATGCTATGAAGAAATTGCATCAACTAATGAGCAAAATAACCAGCTAACATCATAATAACAGGATCAAATTCACACAAAACAACATTAACCTTAAATGGAAATGGGCTAAATGCTCCAATTAGAAGACACAGACTGGCAAATTGGATAAACAGTCAAGACACATCAGTGTGCTATATTCAGGAGAACCATCTCATGTGCAGAGATACACATAGGCTCAAAATAAAGGGGTGGAGGAAGATCTACCAAACAAATGGAAAACAAAAAAGCAGGGGTTGCAATCCTACTCTCTGATAAAACAGACTTTAAACCAACAAAGATCAAAAGAGACAAAGAAGGCTATTACATAATGGTAATATAATAATGGGAGACTTTAACACCCCACTGTCAACATTACACAGATCAGTGAGACAGAAAATTAACAAGGATATCCAAGACTTGAACTCAGCTCCGCACCAAGCAGACCTAATAGACGTCTACAGAACTCTCCAACCCAAATCAAGAGAACATACATTCTTCTTAGCAGCACATTTCACTTATTCCAAAATTGACCACATACTTGGAAGTAAAGCTCTCCTCAGCAAATGTAAAAGAACACAAATTATAACAAACTGTCTCTAAGACCACAGTGCAATCCAGTAGAACTCAGGATTAAGAAACTCACTCAAAACTGCTCAACTGCATGGAAACTGAACAACCTGCTCCTGAATGACTACTGGGTAAATAATAAAATGAAGGCAGAAATAAAGATGTTCTTTGAAACCAATGAGAACAAAGACACAACATACCAGAATCTCTGGGACACATTCAAAGCAGTGTGTAGAGGGAAATTTGTAGCACTAAAGGCCCACAAGAGAAAGCAGGAAAGATCTAAAATTGACACCCTAATATGACAATGAAAAGAACTAGAAAAGCATGAGCAAACACATTCAAAAGTTAGGAGAAGGCAAGAAATAACTAAGATCAGAGCAGAAATGAAGGAACTAGAGACACAAAAAACTCTTCAAAAAATTAATAAATCCAGGAGCTGGTTTTTTGAAAAGATCAACAAAATGATAGACTGCTAGCAAGACTAATAAAGAAGAAAAGAGAGAAGAATCAAATAGATGCAATAAAAAATGATAAAGGGGATATCACCACCGATCCCACAGAAATACAAACTACCATCAGAGAATACTATAAACACATCTACGCAAATAAACTAGAAAATCTAGAGGAAATGGATAAACTCCTCGACACATACATCCTCCCAAGACTAAACCAGAAAGAAGTTGAATCTCTGAATAGACCAATAACAGGCTCTGAAATTGAAGCAATAATTAATAGCTTACCAACCAAAAAAAGTCCAGGACCAGATGGATTCACAGCCGAATTCTACCAGAGGTACAAAGAAGAGCTGGTACCATTCCTTCTGAAACTACTCCAATCAAAAAAACTCATTTTATGAGGCCAGCATCATCCTGATACCAAATCCTGACAGAGACACAACAAAAGAAGAGAATTTTAGACCAATATCCCTGATGAGCATCGATGCAAAAATCCTCAATAAAATAGTGGCAAACTGAATCCAGTAGCACATCAAAAAGCTTATCCACCATGCTTAAGTTGGCTTCATCCCTGGGATGTAAGGCTGGTTCAACATACACAAATCGATAAACATAATCCATCATATAAACAGAAAGAAAGGTAAAAACCACATGATTATCTCAATAGATGCAGAAAAGGCCTTCGACAAAATTCAACAGCACTTCATACTAAAAACTCTCAATAAACTAGGTATTAATGGGACATATCTCAAAATAATAAGAGTTATTTATTACAAACCACAGCCAATATCATACTGAATGGGCAAAAACTAGAAGCATTCCCTTTGAAAACTGGCACAAGACAGGGATGCTCTCTCTCACCACTCCTATTCAACATAGTGTCGGAAGTTCTGGCCAGGGCAATCAGGCAGGAGAAAGAAATAAAGGGTATTCAATTAGGAAAAGAGGAAGTCAAATTGTCCCTCTTTGCAGATGACATGACAGTTTATTTAGAAAACCCCATCATCTCAGCCCAAAATCTCCTTAAGCTGCTAAGCAAGTTCAGCAAAGTCTCAGGATGCAAAATCAATGTGCAAAAATTGCAAATTGCAAGCATTCCTATACATTAATAACAGTCAAACAGAGAGCCAAATCATGAGTGAACTCCCATTCACAATCACTTCAAAGAGAATAAAATACATAGTAATCCATCTTGCAAGGGATGTGAAGGACCTCTTCAAGGAGAACTACAAACCACTGCTCAAGAAATAAAAGAGGACACAAACAAATGGAAGAACATTCCATGCTCATGGATAGGAAGAATCAATATCGTGAAAATGGCCATACTGCCTAAGGTAATTTATAAATTCAATGCCATCCCCATCAAGCTACCAAAGACTTTCTTCATAAAACTGGAAAAAACTACTTTAAAGTTCATATGGAACCAAAAAAGGGCCCGCATTGCCAAGACAATCCTAAGCAAAAACAACAAAGCTGGAGGCATCATGCTACCTGACTTCAAACTATAGTACAAGGCTACAGTAACTAAAACAGCATGGTACTGGTACCAAAACAGAGATATAGACCAATGGAACACAACAGAGCTCTCAGAAATAATACCACACATCTACAACCATCTGATCTTTGACAAACCTGACAAAAACAAGAAATGGGGAAAGGATTCCCTATTTAATAAATAGTGCTGGGGAAACTGGCTAGCCACATATAGAAAGCTGAAACTGGATCCTTTCCTTACACCTTATGCAAAGATTAATTTAAGATGGATTAAAGACTTAAATGTTAGACCTAAAAGTATAAAAACCCTAGAAGAAAACCTAGGCAATACCATTCAGGACACAGGCATGGGCAAGGACTTCATGACTAAACCACCAAAAGCAATGGTAACAAAAGCCAAAATTGACAAATGGATCTAATTAAACTAAAGAGCTACTGCACAGCAAAAGAGTGCACACCATCAGAGTGAACAGGCAAGCTACAGAATGGGAGAAAATTTTTACAATCTGCCCATCTGGCAAAGGGCTAATATCCAGAATCTACAAAGAACTTAAACAAATTTACAAGAAAAAAGTGAAACAACCCCATCAAAAAGTGGGCAAAGGACAGGAACGGACACTTCTCAAAAGAAGACATTTATGCAGGCAACAGACACATGAAAAAATGGTCATCATCACTGGCCATCAGAGAAATGCAAATCAAAACCACCATGAGATACCATCTCACACCAATTAGAATGGTGATCATTAAAAAGTCAGGAAACAACAGGTGCTGGAGAGGATGGGGAGAAATAGGAACACTTTTACACTGTTGGTGGGACTGTAAACTAGTTCAACCATTGTGGAAGACAGTGTGGCGATTCCTCAGGGATCTAGAACTAGAAATACCATTTGACCCAGCCATCCCATTACTGGGTATATACCCAAAGGATTGTAAATCACGCTGCTATAAAGACACATGCACACGTAAGTTTATTGAGACACTATTCACAATAGCAAAGACTTGGAACCAACCCAAATGTCCAACAATGATAGACTGGATTAAGAAAATGTGGCACATATACACCATGAAATGCTATGAAGCCATCAAAAAAGGATGAGTTCATGTCCTTTGCAGGGACATGGATGAATCTGAAAACCATCATTCTGAGCAAACTATCGCAAGGACAGAAAACCAAACACCGCATGTTCTCACTCACAGGTGGGAAGTGAACAATAAGAACACTTGGACACAGGGTGGGGAAGATCATACAATGGGGCCTGTCATGGGGTGGGCAGAGAGGGGAAGGATAGCATTAGGAGATACATCTAATGTAAATGACAAGTTAATGGATGCAGCACAGCAACATGGCACATGTATACATATGTAACAAACCTGCACGTTGTGCACACATACCCTAGAACTTAAAGTATAATAAAATAAATAAATAAATAAATAAATAAATAAAATGTATTATGTAATCTTAGTATTTTCCCTTAAAAATTCCTTTTTCCCTTAACTCTTTGAATATGTCCATAGGTTGCTATAGCACTGTATGATTTAGCATCTCTCTGTGTGTGTTATTTAGATTGATATTGTCATTAAAGGGGAAGTGAGTCTGTCATAGGCAGTGTATAGTTATGTCATTGTTTATTTGTATTTCATTGTATGTTTATTGACTGGAGATTTTAGTCTATCTATGTGCAAGGAAATTATTAATAAATAAGAATTTACTACTGTCATTTAGGGTTTTTTTTAAATTATTCTATAGACCCTTTATTGCTTTCCTCCTCTCTCAAACCCTTTGGTGATTGGGTTTCCTCAGGTAGTACCATTTTATTCCTTACTTTTTATCTTTTGTGCATGTACTGTACTTCTTGTTTCGTAGTTATCATGAGACTTTCCTAAAACATGGTTAAAACAGTCCATTTTAAGCTGACAGCAACTTAACTTTGAAGGCATTAAGAAAATGAACATTTTTACTCCACCCCTAACATTTTGCTTCTGGTGAGTATTTTGCATCTTTTTACATTGAGTGTTCCCTAACAAATTATTGTAGCTATTATTATTTTAAATAGTTTTGTCTTTTCATCTTTATACCAAATATTTAAACTGTTATGATATTCGAGTGTCCAGTAAGTTTTATATTTTCACATTTTTTTTGTTAATAGTTTTGTTTTAAATTTTCAGCTTGAAGTTTTTCCTGGCATTTCTCATTGTCTGGTGGTGACGAGCTCCCTCACCTTTTGTTTGGTAGCCTTTTTCTCCCCTTCATTTCTGAAGGATTGACAGGGCTAATTTTGGAGCCTCAGCCTGTGAGACACAGCTTAACACTGGGATTTGCTGGATCAGGCCTTGTCGCTGGGTCTGTAAGATCAGGTCTGCATCCTGAGTCCTCTGGAGACTGGCCTGAACCTGAGTCTGGCCTGGCATTGTGGCACCTGTGCAGCCTAGGGATATTGGGGCTAGCTTGGAAATTGAGATTGCCTGTACTTACTTGGTTCCTGGAGCCATGGGAATGAACATAAACCTTGAGTCCCCTGGGCAAAGCTGGAGACTGAATGTGTGGGTCCTAATCTAGAGGACAGATCTGTGAGGGCTGACTTGGATTCTGGGGCCGAGGGTCCAGCCTGAAACCTGGGGGCTGGTCCAGAGCTGAGGTCTATTTGAAAGCACATGAACAATAAGTCTGCTGGAGTGTGGGTCTGCAGAGGCAAGGCTAGAGGGTGCAGCCATGGGAACTAGGTAGACATTAGAAGTCTTGGAGGTTGGGCTGCGCAGGCCAACCTGGCTCAGAGCTGGTCAGAAACCTGGTATGGGCCCAGAGCCTGGGTTTGGGTCAGTCTGGAGTCTGGGTCTGTGGGTATTGACCTGATTACTAGGGCTGTGGAAGCCACACTGGGGCTAAGGGCATTCCAGAACTTAAGCTGCTGGAGATGGTTTAGGATTGATAAAGGCCCAGAACTTCAGTCTAATGGGGCTAGGCTGGGGCTGGGACACATTTATGGAAGGAGGGGCTATCAGGTCCCACCTGGTACCTGGATGAGCTTGGAGGGTCACCCCGTAGGTAAGGGACTAAGGCCACACAAACTTGCCATGTCCTGGGAGGCCCTGGAGCTTATATCAACATGGGCTGGTTTGGAAGCTTGGTTCTTGGGTTTTCATGTAATGACTGGGGTTGTTAAGGCCCAGCTGGTGTTGCGGTGGGCTTGAGGCCTGCAGCCATGGGTGTCATTGTGGTGCTGGGAATGCTCAAGAGCCTGGGGTGTCTATGGTAAACCTGGCACTAAGGTGGTCTGGAAGTAGAACAAGCAGTCCTGGGAGCCTAGGGCTGTGGAATTCTGCTTGGCAAGGGAAGCAGGCTTGAAGATCCCAGCATTCAGGTCTCCAGGTACCAGCCTGGAGCCTGGGGATGTTGGGGCCTGTCTTGCACTGGGTTTTACTAAGGGTAGGCCTAGTGTTGGAGTCTGAGGCAAATTTCAGTGCACATTTTCCTCTCCATTCCCTAAGCAATGAGCATCTCTCTCCACACTCTGCTAACTCGTAGGGGATGGTAAAGCTTTCTTTCTACCCTCTTTAATGCATCTGTTTTTACTTCTGTGCTATACCCAGGTGCTATCATCTCTCACCTGGTTTCTTATGCACCTTTGAAGGTGTACATATATGAAAATGTACGTAGATAGTCATTAAAATTGATGTCCTGCAGAGAAGTTAGTGCTTGGAAATCTTATTCCACCTTCTTGCTGATGTCTAGTTCCACTCAGTGATATTTAATTTAATTTTCCAATTTTCATTCTTGTACATGGAAGCAATGATTTTAATATATTAACTGTATCCTGCATCCTTCCTGTAATTACTGCTTAGTTTCAGAAGTATTTTTGACAATTCATTTTTATAGACTTTGCATCTGTACACAATGAGAGTTTTATTCCCTTCCTCCCAATTTTCATATTTTTATTTCCTTGTCATGTCTTATTGCATTAGCTCAGAGTTCTGGTACAATGTTGACAGAAGTAGTTAAAGGGGAGATCTTTGTCTTGTACTCAATTTTAGGGGAAAAGCATTTTGTTTTTTACCATTATGATGTTAGCTGTAAGTTTTTATGGGTGTTCTTTATAAAGTTGAAAAAAATTGTTAGTTCCTAGTTTGCTTAATATTTTCATTCTGAATAAGGGTTGCCTCATGTCAAATGCTTTTTCTGCATACATCGATATGTTGAATTTTTGTACATATACCTCTATCATGCAGTATAAAATGTTATATCACAAAATATAAAAATTTACATTTGGCAGAGTGCAGTGGCTCATGCCTGTAATCCCAGCACTTTGGGAGACAGAGGTGGGTGGATCACAAGGTCAGGAGATCAAGACCATCCTGGCTAACATGGTGAAACCTCATCTCTACCAAAAAATATAAAAAATTAGCTGGTCATGGTGGCACATGCCTGTAGTCCCAGCTACTCAGGAGGCTGAGTCAGGAGAATCGCTTGAACTCAGGAGACGGAAGTTGCAGTGAGTTGATATGGCACCACTGCACTCCAGCCAGGGCGACAAATGAGACTGTGTCTCAAAAAAAAAAATTTACATTTAATTTTATTAATAATATAGTTATGTATATGGGAAGAGAGGATAATCCTTTACGCATTTTTTAATTCATGGATAAAATTACATATGTTTATTATGTATATAATATGATGTTTTGAAGTATATATATATGTATACACATTATAGAATGGTTAAATCTAGCTAGTTAACATGAACTACCTCACAAATTAATAATTTTTGGCCATAACATTTGAAATCTCTCAACATTTTTCAAGACTATGTTATGAATTATAGTCATCATGTTGTACAATAAATCTCTTTAACTTACTTCTTGTATCTTAAATTTTGTGTCCTTTAACCAACATCTCCCACAACCTCCTGCTCCATCTGCCAGTCCTTGGCAACCACTATATCCATATATATATTTTTTTTTGAGATGAGTCTCACTCTGTCGCCCAGGCTGGAGTGCAGTGGCATGATCTCAGTTCATTGCAACCTCCACCTCCTGGGTTCAAGTAATTCATCTGCCTCAGCCTCTCGAGTAGCTGGCATTACAGGTGCAAGCCACCATGCCTGGCTAATTTTGTATTTTGTAATCTTTTTTTTTTTTTTTTGAGATGGAGGCTCATCCTGTCCCCCAGGCTGGAGTGCAATGGCATGATCTCGGCTCACTGCAACCTCCACCTCCTGGGCTCAAATGATTCTCCTGTCTCAGCCTCCCGAGTAGCTGGGATTACAGGCACCCGCCACCACACCCAGCTGATTTTTGTATTTTTTAGTAGAGATGGTAAAGACAGGGTTTCACTATATTGGCCAAGCTGGGCTTGAACTCCTTACTCGTGATCCGCCCACCTCAGCCTCCCAAAGTGCTGAGATTACAGGCATGAGCCACTGCGCCCGGCCTAATTTTATATGTTTAGCAGAGTTGGGGTTTCACCAGGTTGATCAGGCTGCTCTCAAAATCCTGACCTCAGGTGATCTGCCTGCCTCGGTGTCCCAAAGAGCTGGGATTACAAGTGTGAGCCACTGCTCTTGGACCTATTCTCAACTTCTATGAGATCAATTATTTTAGATTCCACTTATGAGGAAGATAATGAGTTTTTCTTTTTTCTTTTTTTCTGTGCTTGGCTTATCTCACTGTTAATGTCTTCCAGGTTCAAATTCACTCGGTGTGCATAAACATACCACATTTTCTTTAATCATTTACCCACAGATGGACACTTAGGATGATTCCATACCTTGGCCATTGTGAATAATATGGCAGTGAGCATAAAAGTACAGATATCTCTGCAAATACTGATTTTACTTCCTTTGAATATAGACTTAGTACTGGGTTTACAGAAGTCATATGACAGTTTCATTTTTAGTTTGAAAAATTTTAGTTATGGAAAATAGTAGCGAGATTTCTTGCTACTATTTTCCATAATAAATATGTTGGGTTTTTAAAAACCAGGTAATTGGATCTCTGTACCAATCCATTTAGGGCTTGGGGTGTTTCATATTTTTCTTTGAGCTTTACAAAGTTAATTCAAAAGGCAGAGAGTATGAAAAGAAGATTGCAATTCAACCAACACTTACCCCAGCATAGTTCAGTTAAGTTTATTAGGATCATATAGTCATACAGCCTAAGAAAAATGTCATTAAAGAAAAGAGGACCAGAATACATAGTGATGCTGATAGAAAAGCAGTGCTGTAAATTTCACCGTGATGACTGAATACAATGGAACAGCAAAATAACCCCAGAAACAAACAAATATTAAATTGTAAGACTATAATTGCCAGCAATTGCAGGACCTCTTTTAACAGGATATTGACAAAAGGAGATCTAATGTCCATATGGCAAAACTCTCACAAAGTAACCCAAGAATCAGGCCAGTTGCCTTCTGTTCTGTAGTTCAGGTGTCAGCATTTTCTTTTCTTTTTTTTTTAATTAATTTTTTTTCCAATAGTTTTTGGGGTACAAATGGTTTTTGGTTGCACGGATGAATTATATAGTAGTGAAGTCTGAGATTTTAGTGCCCCTGTCACCAAAGCAGTATACACTGTGCCCAGTGTGTAGTCTTTTATTCCTCACTCCCTGCCAAACTCCTTGCTGAGTCCCCAAAGTTCACCATATTGCTCTGTATGTTTTCAGATCCTCAAAGCGTAGCTCCTACCTATAAGAGAGAACATAGGTATTTGGCCTTCCATTCCTGAATTACTTCACTTATAATAGTGGCCTCCACCTCTATCCAAATTGCTGCAAAAGACATCATTTCATTTCTCTTTATGACTGAATAGTATTTCAGAGTGCATATACACATTTTATTTAACCTCTCATTGGTCAATGGGTGCTTAGGATGCTTCCATACATTTACAGTTGCAAATTGTGCTGCAATAAATATGTACCTACATGTGCCTTTTTCATGTAATGATGTTTTTCTTTGAGGAGATACTCAGTAGTGGGACTGCTAAATCAAATGACAGATCTACTTTTAGATCTTTAAGGAATTGCCATACTATTTTCCATAGTGGTTGCAGTAGTTTGCTAATTTAGATTCCCACCAGCAGTGTAAAAGTGTGTGTGCCCTTTTTCACTATATTCATACCAACTTCTATTTTTTAAAAAAAAAATTTAAACTATGGCCATTATTGCAGTACAATGGTATCTCACTGTGGTTTGGATTTGCATTTCCCCAATAACTAGTGATATAGAGCATTTTTCATATGTTTATAGTTCTTCTGTATATCTTCTTTTGAGTAATGTTTATGCATGTCCTTTGCCCACTTTATTATAGGATTGTTTTCTTCTTACTGATTTGTTTGAGTTCCTTGTAGATTCTAGATATTAGTCCTTTGTCAGAAGTATAGTTTGTGAATATTTTCTCCTATTCTGTGGGTTGTCTATTTACTTTGCTGATTATTTCTTTTGCTCTGCAGAAGCTTTTTAGTTTAATTAGGTCTCATGTATTCATTTGTGTATTTGTTGCCTTTGCTTTGGGAGTCTTAGTCACGAATTCCTTGCCTAAGCCAATGTCCAGAAGAGATTTTTCAGTTTTATATTATAGAATTCTTATGGCTTCAGGCCAAAGTTTAAGTTTTTGGTTCATCTTGAGTGAGTTTTTGTATAAGGTGAGAGATGGAGAAACAGTTTCATTGTTTCTACATGTGGCTTCCCATTTTCCCAGCACTATTTATTGAATGGGGTGTCCTGTTCCCAATTTATATATTTTTGTATGTTTAGTCAAAGATCAGTTGTCTGTAAGTATCTGGCTTTATTTCTGGGTTCTCTAGTCTGTTCAATTAATCAAAGTGCATATTTTTATACCAGTATCTTGCTGTTTTGGCTACCAGAACCTTGTAACATAATTTGAAGTCTGGTAATGTGATGCCTCCAGATCTACTCTTTTTGCTTAGTATTGTTTTGCCTATACAGGCTCTTTTTTGATTCCATATGAATTTTATGATTTTTTTCCAGTTCTGTGAAAAATGGTAATGGCATTTTGATGGAAATTAAATAGAATGTATAGATTGCTTTAGGCACTATGTTCATGTTTACAAATTGATTCTTCCCATCCGCAAGCATGGGATGTGTTTCCCTGTGTTTGTGTCATCTGTGATTTCTTTTAGCAGTGTTTTGTAGTTTTCTTTGTAGAAATCTTTCACCTCCTTGATTAAGTATATTCCTAGGTTTTTTTTTCTGCAGTTGTTGTAAAGGGGACTGAGTTCTTAATTTGATTCTCAACTTGGTCATTGTTGGTGTATAGGAGTGCGACTAATTTGTATACATTGATTTTGTATCCTGACACTTTACTGAATTAGTTTATCAGATTTATGAGCTTTCTGGATGACTCCTTAGGGTTTTCTAGGTATACAATTATATTATTGGTGAACAGCAAGTCTTAGGTCCTCTTCACCGATTTGGATGTCCTCTATTTCTTTCTCTTGCCTGATTATTCTGGCTAGAACTTCCAGTAATATGTTGAATAGAAGTGATGAAAGTAGGCATCCTTGTCTTGCTCCAGTTCTCAGCCGGGATTCTTTCAACTTTTATCTATTCAGTATAATGTTGGCTGTGGGCTTGTCACATATGGCTTTTCTTACCTTGATGCAAGTCCCTTCTATGCCTATTATGTTGACAGTTTTAAATCATGAAAGGATGCTGGATTTTATAAAATAATTTTTTGCATCTATTTAGATGATCATGTAGTTTTTGTTTTTAATTCTGTTTGTGTGATGTATCACCTTTATTTACTTGCATATGTTAAACCATCCCTGCATCCCTGGGATGAAACCCAATTGATCATGATGTATTATCTTATCAATGTTCTGTGGCATTTGGTATTATCTTTTAATGTTCTCTTGCATGCTGTATTATCTTTTCAGCATTCTGTTGCATTAGTATTTTATTGAAGATTTTTTCAACTTTGTTCATCCAGGATATTTGTCTGTAGTGGTTTCTAAATTTTATCTTATTTGTTGCTGTTTTGTCCTTTCGTGATGTTGGTATTAGGATGATACTTTTTTTTAATAGTTTAGGGAGGATTCCATCTTTATCTGTCTTTTGTAATAATTTCAGTAGGATTGGTGTGAATTCTTCTTGGAATGTGTCTAATATAATTCATCTGTGAATCCAGCTGACCCTGGACTTTTTTGTTGGCAATTTTTTAAATTACTGACTCAATGTCACTGCTTGTTATTAGTCTATTCAAGGTTTCTATTTCTTTCTGATTTAATCCAGGAGGGTTGTATGTTTCCAGGAATTCATACATGTCCTCTAGGTTTTCTAGTTTGTGTAAGTAAAGGTATTCATAGCATTGAATGATCTTTTTTACTTCTATGGTGTTCATTGTACTATCTCTCATTTCATTTCTAATTAAACTATTTGAATTCTCTCTCTTCTTTTCTTGGTTAATCTCACTAATGGTCTATCAATTTTATTTATGTTTTCAAAGAACCAGCATTTTGTCTCATTTATATTTTGTATTTTTTGTTGCAATTTCATTTAGTTTTGCTCTAAATGTTATTTATTTCGATCTGCTGACATAGGTTTGATTTTTCCTTGTTTTTCTAGTTCCTTGAGACTGTCACTTTGTACTCTTTAAGACTTTCTGATGTCATCATTTAACACTCTGAACTTTTCTGTTGTCATTACTTTTACTCTGTCCTGGAGGTGTCAATAAATTTAGTCAATGTTATCATTCATTTCAAAAAATTCTGTAAATTTTCATCTTGGTTTTATTGTTAACCCCAAAATTATTCAGAAGCAGGTTATTTAATTTCCATGTATTTCTATAGTTTTGAGGGTTCCCTCTGAAGTTGTTTCAGTTTTATCCCACTACAGTCTGAGAAAATACTTAATATAGATTTTGATTTTCTTAAATTTATTGAGACTTGTTTTGTGGCCCATCATATCATCTATCTTGGAGAATGTTCCATGTGATGATGAGAAGAATATATATTTTGCAGTTGTTGTGAAGAATGTTCTGTAAATATCTGCTAAGTCAATTTCCTCTAGGATATAATTTCATTCTATTTTTTCTAGATTGATTTCCTATCTTGATGACCTGTGTAGTGCTGACAGTGGAGTATGAAATCCCCCACTATTATTGTGTTGCTATCTTATTTCTTACGTCTAGTAGAAATTGTTTTATGAATCTGGGAACTCCAGTGTTAGGAGTATAATATCTTCTTGATAGACTAATCCTTTTACCATTACTAATGTCCTTTGTCCTTTTTAACTGTTGTTACTTTAAAGTGTGGTTTGTTTGATGTAAGAATAAACACTCTGGTCACATTTATTTTCCATTTGTATGGAATGCTAGTTTCCACTCCCTTATTTGGAGTTTACATAAATCCTTATTAGTTATGTGAGCCTGCTGAAAACAGCAGATATATGGTTGGTGGTTTAATACATTCTGCCATTCTGTATCTTTTAAGCATAGCATTTAAGCCATTTACATTCAACATTAATGCTGAGATGTGAGGAACTCTTTTATGCATCAGTTTAGTCATTAATTATTACCTAGAACCTTGTTTTTTTCACTATTATTTTTATAGGGAGTGTGAGTTTTACGCTTTCAGGGGTCATATTTTGATGCATGTCAAGCTTTTGTTTCAAGATTTAGAACTGTTTTTTTTGTTTGGTTGGTTGGTTTTTTTTTTTGCATTTCTTGTAGTCCTGGCTTGGTAATGGCAAATTTCCTCAGCATTTGTCTGAAAAAGGCTTTATTTCTGCTTCATTTATGAAACTTGGTTTTGCTGGACATAAAATTCTTGGTTGATGATTACTCTGTTTAACAAGGTTAAAAATAGAGTCTGGGCGTGGTGGCTTAGGCCTGTAATCCCAGCACTCTGGGAGACCGAGACGGGTGGACCATGAGGTCAGGAGATCGAGACCATCCTGTCTAACATGGTGAAACCCTGTCTCTACTAAAAATACAAAAAAATTAGCCAGGCATGGTGGCGGGCGCCTGTAGTCCCAGCTACTCGGGAGGCTGAGGTAGGAGAATGGCATGAACCCAGTAGGCTAGGCTTGCAGTGCGCCGAGATCGCACCACTGCATTCCAGCCTGGGTGACTGACTGAGACTCCACCTCAAAAAAAGAAAAAAAGAGATTAAAAATAGAACCCCAATCCTTTCTAACTTGTATTTCTGCTCTAAAGTCTGCTGTTAGTCTGATAGCTTTTTATTTATAGGTAACTTGATGCTTTTGTCTCACAGCACTTAGAATTCTTTTCTTCATGTTGACTTTATATAGCCTGATGACTACATGCCTTGGTAATGATCTTTTTGCAATGGATCTCCCAGCAGTTTTTTGGGCTTCTTATATTTGAATATCTAAATCTCTAGCAAAGCCATGTAATAATTAGTTCCTTGAATAAGTTTTCCAAACTTTTACCCTTCTCTTCTCCCTCAGGAACACCAATTATTCTTAGGTTTGCCCATTTTACATTAACCATATTTCTTGAAAACTTTGTTCACTTCTTTTGATTCTTTTTCCTTTAGTTTTTATCTGATTAAGTTAATTTGAAAGCCTTGTCTTTGAGCTCTGAAATTCTTTCTTGTATGGGTTGTAGTCTATTCCTGAAACTTTCCACTGCATTTTTCTTTCCCTAAGTGCCTTTTATTTCCAGAAATTTTGATAGGTTTTAATGGTAAATATTGCTGGAAAAAATTTTTTCACATCCTGACTTGGTTTTAAATTTTCTTTTTGTTTTTACCTGTCTCTGATGTCTTCTTGAGTAGCTAAATAATCAACTGTCTGAATTCTTTATCTGATATTTCAAAGATGTCTTCTTGGCTTGAATCCATCGTTGAGGAGCTAGTGTGATATTTTGGGGGTGTTGTGAAACCCTGTTTTGTTATATTACTAGAATTCCTTTTCTGTTTTCTTCTCATTTGAGTAGATTATTTCTTCACATTGTTCCTGAATTTATTTTTAATTTGATTTTTTTAACTTCTTTTTTTCCATTTCAAGGATATAACTCTAATGTTTATAGTTTGTTATAGCCTAATTTGACAATTTCAGGGGTAAAGATTCCGTTTAAGTTTCTTGATTATAGAGTGTCTTTGTGTGCTGGCTTCCTCAGATTGTGGTTGTAGTATTTATGTACTTATTCAGTGTGTGGGCCAGTTTGCTGTCTTCTATGAAGCTGGAATGGCAAGTGTTTCTTGAAGCTTATCTCATTCCCCTGTTGTATGTACTTTTTTAGTGATTCAATTTTTCTCTATTATTTTCTTTACTGACTTGGTGATTCAGGCTTCAGGCCAGAAAGGGAGGTACACCTTGGTAGGAACCAATTGTAGCTAAAGCAGGTTGGGAGACAGAATACTGCATGCTGTGCAGAGGTCCCAGACTTGATGAAGGTGGTTGTGGGAGCTCCCAATTAGTTGCACTAAGTTTTATCAAGCTGAAGGGTAGAAGTTACTTCAGCTCCCTCACTATACAAGCAGGAAACTTATTCACCTCTCAGCTTCACCTCTGTCCCAGTGTTCTGGCTATTCACACCAGAAAATAACCTCTTTTTATTTGTAGGGATGTTGATGTTCCAGATAGAGAGGAATTGTGACTCTGCATCTTGTGGAAGCTTGAATCTGGAGAGTGCTTCTCCTGTGGGCATGCATTAATCTGTATTGTTCCTACATGGCTGCCTCTAAGTGCAGCCCTGCTGACTTCTCATGGGAGAATCCCCAGCTGCGTCTGCAGTGATGGACAAGAGGGGAACAAAGACTCCTTCTCTAAGACCCTTCACAAGCATGAAGGCTGTCTGCCTGTTGGGGTAGAGGAGCAGAGTTTCCATTCTATTCCGAGACCTGAAATGGTGTCTCTGCTGTAAGAAACTTCCATCAGCAGAAAGATCTGAGAATCAAGTCCTGCCATCCAGATTCTTTTGTCTCATGGGGTGTTCCCTTGATGTGGAGCTCTCCTCCTGACCCTAAAAGTAGGAATTCCTGAAAGCCAGGCTACAGTGATTATTATTACTCAGAAGAGAAATAGTATAGGCACTAGGCACTATAGTGGTGCTGGGAATGTCTTCAAGGGATTTAGTGGTTTGGCCTATCTTCAAGTCTCCCAGCACCAGT